>NC_000011.10:110505757-110808788 GCF_000001405.40 Homo sapiens | reverse complement strand
TACAATGATTAGAAGTACAATGATTAGAATATACCATATAATATCCATAGCTTACATTGAAGGTATGTATTGCATAAAGACACATAGATTTCCTGCAGACTTCAGTCTGCAAAATTCACTTGCAAAATCTGGAGGTGTACACTGCTTTGTGATTCCGCCTTATTCCCGGGAGAAATAAAGAACTTAAACTGTATCAGTAGAGGTCATCATGTTTTTCTCTTCTCTCTACTTTTTTCCTCTTTCCAGTAGTTTCTAAAAGGCCTCTCTGGTTTAGTCCTGCAATCCCCATCCATGGTTGCAGCAGAAACTGTGAGCCATTCACCAAACCATTTCCTCTTCCTCTTGGGCTCACAGCTGATTATCTTTCCCAACCACCTTTGGCCACTTAGCAGTGGCCCAAAGACTGAAGGTGAACAGGGGTGATTTGCGGCACTTCCTGGTCAGCCTAGCCCATAAAATCCTCTTATATAAGATCTTCCATGTTCTTTCTCCTTAAATTGGCCAGACGTCCATGCCCAGGGCCACCTCGAGAGCCACGTACCAAAGATGGCAGAACCTCCATTAATCTGGGTCCCCAACTAATTTGCAGAGTCCTCCAGATCTACCTGGAACTACCATGGACTTGTTATTCTGTCACAACAGTAGCCTCCTCTAACTAATGCAATGGTGCAATCCATTGCTGTTGGTCTTGCTGTGTTAAAAATCTCCTTGCAGATGTTTGTGACCTAATTTCTGAAAACATTTGGCCCTTCATAGAAAGCCTTTAACAGTTCCTCATGAGACTCTAAAGGATCTCCCTGGTTTCATAGCACGTTCTTCAGTTTCCAGCTGCATCTGTCCTCCAGCCTCTCTTTTAGAGAGGAGCATGAAAATCTCTGTGCTGGATTACTATCTAATTCTGTGATGAGTATCTGGAAAGCAAATACAGGACCTCTATTTAGGGAGCTTCGTCCATAGACATATCTCCTCCTTGAACTCATTTTTAGATTCCGCATATTCTGTGCTCCCAGTGCTCTGTGCTTCCCTCGGCAGAGTACTCATCACGTCATATTTTTGTTATATGTCTGCGTCCTCTGTGTAGGCTTCTGCAGGTATTTGATGTCTTGTTCAGCTTCATGCCCCCAACAACTAGCCTCTGCCTGGTCCCCAGAAGGTGCTCAGGGACTTGAATTAATTTGGGAGGAGGTGTCGTTTTCTAAATTTGCTACTTTGACACAGAAATTAGACTATTCTATAATAATAATCATTAAACACCTTTCAACAACTACAAGCAATATCTTAAACTCCCTTTAGGAATGTTCCCAGAGCAACAGCTCTGTCACCAGCACAGACACCCAAGCATTGCAACAGTGCTGTGATGCCTACATCATGCACACAGTACTTCTGTATAAATCGTGAGCTCTAACTAGAGGCAGGGACCTTGGTGGCTCACCACCACATAAAGCCTGATCAACACCCTTGTGATTCCTGGCCTCCTCTCAGTGCCAACAGGAATCCAGGTGGTGCCCATCATGTTTCCATGATACAAGGCTAGGCTCTCAACATGTTGCAGGATCAACTGAAATCAAGTATTGGCCCTGTTCAAGTTTGTAAAGATGTTCTGATTTTCCAACATTGTTGTTTGATTTTGGCAAGGCAGGAAAATCACTATGATTCTGTTTTCCATGCTTGCCAACTTGTTTATTTCTGATATGAAAATTTCAGAAAGAAGTAGTTGGGACCTGGAGAAGCAGTGGTTTAGTGAATAAGGGCAAAAGCTTGGGAGAGTGACAGATCCAAATTTGAATTCAGATGCAGTATTTACTAGCTTTGTGAACCTGGGCACATTGCTTAAACTCTCTAAGCTCAGTTTTCTCATCTCTAAAGTGGGAGTAGAAACAGTACTCATTCACCACAGTGGATTGCTGATAAGGGAGACAATGTACACGTTTAACATGGTGCTTGCTATGCAGTAAATAATCAATATGTGTTAACTATGCTTGTTATATGAGCATCTTTTTCCTTAATTTTATAGTTGAGTGAACTGTGGCCTGGAGAGATTAAGCGATTCACACAGCGAATTACGGGCAGAGCAACGGTAATAAATTGGGTTATTCTGAGCCTCACTGTGGGGTTCTGCCCATTACAAAATACAGTTTATTCCCACACTTCAGGTTCTGAAGATCAATGCACTGTTTCTCCGATTGGGAATATTGTGCCATTTGCTTTTTCAAGACTTTCAGTCATAGTGTAGAAACAATTGCCTTGCCTTTAAGGCACTCATAATCTAAGCACAATCTAAGACTTTTGAATGTAGGTGGAAACAGAAGACACACAGATTGCCTGCTAAATTGGACAAACAGATATTCTAACATGACATCCAAAGAAATGTCCACAGGAAGAAACTTGAGGTAATTTGGCACCTTTCTGAGAGGTCCTGGCAGATGCAGAAGGTGGACCCTCAAGATGCACAAATAAAATCAAGGGAACAGGGATTAGAGATGTTTCTACTCTCAGGGAACATCGTGTAGAAAAGCCCGCAGGAGGACAATAACCATTAATGGAGAGGAAATTCTCAGAAGTTAGCTACTCACATAGCACAGGAGTCCCCAACTGAACTTACACTCAATGTGTCCTTATCTAAGTCCATTCTAGGCACTTCCTCGCCATGCCTTATGGACACTGTTGATGGCATTTCCAATCTCCTGTCATCCAAGCTAGACCTCTGGCTTCATTCTCAGCTCCTCCTTTTCCCTCATATCCAGCCATCACCAAATTATGTTGCTACAACCTGAAAATTGAACCCACCTGCCATCCCCACTACCACTGCCCTGAGAGCACAGGTTCACTTGTGGGAGGCACTGCTGCAGCCCCATGACTGGCTAGTAGTCCTTTGAACTTGAAACCTACAGCTGTTTTCTGCCTCACTCCCTTCTCTTTTAGAAATTATCAGAGCATGATAGCTGTTAGAGAAGACTGCTTGTTCTTCAGGATAGCCTCAATTTGCTCATATATTTGCTTTAGTGCTTGTATTTCAAATGGAAAAATAGACATAAATAAGGCAATTAGCACCATAGAGTGTGAAATCATTAGCTACTAAATCAGTGAGAGGATCATGTTAGTTTTATTTTGTTTTTAAGTAATAAATATCTGTATCTGATCATAGAAGATGATTTTTTTTTAAAACTGCAGGGCTATTTTGTTAAGAACTCTTTAGATCCCTCTAGACTTAAATTATGATACAATAATGAAGACATTTAAAGGCTTTTATATGGAATGAGAATGAGTTAATGGAAAAAAAGACTGCAAGAAAGATGAAACACTTAAATTTTTTATCAAGTGTTCATTCAGTGCCTGCTATACATTGAACTCTGCTGGGTACTATGATTGTGGCAAAATAATTTTAAGACCTGGTTCCTGCTCTGGAAGACCATATAATCTGCTGCTGATAAAACAAATACACATGATACGACTGGAGAATGATACAAGTCACCATTGTATAGTATTAAGAAGAGGAAAAATAAATAAATTAATCTCAGAACAGGACATGAGACTAAGCCATGATTAACTTGTTCTAGTTTCACAACACTATGCCTTTCCAGAATCTTAACATTTGGTTCAGTTGCTTTTAAAATATTTGGTCAAATTTCAACGTTCTTTTGAATGAATTTTTTTTTAATTATTTCAAATTATCCCAAAAATATGCAGCAAAATTTGATTAGAATTTGTACTGTATTGTTTTCAAATAATTTGTTTTATTGGAGTCAGATAGAGGAAGAAATATACATCTTCAGAGTCATAAGTGTTTGCTTACAGCAACTAATGGATCCTTTGTGAATTGAATTATTTTTCAAAATCAAGTTTTATCTATTTCTGTCTTTTTCTTATTGTTAAAGAAATCTTCATTATGAGAAAAGACAGAAAATGCAGACAAAACAAACATAAAATACTTAAAATCATCTTTTCATTTATATGTATATACATCTTAAGCAAGAATAGGGTAATATCTCACATCATTTTGTAAGCTGCTATTTTCACTTAATATATTATGAATAGTTTTCCATATCAACAAATATATTTCTGTGACTTTTTAATGACTACATAATATTCCATATGATCAAATCCAGCGGTTTTTATATATTTTGATCTCAAGACTCCTATACACTCTTAAAAATTATTGGATATTCTAAAGAGTTTTTGTTTATGTGAGTTGTATCTGTCAACATTTACCATGTTACAAATTAAAACTGAGAAATTATAAAATATTTTATCCATTTATTTCAAAAGAATAATAAACCAATTATATGTAAAGTAAATAATTGTTTATGAAAAATAATTATATTTTCTAAAATAAAAAATTTTAGTGTAGAGAGGCATTGTTTTATATTTTTGGAGTGTTGTAAAACCTGGCTTAAAAGAAGGCAGCTGGGCCGCGTGCGGTGGCTCAGTCCTGTAACCCCAGCACTTTGGGAGGCTGAGGTGGGCAGATCACGAGGTCAGGAGATTGAGACCATCCTGGCCAATATGGTAAAACACCATCTCTACTAAAAATACAAAAATTAGCTGAGCATGGTGACGTGTGCCTGTAGTCCCAGCTACTTGGGAGGATGAGGCAGGAGAATTGCTTGAACCCAGGAGGCGGAGGTTGCTGTGAGCCGAGATTGCGCCACTGCACTCCAGTCTGGTGACAGAGCAAGACTCGTCTCAAATAAATAAATAAATAAATAAATAAATAAATAAAAGAAGGTAGCTGAATATCCCCTTCTGCATTAAATCTACTATGATATCACATATCATGTAGCTTCTGGAAATCTCCACTGTCTACTTATGAAAGAATGAGAATAAAAAAGACAAATGATGTTGTAATACTATTAAGAAAAAGTTGATCTTCCAGATCCCCTGAAAGTGTCTCAGAGATGCCTGTACATGAGTTCCTGGGACCCCCAGGGAGCTCTGCGCCACATTTTGAGAAATGCTGATCTAACCAATGCTTGATTTGTAAACATCTGTATTGTATATAAACTGCATCTTGTTCATAGAAATACTTTCAAGATGCTTGAGTACATTATTAATAAGCTAAGTGAAAGACTAGAATGTCATTCATTGGAATGCAGCATAAATTTCCAATAATAAAAATAACAACCACTTATGAACTGCTTTATATATGGTAGACACTTTGTTAAGGACTTAAGAGGCATTTTCTTAAAACATTCTTACCGCATATTCTCACTCATAGGTGGGAATTGAACAATGAGATCACATGGACACAGGAAGGGGAATATCACACTCTGGGGACTGTGGTGGGGGGGGAGGGGGGAGGGATAGCATTGGAAGATATACCTAATGCTAGATGACGAGTTAGTGGGTGTAGCGCACCAGCATGGCACATGTATACATATGTAACTAACCTGCACAATGTGCACATGTACCCTAAAACTTAAAGTATAATTAAAAAAAAAAACAAAACAAAACATTCTTACAACACTGAGGTAGATAATTCTGTTTTTAATTATACAAAGGATGCAGAAAAGTTCAGCAATTGCCAGTGTTTCAATGAGGTCTTCCTCACTAGAAAGCCCATACTATCAATCAAAACAGCATATACTCCCTCCCATGAGGCACAGCAGTTAGAATGGGAGCTGAGTACAGGTAAGAAGTAGAGCTGGGTGGTATATCATGTCGTGATTTGCTATTATATTAACGTATCAATATCTAGATAATTTCATAGAACTTATCTACATAATTGTGAGAACTTGATTTTTCAAACAATTTTCATTTTACCTACTAGATACTTAGGTCACTGTAGATGTAGCAATTAGATTCAAACCAAGACATTTACATAAAATCAACAACATGATGATGTAATTTTTGTATAGATGTTTTCTGCTATATCTTCCTTGTTTTTACTTTAACCTTCCATTATTTTTATGTAGGTGCCTTTTCACACCAATGAATAAGTTCATTGATCTGATAGTAATAACATGTAATAGCTTCCCTTATTGAGAAGTTCCTAAATACTGACTCTGTGCTAACTGCTTTCTATGTATCATCTCTTCTTAATCCTTAAAACAACTCTACAGGGGTAGGTATTAATTACCATCACTCCACACATGAAGAAACTGACGCTTAAAGAGGAAAGAGGCAAAGCAGAGTAAACTAGGACCGAACCAAAGGCTATGTCTTTAACCACCTTCTACCACCTTCATGGCAATCATATGTCCTCCATCTTTTTATGCTCTATAGCACACAGTAAATGCCAGAGGACTGCAAAGTAAGGATATGAAATCTTACAACCAGCATCCCTACGTACTGTGGTCCTCCAGCTGAAGGTGTGTGAGCCACTTCACACAGAGGACAGCAACTCGGTACTCAGATCCTATTTGACTCAGCCAAGTCCAAGATCTGGCCAGTATCTCTCCTCTGATCCACAATGATGACAAGTCATAAAGCACAGCATACACTGTGATTACTTCTTTCTTTTAAAACAGCATCAGTCATTTCAGAAAGGTTGGATTACACAGCATGTTGAAAATTCACAACATTTATTTCTGGAGTTGACACTGACCATTGGCTCAGATATCTATGTCAGTTTCTGGCATTAGGCATAAGAAGAAAAATAATTTTCTGTGAAAGCATTTGAGGGGGTATGATCATAACAACCCTATGACAATTATAGAACATAAGGATGATGCTCCTTAAAGGAGGTTGAAATTTATAAAATACACTGAGTCTCCTAAAATGGCCCGAAAGGCTTTGGAAGAAAGGTTTCATGTAAAATAAAATAATATTTTATATAAACCCAGAAGAATATAGTTTATAATATGCATGTATAGATACTTATTCATATTAACAAATGAATGTAATATAGTTTACTGAGAATATATTCATAGTAATAGAATAAGATACATGCCTGTAGACCAGATGTCATCTTGAATCCCCTGAGAGATCTGGAGCAACGTAACCTCAACTCCAAACCCATAGCCAACTATTGAGTGTTAATTGTGTGTCAGGCTGTAGCAGAGACTGCTGGTTGCCTACACAATAGCCATTCTCCTTTTAAATTTAGAACCCCAGTATCGCTTAGGATGCCAAAATGCCCAGTAAAGATGTTTGCCTTCTCAGATTCCCTTACAATCAGGGGATGCCATGTCAAAAATCTCTGGCCTCTGACACATAAGCAGAAGTCTGATAGAGATTTCCTGGTAAATTTTTGCTTTTCCTGACAAAGGCACTACCTTCTTCCTTCCTCTTTATTCGTCCTGCACTGGACAGGAGGCTGGAGGCGGAGTGGCCATCTCGTGACCATGACTCAACAAGTGTGAAAAGGCCAAGAGCAGAAAGTTAGCAGGAGCTCAAGACCCTGGCCCTATCTGAGAGCCAAGGCACCAGTCCTATATGTTCCTCAGGACTTCCTGACATCCCAGGAAAACAAATTCCAACTTGGTTAAACCACAAGAGTTGAAGTTCCATGACATGTGTCCAAGCACATTCTGGCTCAGCCACAGGCACAGTGCATGGCCTTTAGACACATTGTTGCCTTAAATCCTCAAAACAAGTCTATACGTAGGCACTGTTAGGTCCATTTTATAGATGTTAACACTGAGAGTTACCTAAGAAACTATCTCCCAAATGTGAAATGCTGGGCTGAAAATGAGAAAACATAGAAAATCTGGATTTATGGGCAACGGAATATAATGCCCAGATATCTCATGAGTCATAATTAAGTAGCAAAAATAAATAATTCACAAGGAAAATGAACAATAATGGTCTTCTCACTTGTCTGGCACACTCCTGCTCCTTGTTAAGCCCCAGCTGAAATGCCAACTCCCTGTTAAAATCTTCGCGGACTCCCCCAGGTAGATCAACTTTGCAGTCCTCTCTCCTCACATAGCCCCCTCTAGTAGCACTTATTGTGCTTTATTATAATTGATATGTTTATGTGTCTCAACCACCAGACTGAGCAATTTGAGGATAATAATCAGGTCTTATTTATTCAAATATTTCTAGGGGTAAGAGCAATGCCCAGCATAATGGATGCAGTGCATCGTTTGAATTGGCAAAGCCCTCATTAGTCACATTTAAAAAAAAAAAAAACTGTTTTCTGATTTTCAGATGGAGATCCACAGCAAATGATGGGATGCTACAAATCAGCTCTAATAACTGAAGACAAATTACAAATATAGGAAATTAATGATTAGGAGAAATCAAAAGGGAAATAAATTACAGAAAACTGAAAAATGTAATAATGCAAATCAGGGGTTTCCCTGAATTTATGTGTAAAAGCAATGTCTACAGAATTTGCAGCAAAATGAAGCCCATCTTCTTTGGTTTTGGTTTGACTGTTAAAAACCTGAAACTTGTTTTTTCTTTTTTGCAATTGCCTTCAATAAGACTGGAGTCATGACTACCTTTTTGCTTTTGCTTTTGCTTTTTTTTTTTTTTTTTTTTGGCAAAGTCTACAAAAATGAGTATTTGAAAACTTTAGGACAGGTTTCAAGAGGTAGGCTAGTGACCATGCAACTTGTAGGAAAATACATGTTGTCATTATTGACCTGAGAAATGCAAGGGTACAAGTGACAAGATTCCATTTGGTTGGTGCTACTACTGAACACAAGGGAAGTGGGGCCCTAACCTCAGCTCCACAAGTTAAAGGCCACCCTCTGGCCTCCTTCATCCATTTCTCCCTACTAGACAAAAAGGACATGTCCACCCAGAGCCTGTGTCCCCATTTCTGGGATCTCGGCTCACTGCAACTTCTGCCTCCAGGTTTCAAGCGATTCTCCTGCCTCAGCCTCCAATGTAGCTGGGATTAAAGGCACCCGCCATGATGCCTGGCTAATTTTTGTATTTTAGTAGAGACGAGATTTCACCATGTTGGCCAGGCTGGTCTCAAGCTCCTGACCTTAAGCGATCCTCCCGCCTCAGCCTCACAAAGTGCTGGGATTACAGGCATGAGCCACCACGCCTGGCAATCCTACTTCTAAGGCTAATTGCAGCCTCTCTCTTGGGTCAAGGGCAGACTGCTCTAGTTCCAGAGGATGGCAAAGAAGTAGTAGAGGGGTATGGGGAGTGAACAAAGCTCAAACTCACAGGCAGAGATGGTCCCACACAAGCTCCCAAGGTCCCTTACTGTGTAGCAGGAAGCGGCCACCGGCCAGTACTGTCCCTCCGAACTGCCACGTCTTGGTGCGCTTCTCCAAGCCAACTGACAATCACAAACTCCAACCTGGCCTTCCAAGTCCTTAGTGGGTATTTTTATCAAAGTAAGAGGGTAGAACATTTTTTACTTGTTTGTGATCCTGATTTATAAATTAAAAATTAAAACGTGCCTTGTAACTAGACTTCCACTTACGCTCTTGCCCTGGGCACCCTTAATGTGAGGAGTTAGCAGTAACGATAGTCAGTGTATAAAACTGAGAAAGAAAAAGATAAAACTGGCTGGGCGTGGTGGCTCAGGCTTATAATCCCAGCATTTTGGGAGGCCAAGGCGGGCGGATCATGAGGTCAAGAGATCGCACCATTGCACTCCAGCCTGGTGACAGAGCGAGACTCCGTCTCAAAAAAAAAAAAAAAAAAAGAAAGAAAAAGATAAAACCTAGAAGACTAATAGATTAAAAGGCTTCCCTCTCCAAATTCACAGTAAATGTGAACTCTGAGATGAGAAAGCTTCAGACCCTAAGAGCACATGACACAAAATAGATGCTGATTAAACACTTGTGGAATGAATTAATGACGAACAAGCACGTATTGCATGTTCAGCTCAATAACAGCACTGTCTATATGATGTAATTCGGGGTATACAGAGAAGCTGAGCATGACCAGGACCACCTGCCACCCCACTGGACCTCACAGAGTCCTACGAGGTCCTCAGGTGACCTTGGCATTTCCTCTCCTGGCCACTCCAGTGCCTCTGGATCCCTCCATGCTGTTCATGGGATCACCATTTTTTTTGAGTTCTCATCCTTTTGGTTTTCAGACAGATTTCCACCCTTCTTGACGTCTCAGCAATATCTTTGACCTCTCCCCTCGTTTTATCCACCCTCAGCCAATCAGAGGCAACACCAGAACTCCCAATCTCTGCCCAACCCCCACTCCCAAATTCCTGCAGCAATCACCCTGTACTACTTCCCCTTGTAGGGGTGCCACTGAATCTTTCTTCTCTGTTATATGTAACAACGATGTCTTACTTAATTTTGCTTCCCCACAGCACCTGGCACAGGGCTTCTCACCCAGTTGGCACTGAGGAACATTTGTGGAATATTCATTGAATGAATTTTGGATGCAGTAGAACCATTTTAAAACAGTTTTATGTTCCTAAATTCCTACATGAATATTTTGCATTAAGAGCATAGGTTCTGGCGTCAGGCTGCCTGGATTCTAATCCTTGCTCTGCCACCTCCTACTTGTGTGATCTTATGCAAATCAACCTTGGTTTCCTCCTCTGTAAGATGGAAATGATGACAGCAACTACCTCATAGAGTTGCTGTAAATATTCATGGAGTTAACACATGTAAAGCTAAAAAGTGCTTAGAACAGTACTTGGCACACAAGCCTTTGATACGTGTTAGCTTTTGTTGTCGTTGCTGTTGTTGTTGTTCTTGAAACACAGTCTCTGACACCCAGGCTAGAGTGCAGTGGCACGATCTCGGTTCGCTGCGACCTTCACCTCCGGGTTCAAGCGTTTCTCCTGTCTCAGCCTCCCAAGTAGCTGGGACCACCGGCGTGCACCACCACGCCCAGCTGATTTTTTGTATTTTTAATAGAACAGGGTTTCACCATGTTGGCCAGGCTGGTCTCGAACTCCTGACTTCAAGTGATCCGCCCACCTCAGTCTCCCAAAGTGCTGGGATTACAGGCGTGAGCCACTGCACCCAGCCACTTGTTAGTTTTTATTTAATCTTCTCAACAAGCTTACTTGGTAGATACTATTGTTTCCATTTTCTAGATGAAGAAACTTAAGGTGCTTGGAAGACTAAAGTAATGTGTCCAGCCTCACAGAGCCAGTGCTCCACAACTGAAATTCCCACCAGGATCAACCCACTCAGGCCCAGGGCTACGGACTCCTCACTACATCATTGCACTGCACAAGGCAGTCACTAATGAATGCCCTGTGACTCAACATGACAGAAACAGTGGAGCAGACACCAGATAGGTGCAAACCCGTCAGCCAGAACTGCCCTGTGGTTTTACTCTCTGAGAATGGGGAAGCACAATGAGGGTAATTCCTCAAATCACACAGCCCTTTTGAGTCAGGCCTGGGAATCAATGTGGACTGAGTATTTGCTTCCCATGAGACTTCAGACCTGCCCCACCACCTCTCCGGCACCAGGAACACACTGTGCCTGGTGAGAGGGGATGTGGTTCATAACTGCCCCACTTAGGCCATATAAAGGGCCACATGGAAGCCACAGGGGAAAAATAAAATGAGGTTCTGCAATGCATCCCAAGGTAGCTTAATATTTAATAGTTTTAGAAGCAGAAGACTGGCTAAAACTCCATAGGCACCCAATAAACACCTGGGAGCTTGTCTCCTTAATAGAACTCTCCTGAACCTGACAACTGGCCAAATCATTGCCTTTAAGAGCCATCTCTGTCCCCCACCCCCACTATATTGGCCTCTGGGTTCAAGCGATTCTCCTGTCTCAGCCTCCCGAGTAGCTGGGACCACCTGCGTGCACCACCATGCCCAGCTAACTTTTTGTATTTTTAGTAGAGACAGGGTAGTAAGTAAGCCCTTAATCAAAAGGCCTTTGAAAGCAGAAGAAGCAATTTTCATTCCAGTATGAGATTTTAAGTTCTCCAACTCTTAAGGATTTGAAATGCGAAATTTCTTTATGTTAAGAAATTGTTTTTAAGAACATGTGCCTGGCATATCCCATGTCAGGGGAACATACCAGAGGAACTATAGAAATAATTCCTGATGCCAGTAAAAGCAAAAACAAATAAGCAACAGAACAGATGCTAGAGTGTGCTCAAGTTATTCAGTAGCTTGATGAGGTACTTTTTTCTCATATTGGGTTTTTTTGATTGCTGTTTTGCTTTGTTTTGTTTTGTTTTAAGGTAGTGTCTCGATACATTGCCCAGGTTGGTCTTGAACTCGTGGACCCAAGCGATCTTCCTACTTCAGCCTTCTGAATAGCTGAGACTACGAGTGCACACCACTCACCTGGCTCAGATTAGTTTTTAATCTTCTTGTCTTTTCTTTTCTTTCTGAAACTGGGTCTTGCTCTGTCACCCAGGTGCAGCGGCATGATCTTGGCTCACTGCAATCTCTGCATCCTGGGATCCAGTGATCCTCCCACCTCAGCCTCCAAGGTGTGCGCCACCACGCCCAGCTAATTTTTGTACTTTTTTGTAGAGACAGGGTCTTAACATGTTGCTCATGGCTGGTCTCGAATTTCTGGGCTCAAGGGATCCTCACACCTCAGCCTTCCAAAGTGCTGGGATTACAGGAGTGAGCCACCACGCCCGGCATGTCAGACACTTTAAGGTCATTATTTTTACTGTAATCCCTAATTAATAATTTCCTATTTTTTAAAGGCTTTCATTAATCATTGAATTATTTCATGTTTCAGATAGGTGTAAACCTATTATTTCATGTTTGGATACTTTGGTAAAACAAATTTAAGCAATTTCTTTAAATTCAGGTCTTTGGAATAGATTGTTTTTGAAGTACAGTAACCAAAAGCTAATTTAAGTTAATCTAAATTTAAAAATCAGTATTAACCAAGAAATTTAGTTCCAATTTTCCAAAGTTGGAAAAATCTACAAAAGAAAATAACCACAAAAGCTTTTTTCTCAGGGTTCAATGCTTAGGTAAATTATGCAAAATAACAACGCATGCTAATGTAAGAAATATGCTTTTAAAAATGTTTTTCAAACTACAGGTCATAATCCACTGGTAGATCATAAAACCAATTCAGTAAGTCACAAATAGCATCCCTTTTGAAAAATGAAAGACAATTTTAAAAAGATAATTATCAGAATACTTTGTAGCTGGTAGTTATATTTTTGCAAAATTTTTGTCTCAACTCTTTATGTGAATACACACACACACGTATATTTATTGGTAATGGGTTGTGATAGAAAAAAATTTTTTTTAATGTGGGTTTCTCTAAAATATGTTTGAAAGCCTTGTTCTAGAGATGTCCTTCAGTTAACACATCCTCTGCCCATGGACCATGTACATGTACAGTTTAGCACATTCAGTCAACAAAAGTTTTTTGAATGCCTATGTGAGAATTAGCATTCTTGCTCATGACCCAGCGCCCCAAACTATCTAAGATTCATTTATGTTAACCATACTCCAGTGCATTTTAGCATGGATTAAAATGAAAAAGTATTTAGGCCAATCCAAAGGTAAGCAAAAAATTAAATTAACTAAAAAGCCCCATTGTTCAAACACACTGATGGTTGTTTATAATAACCCTTTGGAAACTTGAAACTGAAAACTACTTCCTTAGCATTTTTTTCCTCCATCCTGTACACACACTGATAAGTTATTGTGGGCAAGAAATGTTTGGGAGGATATGAGTTAGCACAGAATTTTTCATTCAAGAGAAAAAAAGTGTTATATTTATTTTGAGAAGAAATGTCATGCAAAAATTACACAGATTCATAACTTTTAAGCTGTGTGTGCTTTCTAAAGTTTGACATTGTCTCTTTCAGCACAATTTCTCAATCTATTTCAATGCTATGAACTTTTATCATTATTTAAAAATTACTTTTTGAATAAAATTCCATCTCAGTTACATAGATTCACAATTATAAACTTAAAAAGATTATTTAGTTTGTAGCTTAGAGCATACCAGAATTTACTCATATTATATAATAAGATTCTGCATTTGTAGAGAAAGACTTTGCTGAAAACATTAGTGTAAATGCTAATGGTTGTTAAGATGGTTGTTAAAATTTTTAAATCACTTTCATTTTGGGTATTTTAAGTAATTTTGGGGTGCCTTAAGTGCTTCAGTGAAATATCTCTCAGAGTAAGCCTTCAAAAAATGTTGATTAAATGACATATTTGGAGAGATAATAAATGAGGCAATCAAGCAGAAGCAATAAAAACAGGTGAAATCTATTGAATACTTGCTATGTGCCAGGAACTAAGCTTGGCATTTCCATGTGCTCTCTCATTTTATCCTCACAAAAATGTAGAAGTGGATACTAGCATTACGGCCATTACACAGATGAAACCACTGAGACTTAAATAACTTTTTCAATGTTCCACAACTGGCAAGCGGAAGAATAGGATCTAGGATTTGAGATGGAAAAAAAATTCAATATTGGATCCAAATTCTAACAATCTTAAGTGAATTCCTTTGAGCTGCTTTATTTTTATGAAAGAGCCTTCCGGCCGGGCACAGTAACTTAGGCCTGTTACCCCAGCACTTTGGGAGGGTAGGGCGGGCAGATCGCTTGAGCTCAAGAGTTCAAGACCAGCCTGGGCAACATGGAGAAACCCCACCTCTACCAAAAAAGATTTTAACAATTAGCCAGCTGTGGTGGTGCACCTGTAGTCCCAGCTACTTGGGAGCCTGAGGTGGGAGGATCACTAGAGCCCAGGGGATAGAGGCTGCAGTGAGCCAAGATAGCACCACTGTACTCCAGCCTGGGCAACAGAGAGACACCCTGTCTCAAAAAAAAAAAAAAAGAAAAGAAAAAGAAAAAAGAGCCTTCCCACTTCAGCCCCAAGACCAGAATGATTTGCCCACTTTTTGGAGTCTTTGGGAAATGGAATACATATTTGAGAGACAGACTTATGTCTAATCTGCAGGAACAATCTTTCATGGTAGAGGTGGGAGGAAATGGGGCTGTGCAGTTGTGTCTTGCGGGGGCCTTTCAAGCTGAGACATTGATCTGCTCAAAGCAATTTCTCTCCTTCATGCTCAATGGGACCTGACACTTTGGTGTCCTGGATCTGTTACTCATATTTCTGTTCTACTGGAAACCTGCAGACTCTCAGCTCTTCCCACGGAGGCAGGGCCAGGTTGTTCACCACAAAGCACTGGTTGCTGGTTGAATCAAGAGTAGGTGGACCGGAAACCAGTGGGTGGCTTTATTCAAAGGGTCTCACCCAACAATGGCAGTAGAATGAGCTAAGCTAGCCAAGCTAAGTTCCTCTGGAATTTGGCTCAGGAAATACGGAGAAGCGAATGGAAAAGAATGTGGAGAGAAGCTGAGACAGTAAGAGAGAAACTATATGGGGCCAAAAGAGAGAGTCAAGAAGGCAGAAGGCCCCTAGAGCTGGCTTTCCGTTCCAGCTCCAATCCATACATGGCTATTCATACTTCATTTTTTAAAAAAAGTTTTTAAACACCTCTTTTTTTCTTAAGGAATCCACTGTTTCTTCTCCTAACTGATCTATTGAAATTCTCACTGTGACTATGAAACACGGAATTAAAACCATAGACACTACTCCATGAGCATCTATTAACAATGATCTCATAGTAACTCTATCACCCAGACCTTGTCAAAGAGTGAGAGAGGCCTGTGCTTTTTCCAAATGGTTCCTGGCATATGTAAAAATGTCAAAACACCTGTGTGCAACTTGTAAAAAAGTTAAAGCTTTAGTTTAGCTTTTTAAAGAAAAGGTGGACCTTTTCTTCCTCAGTCTTATCAGTGGATCTCTGTGACCATGCAAAACTCAACCAGAGATTGTATCAAAACTCAGTACTTGCGGCTCTGAGTGAACATGAAGCCAAATAACGCTTTGGGCTCCCCCTCTGCTGTCCTTGATATTGCTTTAGGAAGGAGAGGCCAGGGCCAAAACTGTGGGGGAAAGGGAACACAGGATAGATGCGTAGGGCAGGGGGGACTTCGGTTCCAGGGAAACAAAACTGCCAAGTCTGTGCTGAAGAAGACCTTCAGTAAGTGGCTAAACGGAAGTGCCAGGAACACATGAGAAAGATGAGATGAGGGAGAAAGAAGGAAGACCTCATAAAAGGCACGGGCGGCTGGGCGCGGTGGCTCACGCCTGTAATCCCAGCACTTTGGGAGGCCAAGGTGGGCGGATCACGAGGTCAGGAGCTTGAGACCAGCCTGGCTAACATGGTGAAATCCCCGTCTCTACTAAAACAAACAAACAAACAAAAAACCCCACAAAAATTAGCTGGACGTAGCGGCGTGCGTCGGTAATCCCAGCTACTCTGAGGCTGAGGCAGAATTGCTTAAACCTGGGAGGTGGTGGTTGCAGTGAGCCGAGATCGCGCCATGCACTCTGGGCTGGGCGACAGACCAAGATTCTGTCTCGGAAACAAAACAAAACAAAAAAACAAACAAACAACAACAAAAAAAGGCACGGGCGACAGGAAGAAGTCAGTGGTAAAAGGCTCACTTCATGCTTTTCCCCAGGGTCTGGTTCTCAGAATACAAATACACACATTTGCTTTGAGCTTCGGTCTCTTGATCCTGATCTCATAACATCAGCATCTGCATCCCGCTGTACAGTTTACACAGGGCTTTCACCCACATTATTATACTTAATTCTTACACCACTAGGAGTGGGACAATATTCTCTTATTAATCCATTTTACAGATGATAAAGTGGAGGCCAAAGCTATTAATTTTGAGCAGCACAAATCCAGGGGTGTTTTTTCCATTGCACTACTCTGGAAACAGGGAGGTAAAAAACTTCTCTCAGACATCACCACCTCTGCCTTTGCCCGTTCATGAGAGTCTGAGATAAAAGAAAAAAAGAGAAAATCTCATTTATCTACAATGTAGAAATTTAATTCAATATTAATGGATATTTCTGCTATAGTTATTTTATATGCAGGACTTTTGAAGGATTCACCCTCAGAAGACTCTATCCCTTCTTAGTGCTCAACTATATATATCACTTCTTATTTTGACATAAAAGATGAATATTTCATTTAGGCAGGCTTATTGGAAAGGGTAACACACTATCTTGGTTGCCCTACTTTAAAAAAGATTCTTTATGCTTACTTGAGGTTAAAAATAGCTTGATTTTGCAGCAAAAGCTTGGTACTGCACATCCAAAACAAAGTGTACCAGATTAGGCCCCCAGAGCTGGGCTTTTTCACTCTCTCCAGTCTCTTATTTTTCTCTTAGTCTGCTTGCCCAACCTCAAAAATTCTTGACGTGAAACCAAGTAACTTCATGCTTATTTTTTAAATCTCAGTAAATGTGAGGAACATTTACCATAGGAATAATGACAACCAGCATGTACTTATGTATCAGTTCATGGTTCATAAAGCATTTGTATAAATATCACATGCCAATCATCACAATACACAGAAATTACTATTAACTTCATATAAATATTCATAATCAGAATCAGAAAGATTGAGTAACTTGCCCAAAGTTTCACAGCTAGTTGGTGGCAGATCTGGGACTATAACCTAAGCACACTGAATAACTGAATGTAGAGAGAAGACACTTATTCAGTGTCTTTTCAATATTCCATGATGATTTCTGCATCAACAGTAAGTCCTAACATGATAATTTATTTATTTAACAATCAAGCAACAAAACCCTATTCGTTAATTCATCCATTCAATATTTTCTGAGCCCTTTCTGAGTACCTTTTCTAGGTACTGAGAATACAGCAGGGAAAAAATAGACAAAAATATTATATTCCAACTGTGAATCCAGCTAATTATTTGTGCGTGTGTGAATATATATATTTACATCGCATTACATTGTATTAGGTATTAAAAGTAATCTAGAGATGATTTAAAGTACACAGGAGGATGTACATATGTTATATGCAAATACAATTTTTTTTTTTTTTTTTGAGACAGTCTTGCTCTGTCGCCCAGGCTGGAGTGCAGTGGCGCAATCTCTGATCCCTGCAAGATCCGCCTCCCGGGTTCATGCCATTCTCTTGCCTCAGCCTCCCGAGTAGCTGGGACTACAGGTGCCCGCCACCGTGCCCAGCTAATTTTTTGTGCAAATGCAATTTTATATCAGGTACTTGAGCACCTGTGGATTTTTGATTTTTGACTAGTGTGTGTGCATGTGCGTGTATGCCTGTATATACTTATATACAAAACCTTGAGATATGTTATGTATGTGTGTGGGTGCATGCGCCCATAATGCTAAATAGTAAGAAATATTAAGGAGAAAAATTAAGCATAGATGGAAGCGGGAACAATTATTCATGTGCACCAGGAGAGTACACCTTGCTCATGGCTGCTTTAGTTTTATGGTTTCAACAGTAAAAGCACTGCAAACAACCTAACTGTTCACTTTCATGAAAATGGATAAATACTATGTGGCAGAGTTACAGAATGGAATATTATGCAACAGCAAAAATGTATGATCTAGGTGTACAAGATACAATACAGCTTAATGATAAAAATATAACCTTAAGTGGGGAAAAACAGAAAGTCTCAGAAGACTACATACACTATCATGTCATTTTTTAACCAAAGGAAAAAAAAACAAGCAAAACTAAATAACATACTCTTCAGGAATACATACATATGTGGTAAACATATTTTAGATGGTTAAAAATGCAAACTCTAGTAGGAAAGTAGAGGGTTGGATCAGAGAAAAACATACAGGGCTGTTTCATTGATGTTGAGAATGGTTTAGTACCTAGGATGGGTGGTAGGGTCATGAGTTTTCATTTTATTATTATGCTGCAAAACTTCCATATATGTTATATATATTATCGTGTATTTATCAAATATTATATGACAATAAATAATTAAAAACGGATACGAGAAGAATACTTAGAATTATGTTTTCTTATCATTTCAGATTTTTTATATTACAAAGTTGCATTTTATATTTGAGCAGCAGGCAGCCAAGAATATGTGTACGGTATACTGAAGTTTACAAAGGCCTTTCTTATAACATCTTTTGAAAATCTTGTATAGTAGTTATTATTATACCTGCCTTTCAGATGAGTAAACCAAGGAAGAGCTTAAGCGATTTATTTAATCTCACATGACCTGCGAGTAGGAGAGATGTCTTTAATCGTCTAAAATTAATGCTCCTATAACCATTTGGAAGCATAGGGCTTTCTTGTTCAACAAAAGACCAAATGAATCCTAGAACATTAGAGCTGGAAGGAGTTTAAAGATCAGACTTTTCAATTCCTTCATTCCATAGATGGAGAAAAGAAGACCCACGTCCATTAAGGATTTGCCTGGCATCACACAGCTCCTTTCAATGGAAGAAAGGACAGTTGACTCATGTCTTGACTCACATCTTCTGAACCCAAGTGAAGCCCTTTTACACTCTATCAGACTGCCTTTGAAGTAGATTGATACTATTATTTTGTAGCCACTTGGCTATAAGAGAACAAAAAACTTGAACTTAAGGCATGCCGAATATCCATCGTTCGGATGAATGTTGAAGACTGTGATTCATAACAGAAAAGCTGCAGAGAGCCTTATTTATTAAAAACATCAACTGATGTATTAAATATCACAACACTTTAACTTATGAATGCAGGTTTGATATTTGCAAAAAAAAAAAAAAAAATTCCTGCAACAAGATGAAGAACCCAACAGCTGCTTTCTGAAGAGAGATAAAGAGCTGTATCATTTGAAGAGATCCTCAATCTGAGACATCCAGTGAAACATCGGTGATACTGGTTCTTAAAATGGCATCGGATTCATTAAAACATATACAAATGAGTTGGTGTATTAGCCTTTTAAGAATACTCAGAGCCTCAATAGTCTTTCCTCACACTCCTTATAATCTCCAGTTACTAAAGGCTTTTAAATTCATTTAAATAAACCCTATAGTGAATAACTATAAGAAGTAGAATGAGGAGATACATTTGTCAGCTTACTCCTTTCTGTCCGTGGATGCTGCTGAGGAAGCATTGATAAAGTCTCTCTTCTCCCTGCCATCATGTCTAAGTCAGAGTCTCCTAAAGAGCCCAAACAGCTAAGGAAGCTCTTCATTGGAGGGTTGAGGTTTGAAACATCAGATGAGAGCCTGAGGAGCCATTCTGAGCAATGGGGAACGCTCACTGAATGTGTGGTAATGAGAGATCCAAACACCAATCGCTCCAGGGGCTTTGGGTTTGTCCCCTATGTCACTGTGGAGGAGGTGGATGCAGCCATGAATGCAAGGCCACACAAGATGGGTGGAAGAGTTGTGGAACCAAAGACAGCTGTCTCAAGAGAAGATTCTCAAAGACCAGGTGCCTACTTAACAGTGAAAAAGATATTTGTTGGTGGCATTAAAGAAGACACTGAAGAACATCCCCTAAGAGATTATTATGAACAGTATGGAAAAACTGAAGTGATTGAAATCATGACTGACCAAGGCAGTGGCAAGAAAAGGGACTTTGCCTTTGTAACTTTTGACAACCATGACTCCACGGATAAGATTGTCATTCAGAAATACCATATTGTGAATGGCCACAACTGTGAAGTTAGGAAAGCCCTGTCAAAGCAAAAGATGGCTAGTGCTCCGTCCAGCCAAAGAAGTCGAAGTGGTTCTGGAAACTTTGGTGGTGGTCGTGGAGGTGGTTTCAGTGGGAATGACAACTTTGGTCATGGAGGAAACTTCAGTGGTTGTGGTGGCTTTGGTGGCAGCCATGGTGGCAGTGCAGACGGCTATAATGGATTTGGTAATGATGGAAAGAATTTTGGAGGTGGTAGCAGCTACAATGATTTTGGCAATTGCAACAATCAGTCTTCAAATTTTGGACCCATGAAGGGAGGAAACTTTGGAGGCAAAAGATCTTGCCTCTATGGTGGTGGAGGCCAATACTTTGCCAAACCACAAAACCAAGGTGGCTATGGGGGTTCCAGTAGCAGCAGTAGCTATGGCAGTGGCAGAAGATTTCAATTAGGAAACAAAACTTAGCAGGAGAGGAGAGCCAGATAAGTGACAGGGAAGCTATAGGTTATAACAAATTTGTGAACTCAGTCAAGCAGGGTGGTGGCAGGGCTTAGCTGCTACAAAGAAGACACGTTTTAGACAAACATTCATGTGTATGGGCAAAAAACCTCAAGGACTGTATTTGTGACTAATTGTATAACAGGTTATTTTAGTTTCTGTTATGTGAAAAGTGTAAGGCATTCCAACAAAGGGTTTTAATGTTTTTTTTTCTGCACCATGTTGTTGATTGCTAAATGTAATAGTCCGATCATGATGCTGAACAGAATAAATGTCTTAAAAAAAAAAAAAGTAGAATGAGGAAATGGGAAGAGTACTGGACTTTTTTCTGGAGCCAAAGGACCTAGGTTTAAATGTCAGATCTGCCATTTACTTGCTTTCTGAGGTTAAACAAGTTTCTCAACCTCTCTGATCCTTGGTTAACTGATATGTAAGGTGACAATGATAATTACTACCTTACAGAATTAAGAAATATAATATATGGGGAAGGTCTTAGTAAACTGTAATAAATAATACAAATATCCTTGTAGCTTTTATACAAAATCCTGTGACTCAATCATTCATTACATAATCATCCATTCAATGAGCATATTGATCACCTACTCAATAAATGAATGACACTGTTTTTGATACTGTGGAACATCCCAAGATACAAAAAATCTGGTTTTGGCCATTTGGGAACCAAAGGAGATATTTTTTCCTAATATATGTAAATATTTATAATAAGAACCCATATGTAATAACGTCCGTAGAATTAGTACAGAAAAAAAGATAAGACTACAGGGCTGGGAGAGATCAATCTGACTAGAGTGATAAGGAAAGGCATCTTAAAGAAAATGGCATTGGGCCAGTTTTTAAGGATGGGCAGGATTTCTAAAGGAAGAGGGTGGCTTTCAAAGTGGAAGAAAAAGCATGAACAAGGGCTTAGAAATGGAAGCACACCTTCCATCTCCTCTGGATCCTTATTTGTTTTTTTATGTGAGCACTTGGTTTTTGACAGTATCACTTTGTTTACCGGTGTCTCCCTTGCACGTCCAGTGTGTTAGGTCATTCTTGCCTGACTATAAAGGAATATCTGAAATTAGATAATTTATAAAGAAAAGAGATTGATTTGGCTCACAGTTCTGCAGGCAGTACAACCATGGTGCTGGCATCTGATCAGCTTCTGGAGAGGCCTAAGGGAGCTTTTATTCATGATAGAAGATGAAGTGGGAGTAGGCATGTCACATGGCCAGAGCAGGAGCAAGAGGGGGAGGAAGGTGACACACACTTTTAAACAATCCAATCTTGCATGAACCCACTCATCATCAAAGAGATGCAATTAAGCCATTCATGAGAGATCTGCCCCCATGATCCAAAAACCTCCCACCATGCCCCACCTCCAACACTGGGGATTATATTTCAACATGAGATTTGGTGGAGACACAGATCCAAACCATATCATTCTGCCCCTGGCCCCCCAAATCCCATGTTCTTCTCACATTGCAAAATATAATAATCTCCTGCCAATAGTTCCCCAAGAGCCACAATTTGTTTCAGCTTCATTAAAAAGTCCAGAGTCCAAAGTCTGAAACAAGGCAAGTACCTTACACCTATGAGCCTATAAAATTAAAAAATATATATTTACCTCCAAGACACAGTGTGGGTACAGACATGGGGTATACAGTCCCATTCCAAAAGAGAGAAATTGGCCAAAACAAAGGGGCTACAGGCTCCACGCAAGTCTGAAACCCATTAAATCTTTAAGCTCCATTAAATCTTCAAGTCATTAAATCTTTAAGCTCCAAAATAATCTCCTTTGACTTCATGTCCCACATGCAAGACATAATATAGCAAGGATGGGTTCCCAAGGCCTTGGCCAGCTCCACTCCTGTGGCTTTCCAGGGTTCAGCCCCAAGGCTGCACTTCCTAGTTGGAGTTGAGTGCCTACAGCTTTTCTAGGCTCAAGATGTAAAGCTGCCAGTAGATCTACTATCCTGGGGTTGGGAGGTCAGTGGTCCCCTTCTCACAGCTCCAGTAGGCAGTGCCCCAGTGGGGTCTCCATGGGGCCTCCAACCCCACATTTCCCCCTCAATACTACTGCCCTAGTAGAGGTTCTCTGTGAGGGATTGCCCCTGCCACAGTCTTCTGCCTAGCACCCAGGCTTTCTCATACATCCTCTGAAGTCTATAGAGAGACTGCCAAGCCTCCTTCACTGTTGTACTCTGCATGCCCACAGGCTTAACACCACATGGAACTCTCCAAGGCTTATGGCTTGCACCCTCTGAAGCAGCAGCCTGAGCTGTATCTGTGACCCTTTGAGCCATGGCTGGAGCTGGAACAGCGAGGATGTGGGAGCAGTTTCCCAAGACTACACAGGACAATGGGGCCCTGGGTCTGGCCCATGAAACCATTCAGCCCTCCTAGGCCTCTGAGCCTGTGATGGGAGGAGCTGCCTCAGAGACCTCTGAAATTCCTTTCAGGCCTTTTTCCCATTATCTTGGCTATCAGCACCTGGCTCTTTCTTACCCATACAAATATCTCTAGCAAGCGGTTGTTCCCCAGCCCACTTAGATTCTTCCCCTGAAAAATGGGCTTTCTTTTTCTACCACATGGCCAGGCTGCAAATTTTCCAAACGTTTAAGCTCTGCTTCCCCTTTAAATATAAATTCCAATTTTAAGTTATTTCTTTGCTCCTGCCTCTGACTATAGGATGTTAGAAGTAGCCAGGCCATATCTTGAATGCTTCACTGCATTCCTCCACGAGATACCCTAGGTTGTCACTCTTAATGTCAAACTTCCACAGAGCCCTAGGGCATGGACACAATATAACCACCAAGTCCTTTGCTACAGAATAACAAGGGTAACCTTTCTCCAGTTTCCAATCAGTTCCTCATTTCTGTCTGAGACCTCAGCAGCCTGGACTTCACTTGTCCATATCACTATCAGCATTATGGTTACAACTATTTAAGCAGTCTCTAAGAAGTTTCAAACTCTCCCTCATCTTCCTGCCTTCTTCTGAGTCCTCCAGACTCCTCCAACTTCTGCCCATTGCCCAGTTCCAAAGCTGCTTCTACATTTCCAAGTATCTTTATAGCAATGTCCCACTCCTAAGTACTGATTTTCTGTATTAGGCCATTCTTGTATTGCTGTAAAGGAATACCAGAGACTGGGTAATTTATAAAGAAAAGAGATTTAATTGGTTAATGGTTCTGCAAGTTGTACAAGCATAGCACTGGCATCTGCTTGGCTTCTGGGGAGGGCTAAGTGAGCTTTTACTCATGACAGAAGGCAAAGCGGGAGCAGGCATATCACATGGCCAGAGCAGAAGCAAGAGAGCAAGGAGGGAGGTGCCACACACTTTCAAACAACCCAAACTGTCATAAACTCACTTATCACCAAGGAGATGGCACTGTGCCATTCATGAGGGATCGGCCACCATGATCCAAACACCTCCCACCAGATCCCACCTCCAAAACTGGGGATTATATTTCAACATGAGATTTTGCAGGGACATAGCTCCAAACCATATCATCCACTAATCCCAGTTAGAATATGAGATCTTTGAGTGCCAGAATCATGTCTCATAAAGCCTAAGGCAGTGCTGGGTCCATAGAGAGGGTTCAGTAAAGGAGCTGCTGACATACTTTTATGGAAGCCTCCATATGTGCTTTCTGAATGAAAGGATAGGGAATAGAAAAATAGCAGCACAGAAAAGTGCTTTAAATTAATGAGACTAATGGTATATATAAGCCAGCACATTTTCCCATAAACTTGGCCATTTTCCCATAATCCCTATGTTTTGTATTTTGCAAAGCAATAGAATTATTACTTTAATTTGGGAAGAACACATACACACACTCACACACACACCAAGAAGGACAGAGTGAGACTTAATCTCCAAAGCTGATGTGTGACTTGTGTTTTGGATGTCAATAATGGTAAAACAAATAAAGCTGGGAAATGTAGCTTTGCTTGAGATTTTATAGATTCTTTCTTTTTCATAAAAAACTTTTTAACCTGAGTTTATACCTATCCAAAGCAACAAGCCCAATGTCAATTTTATACATTTTGAAGGCTATGGCAATCTTTCTTTTGATTTTGGTTCTTCTTTTTATAACTATATTCCATTATTATCAGAGACATCTTTGATCTATTCCCTGTCCTTCATGTGAGATAGTTAAGAGTGACTCCTAATATTAAATCCAGAATACATGGTTTGAATTAGAAGCTATAGGAAGATTCATCTCTAATATAAAGCTATTTGTAGGAAAAATATTCCATGATACTCTATGTGTAAATTATTAACAAATGCATTTCCAGTGAGTCTTTTTCTCACTCTTTGGTTCTGTGAAACAGCAGGAAAAAATATATTGCCAAATAAAATATTTTTATAACTTTATTTTTATTGCCTTTGAGGTAAATCTCAGAGTACAAGTTTTTGAGAAGAACTCCAGCAATAAAGAGCTATGTATATTATATATACTAACAATTATTTTCTGGTTTGACTTTGGGAAAAA
The DNA here is from genome assembly GCF_000001405.40 of Homo sapiens. Classification (NCBI taxonomy): domain Eukaryota; kingdom Metazoa; phylum Chordata; class Mammalia; order Primates; family Hominidae; genus Homo; species Homo sapiens. The sequence continues at coordinate 110,783,478 of NC_000011.10, read as the reverse complement.
GAAGATAAAATTCATATATTATAGAGAGTTGATATTGATATTTTTGTAAAGAAAGAAATACCAAGGAATCATTCAATATTACTCTAGGGAAGTTTTCTGGCTTGAGGGTTTAAATAATATTTTTATTTATATAAAAGTACAATGTAAGATCAATTTTGTTTCCTTTTCATTAAATAGCAGTAGGCAGTTTGTCTGCATTGCATTTGAGAGATACTTGTCTTCTTGCCTTTGGCAACTTAAGAAGATAGCAATAGATAGGAAATAAGACATCTTTTATATTTATATTATACATTGGATTCTAGAAAAAGTTGCTCTTGAAAAGGGCTCCAAATTAATTTTTGACTTTTCAAAAAGCAATTTTCAGTGTCCAAGCAAAGTGGAGGACTGAAAAATTATTCAGTAATTTGAATTCTAAGTAGCTTATTTGGATAATTCAAGGAGAAAACATTTTATCTACTCATTCCTTCATCCGTTTATTCAACAAATATTTTCTGAGACTCTCTGGTTCCAGGCATATATCCAGCCCTGGAGATTCAGTGGTGAACAAGATAGGTACAGCCCTGCCTACTGGAGGTTAAATAATCTTCTCAGGACTCCTGCCCTTCCCAATCGTAAGAAAATCATATTCTGTTCAAGGATAAAGAGAATGTAGCCAAGAAATTCAGCCAAAAATAATAATATTAACAATAACAATTCTGTAAGGAGCCCTTGTGCTGTGTGCATCATAAAATCACTTCCATCATTACATTAGCCAAAAGAACCCTTGCCCAAAAGCTTATTGCTTGTAAATCAAGAGTTTTATAAAAACAGTAAAACAGATTATTAAATGATTGTATGGTATGATGTACATTTGCCATTAGAATAAGTTTAAGTTTTCAAGGATAGCTTTTAGAATATTTTCTTATATACAGAATCCCTCCTATTTGGGCAGCTGCCTGCAAGGAAAGGCAGAAGACACTGAATAGAGGATCTAACCTGCTTTTCTCCTATTTGTAATATATACATAACTTAAGGAAGACTGACATACAGAGCAAGATTTAGGGAACTTATGGGACATATGTCTCTTCTATCACTAAATTTTAGTTTGTGATAAACTGTATCCCTATTCAATTCAACCCTGATCTTCCCTATTTCACTGGCCTTATGTTTCCTTTATAAAGTAGAAGATCCTGTTTTGTACACACTGTCTGGTGACTGGGATTAAAGAGTTGCCACTCCTATTCTCTGAGTTCCCAAACAAAAGACCCTTAATAGTAACAGCTAATCCTGGAAAGGTCCTAATCATGGTTTCCTCCACCCTGATAACTAGCCTGTGTCTTTCCTCTTCCATCATCAGAAATATAAAAATAAAATTTCCATATGCATTGAAGGCTTCATTTAGAAAATGAGATTAATGCTCATTCCTACTCAACACACACAGCTCTCTTGAACATAATATGAACTAATAACTAGAGGATTCTAAGTGCTTAGAATAAACAATTGGCTAACATGAGGCTTACAGTTCTCCAATACTTTTTTTTTCAGGGATATTTGATGTGTAGCGGCTGGAGTATACTAAATGCATATAACTATATTTTAAATAGTACTATCAACATTGGGTTTTTCTATTTTGGCATTAACACTAGTAAGATAGCAAATGTAATTGTCATAACGTATTACATAGATAGGAATGAAAGAGGCAAGACATTTAGTTAACACTCTTCTCATATCAGTGATACATAACTTCTGATTTCAGTGATACATAAGTACAATATCACATAAATTCTAAAATCAGATTTTGTTGAGCCATGCTGATTTAAAACAAAAACAGGATGACGTTTAAATCAAGCTGGACAAATCTAGTATTGATCAATTTTGTCTCAAGAAAAATTGTATATAAAAGAAAGATTTATAGGCCTTAACCGTTGGCTCTTTCATTTTGAATAATAATTGTAATAATAATCATATAATAGTTACAATAATAGCAACTAACTTCTATGAGCAGAATATATGGAACTCGCTTTCTATACATGATATCTTTTAATCATCACTATAGCCCTATTGAAAAAAATACTATCAATTATCTTCATTCTACATACAAGGAAGCTGAGGTGCAAATAAAGTAACTTGCCCAGTTACGTAGCAAGTAAGTAATGGATTCAGGACTCTAATGCAGGCAGTCTATTTTCATTATGTAATAGGACTAACCCCTAGAAGATCAAAAAAAAAAAAATCTGCACTACTTTGATATTTATTGTAACTGAAAGAAGTAAGGTAACAACTAAATTTTAAAAGCTTATTATCCCTGGAAGTAGGGAAGGCATGAAATGCAGCATTCCTCAAACAACATTTATTGAATATGGATTCTTCATCAGAGAGATCAAAATCATTCTGTGTTTAAATAGGCTTATGAAATACTGGATTAAGCCAAGTGAAAGAGTGCTTCTTGCTAGAACATATTTTGGGGTCTTTCTATGCTGATATGCACTATGAGTCTATGAAATGGAGATGTAAAAAGAAAAAGGGATTTAATCAAGAGCACTTTTCTTTTATGGGGCATGTCTGAAGAAGTGAACTAAAGTTTTTTCAACACAACTTTGAAAAAACTCATCTAAGGAACAAACCAGGATAGAAGTTGGGTGAAGGGAAGGGCATCAGAGGCCAAGTAGAGAGCAGAGGCCAAGTAGAGAGCAGAGGCCAAGTAGAGGGCCAGTGAACAGGTTTGCTCACAGAGTACAAGTGGACTGTATCACCTTATAACAGGTGTCACTGAAATAAATTATAATATAATACAATAAAATAGTAACACAGAAAGTTCTACAGGGATCTGGAAGGTCAAGTAATCACTCTCTTGGCAGTTTCTTTCCAAAGGGGAGAAAGTGAGGATGTTTGCCCCACTTGAGCTTGATGGTGGCTGCAGCTCAACTGACAGTCTGAGAGGCAGCAGCCTGGCATGTCCCCCACTGGAAGGGACAAAGCAGCCACTGTTCAGTAGGCTAATAGGGCTTGCCATTTTGGAGAATCCATGGAACCATTATCAGAGAAGAAGAGGCCCTGGAGGATACCAAATGGCAGTTGGGCTGGCCAATTCTAGTGGATATGCAACTGAGATGGCAAAGGCCCTCTATGTGAGTATGTGCATGATTCCTCTAACGATTTCCTGAACTAGTTGAGAGGAATTTGAATATAGCTGGAGTCTCCTCCAGCTATATATAGAACTTCAGGTGGAAACTGAGCCATAAAAATAGCACACTATGCTGGCACGTAGCATATTGTGTACAGCTACCATTTATTGAGCCCTTAACCAGGTGCTACATACTATGTTAATGATTTTATATTGTTTAATCCCCAAACACCTCTATGATGTAAATACTGTTATTATTCCTGTTTTGCAGTTTGAGAAACTAAGACGCAGATAGTTCAGTTTACTTGTGCAAGGTCAAAGAACTAGAAAGCCAGGAGCAAATAGCACTCAAATTAAGTTTTAAAATACCATGGAGCTTTCTTTTGGCTGAAAAAAGTTTAATGAATTCCAAAATCTATTTGTGATTAAAAAAGAATTTGGCACATCAGTAATAAAAGGAAACTTCCAAAGACTTAACAACAACAAAAAAGAGTGTCAACAAAAGATTTAGTTTAAATATCAAATTTAGTAGTGTAATTACCAGTCCAATATCCAATATCCAGTCTAGAATAAGATTAACATTTAGTATTAGAATTAAGTTTAAAGCTTCCATTTTTGATGAAGATTAAAACAAAAATTCCTGATAATACCACTTCCATTAAACATTTAACCAGAAACCCTAGATAATGGGGTAAAACAAGAAAAATAAAAAGCAACAATATACAATTCTTATTGAAATGGAAACAGGCAAACTATCATTATTTATATATAATATAATTTTCACAATATACCTTTTATAAGCTCTACACCTTCTGCTTAAGCCCTCCCATGATTTCTCATCCATCTCAGGCCAAACTCTTTATCCTGGATCAAGGTCAAAGTAGTATTGCTACAGTCTCTTTCTCTCTGTCTCTCTCTCTCTCTCTTCTGGAAATCATTTGCTAAGAAACAAACTACCCTCAAAATTTAGTGGCTTAAAACAATAACCATTGAATTGTATCACATGATCACATGATTTTTGTCTGTGTTAGGACTTCAGGCAAGGCTCAGCTAGATGGTTCTTCTGTCTCATGTGGCCTTTACTGGAGTCACGTGGTGGTATTAAGTTTGTGGCTAAGCTGGTCCAAGACCATATCACTCACTTGTCTGGCACCTTGGCAGGGGCAGCTGAAAGGCTGGGCTCAGCTGAGGCCCTTTCTTCACGTGTTCTCAGGGCCTGTCCGTGTGGCCCTGCAGCAGGTTTTCAGCCTTCTTACATGTCAGTTTAGGGCCACAGAGGACAAAGATAAAAGCTGCCAGTCATCTTAAAGACTAGGCTCAGGACAGGCACCACATCACTTCTGCCATGCTGTAGTGGTCACAACAGTCAGATGCCAGGCCAGATTCAAGAGGAGGGGAAATAGACCCACATGTCTATGGGAGGCATCTTTAAGAGTGAGGGGCCATCTCTCATCTACCACATTGTCCAGCCTTTTCTCATACTACTCTCCCTTCACTCACCACATGCGCTTTCTTTTTGTTCCTCAGATAGGCCAAGATTATTCCTCTTCCAGGATTTTGTGTGTGCCAGGAGTGTTCTTATCCTGACTGGCTCTTTCATGTGATTAAGCTCCCAGCTTAAATGTAATCTCTTCACAGAAGGCTCCTCCTCACCATTTTGTGAAGGCCTTCCCTGCTCACCCAACCTAACTCTCTAATTTTATTTCCATAGCATTATTACCATCACTGCCAGACAATCTCTCTGGTTTTGTTTTTGTTTCTCATAGCTCTTCCAATTAGCATGTAACAGCAGGAGAGCAGGGACCCTGACTATCTTGCTCACTTCCTCATTCTCAGCACTTAGAACCAGGCCTGGCACAAAATCGGTCCTTAGTAAACATTTGTCAAGTGAAAATATGAAGTGGTGGACTGAGATTCAAAACTAGATGTGACTGACTCCAGAGCCAAAACCAAACTGTCCTTGTAACCCTTTGTATTCCAGGCAGATATGGTCTACATAGAACCTAGGGCAAAGATACTATACAAAGAAAACAACTCGCAGACACCACTAAGAAGGGATTAGCTAGTATGGAAGCTGCAGCCAGGCCAACCTATATAGAAAATTCAAAGAGAAAGTTCCATTCCAGCAAAGTCCAACATTTCTTTGCCTGACTTTGTTTCAGCCATTGTTGCTTTGATTCTTGGTGATGAAAGATCTCCAAGGTGTAGTGTTGCCTCATGGCCATTTGCAGCTCAGGTCTTGTATCTGGTTAGCCCCCTCTGACACTCAGTTTTGCTGGGGCCACACGAGTGAGTGTTGCCTTGTCCAATCTGGAATTGGGCCACAGCCATGTTTGTACTGAGGCATTAGGGAAACATGGTTTATAAATGCTTGTTTCCTCTGAGTCACTGCAGGGACTTGTTCCTTCAGTACAAACTTTCTGTTTGGTTTTATAACTGGGGAAGGAGGGGGTGGGAGCCAAGACTAACTGGATCAGGTTTGAAAGGAAAGGGGAAGTAAGAAAACTTAAATAGATTTTTCTATATTAGTGAGAGCGACAAAGGAACCCTTATCTGGGTCTCAGATGCATGCACAGAGTTTCATCTTTATTTGTTTATTTGCCTTAATAAGAAAAGGAAAAGTTCACAGAGTAATTTTTTCCCCTCAAGTTTCCATAAAAATGCTGGAAATGTGGCAACAGTTTTACAAAAACAGTTTAAGAACAATTAAAACACATATAACCATTTTTAAAGTTTATATTAAATGTTCTTTATTAAACAAAAAGGAATTTTGCTTCTAATTTCCAGGCATTGTTGACTACGTTTTCTGAATGACCACCTATTAGCTTTTATCATTACTGTAACTTTTCTGTAAGTTATATTTTCCAGATAAAAAGATTTAGCTCTTTATTTTCGGCCTTTTAAATATATCATGACTTATTGCCAGGCTTCTCACCTGTAGAATTCAGCTTATAATAACAATTCTTGCTCATAATAACTCATAAAGTTATTATGAAAGTCAAGTATAATTAAATCATAGATATAAAAGTATGATTCCCAATTCATTCATTAACAGTTGGCATTGTGTAAATTATCATCATAATTATCAAGCTCAAACATTTAAGGAGCATCAGTAAGGTGTGGGGCCCAGTGTCTAGCACTGGGAACGTAAGAGGTACCAGCCAATCCCTGATCTCAAGGGGATTACAACTCAGTACAGAACTAGATATGAGCTCTCTGAGCCATGGGTTCATCATCATTAACTAGAGGGAAATACTTAATTTTGTACCTGGCATAGAGTTCAAATACCACAGATCATTTTATTTTAAGTTCCAGCATACATGTGCAGGATGTGCAGGTTTGTTACATAGGTAAACGTGTGCAATAGTGGTTTGCTGCACCTATCAACCCATCACCTAGGTATTAAGCCTGGCATGCATTAGCTATTTATCCTGATGCTCTCCCCACTCCTCACCCTCCCCTGACAGGCCCCAGTGTATGTTGTTCCCTCCCCATTTCCATGTGTTCTCATTGTTCAGCTCCCATTTATAAGTGAGAATGAGCAATGTTTGGTTTTCTGTTCCTGCATTAGTTTGCTGAGGATAATGGCTTCCAGCTTCATCCATGTCCCTGCAAAGGACATGATCTCATTCCTTTTTATGGCTGGATAGTATTACATGGTGTATGTGTACCAAATTTTCTTTATCCAGTCTATCATTGATGGACATTTCGATTGACTCCATGTCTTTACTATTGTACCACAGATAAATTTCATAGCAGATTCTGTAGGTATCCTGCCCAGTGTGCCGCACACAACCTCCAGTTACGAGTTCTGTACCTAAGGGTTTTTCTAGAAGGCTGAATTCTAGCCACCCTCTTTACACACACTCACACACACACAGGGCACAGGCTGGAAGTATCAGGAATTAACACCATCACCTCCAGCAGTGAGTACTCATTTCAACAATGAGTAATGGGAGTGAGTGCACAAATTACACCCAGCTCCCTCAGCCTCCAGTAGGATAGTTCCAAGGCATGTGTTTCATGCTCTTTCCTAGGGTTTTCCCATGGGAAAAATCTTCCGTCACCCACTTTGGTAGATGGTGTCATAACACACCCCTTCTTGGATGCCTTCCCTTTCCTGTATCACTTCCTCTTTCTCCTGCTGGAGTTTCATGGGGTCACCTCTCAGATACAGTACGTCTTAGGAACTACTTCCACAAAAAAAAAAAAAAAAAAAAACTGAGATAGTTTTCTTCCTTACAAAGAAAACTTCCTTATGGTTTTAATGCCCAGATGAGCCAGCTAGCTTTGCACAAAAGGAAAATTCCATCTCATTACCACATCTAACTATCTTATTGATCTTGGCTATTGTTATCTTTAAAATATCCAAAAATGTGGTAAATAAATTTATAACTGTTGAAGTTTTTTAATATATACTATAGTATTTAATCTTCACAAACAGCCCTCAGAGAAAATTGAGACTGGAAGAGGTTAAATGTCTTGTCAAAAGTTAAAGGGTCGACCGGGCGTGGTGGTTCACACCTGTAATCCCAGGAGTTTGGGAGGCCAAGGTGAGCAGATCACTTGAGCTCAGGACCAGCCTGGCCAACATGGCAAAACCCATCACTCCAAAAAATACAAAAATTAGCCAGGTGTGGTAGTGCAGGCCTGTAATCCCAGCTGTTCCAGTGGCTAAGGTGTGAGACTCGTTTGAACCAGGGAGGCAGAGGTTGCAGTGAGCTGAGATCATGCCACTGCACTCCAGCCTAGGTGACTGAGCGAGACTGTCTCAAACAAACAAAAAAAGTTAAAGTGTCAATAAGTGAGAACATTGGATCTCAAACCAAACAGATCCTGTGCTTTTCTGACTGTTCTCACACTGCTGAGTGAGAGAATGCATAGAGTGGAGAGCAGGCTGCTCCCCACTCCTGGAAAAGTGACTGTAAGTGCATGTTCTCCTGTTAGGGTCAGGAGTACCATCTCCATATAGAAAGTGAACTTTTCAAGCTGTCCTTTTAAACTGAGACAATGGTCATCGTTTAACACCTTTGGAAAGGGTATAAAAGGCAGATTTACTAACGATGCTAAGTGACACAGAATGGAGTAGTCCAGTTTTTATTGTTCCATAATACTTTAAAGGGCTAAGGAGATCTAAAGTACCTTGATAGGTCAAATTTAAGGGCCTTGAGTCAGAGGCATTGAAGGGTTTGAAAATGGTGCCAGCAGGATACCTGGAAACACAGTGCAGCTCCTGAATCTACCAGCATCTTCCTTTCTCCTATAAGAGAAGCTTTAGTTTCTCCTCCACAAAGTGAAGCTTGAAACATCAACCTCTGTTACCAACATTTCTTGTTACATGAAGATTCACAACAGAGAAATGCTTATTTTTTATTCTAGCTAGTATTGTTGAGTACCTGCTTTATTGCTGTCATAACTCTGGTAACAGCTTTAAGTCTTGCAAAGAACTCAGTAACATAGGTCAGCAACAAAAGTGAGAAACTGGAATTAGTACTGGGGCAACAGGTTCCTGAGTTCCAGAGTTTGCTGTCTAAATCCAGTATCCAAAACTATGAGATGCTTCAGAACCAAACCAGTGGGTGGAGCTAGTGGCAGGGGAGTCCAAGTAGAGGTGATATTACACTTAACTGGGTATGGGCAAATTAGCTCTGGTCAATACAGAATTGCACTCAGAAGCTGGCTGAGGTGGAGAATAGGGCCCAGCCCAGAATAGGAGGCTGGCTATGAACTCTGCAGATTGTCAGAACTAGATTTCAGGAAGGGGCTTCGGTCTCTGTGGGAAACTGGACTGCTGGCCATACACCTAGTTTCTCTGATGTGACCTGTGTAAGAAGCCTTCAGGGAATGCTGTGGCTGATGGGCAAGTAACCAGAGCTCCCTCCAGGCATATGAGTCAATCGGTCAATGCAGCACAATTTGTTCTAGACTATAAAACCTGATTGAGATGGGATATGGGAGAGTGGGGTAGGAAGCTTCCTAATATAGGCTTTACCTTGGCCTGGATTATTTCAGACACCTCCTCAGAGATGAGCTTATATGCTGATCATAGCAAATAAAACAGGACAGCAGAGAAAGGTATACTGTGGTCCCTGCTTTCAAAGGGTCACCAACCTAGTTAGGGATCCAAGACGTGTACCCACTGAAGAGAACCCTTTAGATTGGGCAGCCTTGGAAGCAGTAGTTACAAAGAAAATGATACCTGTACCAAATAGCCTTATTTCAGAGGCTTACTTATATGAAGACATTTGGAAAAGTAATTTATTTGGTTCACTAATGTTTCCTATAAGTATGAAGAACCACAGTCACTCCCACTCACGGCTTCTTTGGAATGTTGAAATTGGCCTGCACAGCATGCAGAATGTCATTAAAGATCTACCCCATTTATCCACCATCCCCACTCCCAAGATCTGAAGAGAACTGAAATAGGATGTGAGCTCTGAAGCCTTCAGGACTTGGCCTGAGACTGCTATTTGGGGGAATTTTGTTGATTGCCCAGAAAAAAACTCACAGTATGCATTTTGAGACAGCTCTTTGAGGAGTAAAATGGCAAGAATGCTATTGCCTGCACCTATGAGAAGATATGGCACTTGGAATTTGCCAACTGTGTTTCTCTGGGTTCCTAGAGACCCAGATCCCATCTACCTGAGCTCTCCTTAGCTTTCTTTTATGAACACAATGCAGAGGAGCCTTTGTTGTCATTTGAGCCCTTCCAACACCTCAGACACAGAATGGGGAAGTGGAAATCCTGGGAGGAAGAGGCAATAATGGAGGCTCTGAAGTTGAAGAGGTCAGGTCAGGAATAAAATTTCTGTTCAACTGGGTGCCCTTAGGCAAATTATGTAATATTTATGTCAAATAAGAAGAATATTAACATCTCAAGTTAGTTATGATAATTGAGATTATCCAATAAAACATTATCGAGCAGTTCTTATGTTCTAGACTTGGAATTAGGTACTGGTAGGAGGGTAAAAACATGAATTCATTCACATAATGTTTACTAAGTATCTACTATTAGCTCAACAAATAAAATAAAGCTCTTGCTTATGTTCTACTAAAGAATACAGGCAAAAAAAAAAAAAACCCACACCTAACTCAACAACTATGTATAATGCCAGGCATTAATAAGTGCTCTAAAGAAAAATAGAGTGGGATAAGGGGACAGAAAGTGAGGGAGGGTGAAGAGTAGGCCTGCTGGAAGGAGGGTGGCCAGGGAAGGACTGTTTGAGACATTAAGGAACTGGAATGAAGTAAAGGAGCAGGCCAGGTGGCCATCTGGTGGAAGAGCATCTCAGCAGAGGGGACAGGACATATGAATCCTTGCAGTGACAGCATGCTTGGCGTGTTCACAGAAAGGCAAGTCTGCCCCTGTGGTTGAAGCAGAGCAAGCAAGGGTGAGTGTGGCGGGGATGAGGTCAGAGAGGTGTGCGAGGACTAGACTGGGTGGGGCCTTGGAGACATTGAAAAAAGGTTCAGACTTTGTTCTGAGTGTTGTGGGAAGCCACTAGAGGATTTTGAGCAAGGGGTGACAAGATATGGTTTATATTTTCAAGGGATCACCCTGACTATTGCATGCAGAATGGACCTGAGAGGAGGGCAGACAAGAATATAAGCAGAAAGAGTTAGAACAGGTTACGCACGAGGTTGATAACTAAGGCTGGGGGGTTAGTGACAGAGATGCTGAGAAGCGGTTGGATTGGGGGATGTTTTGAAGATAAAATTAATGTAATTTTCTGATGAAGTAGGTATGAGAGAAGGAGACAAGTCAAAAAAACTCCAAGTTTGTTGCTCTGAGTAACTGGATGAATATAAGCCTCATTCACAATGAATGGGAAGGAAGAGGTTTAAGGGGAAAGGAAGTCAAAAGTACAGTTTTGTAAAGGCTGGGCTGAAAATGCCAAGTAGAGATGTCTGGTAGGTACCTAGGTAAGTGAGTGTGGAGCACTGGAGAGACACCAGAGCTGATCATATAAATTTAGGAGACATCATGGTATGGATGGCATTTAAAGCCATGACTAGATGACATCATCCAAGAGTTAGCATAGCTGGAGAAAAGAAGTGCAAAAATCAAGCCCTTTGAAAGTCCACTCTTTAGTATTTGAGTGGGGAGAAGGAGAAGAGAGAGATGAATAAGTCTCAACCTGAAGGAAGTCACCAGTGTGTGACCAGCACCATGTCTGGGACATATCAGATGAGCAATAAGCATTACATCTCTCTTATTTTTTAATTATTTATTTATTTATTTTGAGACAGAGTCTCGCTCTGTTGCCAGTCTGGAGTGCAGTGGCGCAATCTCGGCTCACTGCAACCTCCGCCTCCCAGGTTCAAGTGATTCTCCTGCCTCAGCTTCCTGAGTAGCTGGGACTACAGGTGCCCACCACCACACCCAGCTAATTTTTGTATTTTTAGTAGAGACGGGGTTTCATCATGTTGGGCAGGATGGTCTCGATCTCCTGATCTCGTGATCTGCCCACCTCAGCCTCCCAAAGTGTTGGGATCATAGGCATGAGCCACCATGCCCGGCCCCACATCTCTTTTTTTTAAACTTTTATTTTAAGTTCCAGGGTGCATGTGCAGGATGTGCAGGTTTGCTTTATAGGTAAATGTGTGCCATGGTGGTTTGCTGCACAGATCAACTCATCACCTAGGTATCAAGCCCAGCAGCATCCATTAGCTATTCTTCCTGATGCTCTCCCACCCCCTGCCCGCCCCCGACAGGCCCCAGTGTGTGTTGTTTCCCCCACAATGTGTCCTCATTGTTCAGCTCCCACTTATAAGTGAGAACATGTGGTGTTTAGTTTTCTGTTCCTGTGTTAGTTTGCCAATAATGGCTTCCAGCTCCATCTATGTCCCTGGAAAGGACATGATCTCATTCCTTTTTATGGCTGCATAGTATTCCATGGTGTACATGTACCACATTTTCTATATCCAGTCTATCATTGATGGCCATTTAGGTTGATTCATGACTTTGCTATTGTGGATAGTGCTGCGATGAACATATGTGTGCATGTATCTTTATAATAGAATGATTTATATTCCTTTGGTTATATACCCAGTAATGGGATTACTGGGTAAACTGGTATTTCTGCTGCTAGATCTTGAGGAATTGCCATGCTGTCTTCCACAATGATTGAATGAATTTGCACTCCCACCAACAGTTTAAAAGCATTCCTTTTTCTCTGCAACTTCACCAGCATCTGTTGTTTCTTGACTTTTTTTTTTTTTTTTTGAGGCAGAGATTTGCTCTTGTTGCCCAGGCTGGAGTTCAATGGTGCACTCTCAGCTCACCGCAATCTCTGCCTCCCAAGTTCAAGCAATTCTCCTGCCTTAGCCTCCTGAGTAGCTGGGATTACAGGCATGCACCACTATGCCCGGCTAATTTTGTATTTTTAGTAAAGATGGGGTTTCTCCATGTTGGCCAGGCTGGTCTCGAACTCCTGACCTCAGGTGATCCACCCACCTCAGCCTCCCAAAGGGCTGGGATTGCAGGCATGAGCCACTGCGCCCATCCTCTGATTTTTTAATAATTACAATTCTGACTGGCGTGAGATGGTATCTCATTGTGGTTTTGATTTGCATTTCCCTAATGATCAGTGATGTTGAGCTTTATTTCATATGTTTGTTGGTCGCATGAATGTCTTCTTTTGAGAAGTGGTTCATTTCCTTTGCCCACTTTTTAATGGGTTTGTTTTTTTCTTGTAAATTTAAGTTCCTTATAGATTTTGGGTATTAGACCTTTGTCAGATGGATAGATCGAAAAAATTTTCTCCCACTCTGTAGGTTGTCTCTTTGCTCTGAGGATAGCTTCTTTTGCTGTGCAGAAGCTCTTTAGTTGAGCTACATCTCATTTGTCAACTTTCACTTTTGTTACAATTGCTTTTGGCGTTTTTGTCATGAAATCTTTGCCCATGCCTATGTCCTGAATGATATTGCTTAGATTTTCTTCTAGGATTTTTATAGTTTTGGGTTTTACATTTAAGTCTTTAATCCATCTTGAGTTAATTTTTTATGTGGTGTAAGGAAGGGGTCCAGTTTCAATTTTCTGCATATATGGCTAGCCAGTTCTTCCAGCATCATTTATTAAATAGGGAATCCTTTCCCCATTGTTTTTTGTCAAGTTTGTTAAGATCAGCTGGTTGTAGGTGTGCAATCTTACTTCTGAGTTCTCTATTCTTTTCCATTGGTCTATGTGTCTGTTTTTGTACCAGTACCATGCTACATTGGTTACTGTAGCCTTGTAGCATAGTTTGAAGTCAGGTAGCATGATGCCTCCAGATTTGTTCTTTTTGCTTAGGATTGTCTTGGCTATACAGGCTCTTTACTGATTCCATATGAATTTTAAAGTGGTTTTTCCTAATTCTGAGAAGAATGCCCACGGTGGTTTAATGGGAATAGCATTGAATCTATAGATTACTTTGGGCAGTATGGCCATTTTCACAATGTTGATTCTTCCTCTCTCTGAGTATGGAATGTTTTTCCATTTGTTTGTGTCCTCTCTGATTTCCTTGAGCAGTGGTTTGTAGTTCTCCTTGAAGAGTGCCTTCCGTCCCTTGTTAGCTGTATTCCTAGGTATTTTATTCTCTCTGTAGCAATTGTGAATGGGAGTTCATTGATGATTTGGCTCTCTGCTTGCCTGTTATTGGTGTATAGGAATGCTGGTGATTTTTGCACATTGGTTTTGTATCCTGAGACTTGCTGAAGTTGCTTATCAGCACATTTCTTCTTTATTCTCAGTAGAGTCACTGGACATTAAGTAGAGGCAGATTACCATATGAATTACAGTAACAACAACATCTATGTCTCACCAAGGATATCTGTGCTTTGGGGAAAAGAAGCAACTGTGAAACAAAAAGTGAAAGTAGAAGATGAAACTGAGCATGAGTTTTGGAGTCACAAAAACTAGATTTGGTTAATTTCTTTAGGTCTCTAAACTCCACTTTCCTTCTCTATAAAATGGGGGTAGTAATAATAATAACCTGTTTTGCCAAACTTTTATAAAGCTCAATTGAGATGGTGTATATAAAAATATATACTATCTCATATACGTTATTTTATATACTATTGTGAAATTCAAGATGCCATATGTGTGTTAATGGGTAATTGCTCTAGCTATTATGTTTCTAAGGCATGTTGTGATTTTAAAACATGTCCCCAAATTCTTTAACAAAAGGGAGAGTCTAATCCTCCTCCCCTTGAATGTGGGGCAGACTTGGTGAATCATTTCTAATAAATATAATATAATGGACGTGATGCTGTTGCATTGTGAGTTCTGAGGCTAGGTTATAAAAAGGAAGGCTTCTGCTGATTTCTGTCTCTTGGATTTCATGACCTGGAGGAAGTCCATGCCGCCTTGTTTTAAGGGTGCTCAAAAAGTCCTATTATGAAAAAGCCTATGTGGAGAGAAACAAAGGCCTCATACTGACAACTAGCATCAATCTCAGCATTGACAGTGAATATTCCAGTCCCACTCAGCCTTCAGAGGATTGAAAATCTGGTTAACATCTTGACTGCAACCTTAGAGATCATGAGCCAGAATCAACCAGCCAACCATCTCTGAGTTTAGGACCCACATAAATTTTGAGAAATAATAAATGCCTATTGTTGTTTTAAGTCACCAGTTTTAGGGGTACTTTGTTACACAGCAATAGATAATTAATATACATGATCACATTAGTCAAAATCTTATTAAAGATTTACAGGTACTTCGAATTCCACCATTAAGAACTGATGCCTTTGACATCATCTAATATTACAATGTACTTTCCAGCAAGATCCCTCGAATCTGTTTTCTATGACTACTGTAAAAAATTACTACAAATTTAGTGGACTAAAACAACACAACTTTATTATCTTTATTATTTTACAGTTCAAGAGGTCGGATGTTCAAAATCAGTCTCAGTGTGCTAAAATCTAAATGACAGCAGAGTTGTGCTTCTTCCAAAGTATCTAGGGGAGGATTCATTTCTCTACCTCTTCCAGCTTGCAGGAATCATCTGCATTTTGTGGCCCCTGTCCCCTAAGTAATGCTGGAGTTCATCTTCTGTCCTCACTTCTCAGACTCATACCCCCTGATTCCCTCTTATCAGGACTCTTGTGATTATGTTGGGCCTGCTCCAATAATCCAGGATAATCTTCCCATCTCAAAGTCTTTAATTTAATCACATCCAGAAGTCGCTCTTGCAATGTAAGGTAGCATGTTCTAAATATTGGTTCTTGCCTTTTAAAAAACTTTTTGATGTAAGAAGTGTAAGACAAATGCATAAGTAACTATAGTAGAAGACAAAATGTAGTCAAGCTATCTCAACTGTACCACATTAAGTAGGAAGGAAAACATAAGGAAAAGACTCTCAGATAAAGATTAAGAAAAACGTCAAGAGGAAAGGATACGAAGGAAACAAAAATTATGTTAAGAATTCAAGCCCAGATAATTAAGTTAAATAAAGGAGTTGTCATCAACATAATTATGGAAGTCAGAATGGCAGCAAGGGATGGGGGGCTGTTCTCAGTTATATGATAGGTGAAGTCTGAGACATATTTTAGAATACCTAGTTCAAGATATCCAGCAGATAGTTGGAAATGAGATACGCATTTGCAGCTAAAAAGAAAAGCTGAGGTTGGATATAAGAACATAAAAGTCATTTGTATAGAGACAGAAGTTGATGCCTTGGAAGTAGATAAAACTGATGAAAAGCAAGAAGATTTAAGAGGACTAAAGAAATAACCTTTAAAAGACAGGTTAGAGAGGAACTCGTAAAGGAAAAAGGAATGGTCAGAGAAACCGGGAAATTAGTGCAATGAATATCACAAAACCTAAGGAGGAGTTTTAAAAGAAGAGATGGTTGGCACTATGAACAATTTCAAGTTACCAATGTGAGTAAAGAGGTGAAAAGAGATGTTCACTATTGTAGAATATTTCCACCATACAAAGGCAATAGGTGAAATACCCTCGAGAGCACACATTATGTAAAATAATTGTTATGAGTCTTGACAGTGTGTGTTACCTTTGATTTTAATAATATATTTCATTTTAAGCTTATATAATTTAATTTTTAATATGGCTGTGTTTAACAACAAGCTCAGATAATTTCTGAAAAAATAATGATTGACAATTATAAGCCAGAAAGAGCCTGCTCCAGCACATCAATGTTCTGGCTTAAAAATGCACAATTTCATCATTCTACTATGAAGACACATGCACACGTGTGTTTATTGTGGCACTATTCACAATAGCAAAGACTTGGAACCAACCCACATGCCATCAATGATAGACTAGACAAAGGAAATGTGGCACATATACACCATGGAATACCATGCAGCCGTAAAAAGGGATGAGTTCATGTCCTTTGCAGGGACATGGATGAAGCTGGAAACCATCATTCTCAGCAAACTAACACAAGAACAGGAAACCAAACACTGCATGTTCTCACTCCTAAGTGGGAGTTGAACAATAAGAACACATGGACACAGGGAGAGGAACATCATACACCAGGGCCTGTAGGCGGATGAGGGGTAAGGGGAGGGATAGCGTTAGGAGAAATACCTAACGTAGATGAAGGGTTGACGAGTGCAGCAAATCACCATGGCACATGTATGTCTATGTAACAAAACTGCATGTTCTGCACATGTTTCCCAGAACTTAAAGTATAATAAAAAAAAGAAAACACATCCACAATTTCTTCATTCATTCATATTGATTCCATGCCTGCTCTTTGCTGGGCCCTAAGCTAATTACAGAGAAGACAAATGTAAAAAAGAGACAAGCCCTTCACTTGAGGATCTCAGTTCAATGGAAGAGACATAACACTAGCAATATGTATAATGAGTGTTGCAATAGAAATCTATACAAGTCTGACAAGAGAACAAAAGAGGAAATAACCAATCTTCTGCATTAGGGGAACAAAAAGCCCATACTCCTTAGCACGAATTAGAAGGACCTATATGAGCTAGTCCTTCTTTACTTACCAGCCTCAGCTCCCATAACTCTATTTGTATCCAAGTGGTAGTGCAACATGATGATTAGGTGCACAAGCTATACAGTCATGTGCACCTGTGTTCAAATACAAGTTCTACTACTTATCCTTATTGAATGACTAAGTAATCTTCCTTTCTAAAACGAGACTAGTAATACCTACCTCACAAGGTTGTTGTAAAGATTGATGGAGATGATGTCAATAAAATATTTAGCAAATACTTGCTGCACAACTTGCAATAAATTGTAGCAGATGTTCTTATTTTATTTGTACCCCACTATGTTCCAGTGATAATGAAGTACTTGTAATTTTCAGAACACAGCATGATTCTCCAGGATCTGTGCCTTTGCCTGATGAATTCCTGCTTATTCTTCAAAATTTAATGCACACATCTGGTCTCCTCTGTCAAAAGCTAGATAGACTCTCCTCTGTGTCACTGCTACTCCAAGTAAATGCTATCTCATTGTGGCACTGATCACAGGATAACAGCAAACTGAGGATCTCTTGTGGATTGGGACCATGTGTTATTCCCCTTGTCATCCCTAGTGCTTGACATAATGTAGACACAAGATAATGTTCAATTAGTAGCATATTTAATAGGAAAAGATAAAAATGTAAGTGAAGAAGAAAAGGCTTAAGATTCTAAAGACTTAAAGTTTTTAAAATGTTCTTGCCATTTGATCCAGTAATTTCAACGTTAAGGAGTTTAGGAAACAATCCTAATTAGAGAAAATGTCCTAAATATAAAAGTTTTCTGCAGTTATTTATAATATCACAAACCATAAAAAATAAAAAAGCTACATATATGATAATAGAGACATAATTATCATAAAAATATGTGTGATACAACTACTTGACAAATTATAATGTAATCATTAAATATAATAGGTATAAAAAACATACAATGACAAGGGAACATGCCAATGACATAAAAAAGTAAAAAACAAGAAGAAAAAATTGAAAGTATTATCTAAATGCACACACAGACACACACATGCATGTGCATGTATGCACATAGAAACAGAACTGAAGGGAAATAGGCCAAACCTCCCAACAGAGCTTGGGTTGGAGTATGGGGATTATAGGTGACTTGGTGATTTATTTCCTTTATTGGGAAAGGGACCATGTCAAAATTCACCTTCTATATTTTCTATAAATAATACACTGCTTTCGCAAATCTTTAAGTTATAATGTACTATTCAACATGGTTTTCTGATCTTCCTGAGGAACATTCAGCAGGCTGGGAACAGAATCAGAGAAAGCTAATAGTTGAGTTTTCTCAGAAGTAAAGAAATTTGAGAATCATAATTGTGGCATCATGAGCATCACCGACACGAGGTCGAAACAGGGTCATGGCCTGAGAAAATGTGGTCAGACAGGAAAATATTAAACCTTTGTATTTTGGAAATTAAGTCAGTGTGAGGGCCAATCTGAAATAAATGGATAGCTTCTTTGGTCTTATTTGAAGACACTATTATAATAAACTAATTCATCTGATTTCCCAGCCTGCATGAAGTTAGAAGCAGTTAATTGAAGGAGGCATATATATATGAAACCAAACTGGATGGTCTAAGCTGCTGGATATAAGATCTCCTGCAATGAGAAATAGGAGTTGATCCTACAGAGGTAGCAGCCACAAGGACCAGAAAGCATAACAAGCAAATTGGGACCTGAGAAAGGGGCAAATATTGTACACCCTGAATAGACACATATGACATCATTGTATTACAGCACAGCATGAATTACAGCATAGCAACTCATACTTGAGACAATAATTCCCACACCACAAACATGAACCCAGTATCTTCCTGATATGATTTGGCTGTGTCCCCACCCAAATCTCATCTTGAATTGTAGCTCCCATAATTCCCACATGTTGTAGGAGATAACTGAATCATGCGGGTGGTTCCTCCCATACTATTCTCATGATAGTGGATAAGTCTCACGAGAGCTGATGATTTTATAAGGGGTTTCTCCTTTCACTTGGTTCTCATTCTCTCTTGTCTGCCACCATGTAAGACATACCTTTTGCTTTCTGCCGTGATTGTGAGGTCTCCCCAGCCACGTGGAACGTCCATTAAACCTCTTTATTTCTTTATAAATTACCCAGTCTCAGGTGTGTCTTTATCAGCAGCGTGAAAACGAATTAATACATTTCCTTTTAAATTTGTGAAAAATCAATGAGAAAATGTATATGAAAGCACTTTGTAATGTGCCAAATGCTACATAATTGGTTCATTATAATTTTTAGCACTCTGTGAAGGAAGACAGTAATACAAATAATGCATTTTTAAATGTGTCTATCCAAGCCAATTAATTTTTTAATTGGCACTTAAAATTATCATTTTTATTGATCTAGAAATTTTATTTTTGTAGAATACCTCATTTTCTAATACTGCTGAATAAAAAAGATGTTATTGTTCCCTTGGGATGATGTCTCATAACTTAGAACAAATGACTTATTCATATTTTCCAGAGCAAATCTGAGAGATAGAGAGCAAGACAGCAAGAGAGAGAGAGAGAGAGAGAGAACATAATAGCTCAGGACACCTGGGGGAGGGAATGCCACAGATGTGGAAAGGAGCAGAAAGAGGCAGCAGGGTTGTCTAAAATAAACTTTCCTTACTCCCCACTTTTGCTGTGTTGGCCAGTGACTGGCTGCCAGGCTGCATGCCAAATTCCAAAGGACAAGTAAATAAACAGTTAATGCAAGTTATTCTGCAAATTTGCACATGCCCGCCCACACAAGCACTAAATTAAACTTTTCCCAGCTGAAATCAGGCTGCAGGCAAATAAGAATTGTTACCTCTTCTTTCCTCATTAGACATCCTCACTGTGACTTTGGCTCTGGGAAATATTTGGTTGGCAAGCAAGGAACTAGTTAATTTGAGCCCTTTTGCCCAAGTCAGATTCATTCCTGAATA
The DNA here is from genome assembly GCF_000001405.40 of Homo sapiens. Classification (NCBI taxonomy): domain Eukaryota; kingdom Metazoa; phylum Chordata; class Mammalia; order Primates; family Hominidae; genus Homo; species Homo sapiens. The sequence continues at coordinate 110,763,484 of NC_000011.10, read as the reverse complement.
TAGCAACTTTACTTGTTGTCCTTGAGAAGAAGCTACAGACAGTGGTGTGGTCAGATTTATGCCTGTAGAAAAAACAATCCCACATTCCCCGAAATGTCTTAACTTTGACCAGCTCAAACTGGATTTTATTGCTATTTGATTTCTAGAGGGCCATGTGCCTGACCTCCCAGGGGAATAGACAATGCTCAGAATGAATATTGAAATACCAAGTCATTATTTGCTCTGGGGGACTGCCAGAGCTGCCTGCTGCCTGAGTTTTAGGGGAGCCGAATAAGGGGTTCCTATTTTAAAAATTCAAAGTAAAATAATTATCCGTGGTCCCCTCCAGATAGCACAAAATGAAGCCACTGCAAAGAGTGATGTACCAAAATAAGATATATAATGAGAAAGAGCATTTTCTTATTGTGATCAAAACCTGGTGGTGGGGCCCAAGACCAATCATTGTAAGTGGATCCCTCACCTACCCTGCCCAATACTTGTATGCAGATGAAACTGAAAAATGTATGGCAAGGGCAGCTTTGAGTTGGAAAAGTATATTTAAAGGCCCTACCAACAACCTCCACGAGTAGCACGTGCTGAAGGGGAGAAGCCATGGTGAAGGAAAGCCCATGGGGAGCTGATTATAGACCCAGGAAGCACATGCCTGTTTTCAAGCTTGCAGCATCTTAGCTGGTGCCTTCTGTGAATGCCTCATGTATCACAGGCAGAGGCAGCTAGGCATCACATCAGAAGAATGAGCTAAGGATTCCCCAGGCACTTTTTTGAGGGCTGGCAGTTCTAAAGGTCATCCTGCTAAAATGGGAAGTAATTTCATGGGTTGGTGGTGATTCTGCCTTTGGTAATAATAAACAAAGTTGAGACCAATCATAATATTTAGTATCCCCCACTATGTAGTGATGAAGGAGAGTAGTTCTGATGAATTCTGATTGCTTTGGAGGAAAAATGCAAAGAAAATTAATTTTCCCCTTGGGGGTAAAGTCCTCACCACTGGAGGTTAATGGCCCCTCCCAGAAGTGGGTTTGAGGCTCCCATTAGGAATAAATATCCTGCTTTATTTTTAAGAGGTAGCATTTCACTTAATTATAAAAGTACGCCATAATTTTAAAAAAATATAGGGCTCCCTTACACAATTTACTACCCTTGAAAACTATAACAACACATAGGGATGTGGCTCCTTGCTTGGATGGGACCAGACTGGAATGCTGGGTCAGAGTACAACATTCACCATGGATGAAAGACAGGATGGCTGATTTGAATGAAAGCCATCGCTGAAGTTTCCTGTAACCATGGTAACCAAATCAGAAGCACATATTAATGATAAGCAAAAACAACTGGCAGTTTGCCTAGGCATCACTTAGAAGTATTAACTTCCTAAGGTGAGTGCCATGAACAGTCTACAGAAAAATGGTTCTAGAACAAGTCCATAGCATTACTTGTTCTGCCTGAAAACACACATACACACACACCCACACCCCACAGGCTTGTTGCTTTGGTGGCAGTGGTACAGGTGTGCACTATCAGTATCTGTTGCAGATACAGAAGCACTACATGAGATCAGGGAGAAGAGCCCATTCCTGGGACTGATTTCTGGGATTTTGCATCTCTTCTTTATTGAGTGGACTCCAAGCAGAGACTCCCATTTCCCTAGCATGGCCTTACTTGTCATCCAGCTACAACACTTCACTGAGAAATGAAGATTGAGAAATTTGATCTTTCAAAAATGGGGGTCACAATAATAGCAACCACTTCTATAGCACTTTTATGTACACCAGGCACCATTCCAAATTATTCCTAAATTATATATCTTTAGTTAATTCAGTTCCCCCCAGAAGTAGCATCAAGGTAGTCCCATGGCCATCTAAGCATAAGTCACTTGCCTTTCCATGGTATGTATAGTCTTAGGAACCCTATAGTGGAAGTTAACAAATCCATCATCAGGAACTGGGATCGTCAGTGAAACTTTGGTGAGCAAATCACAAGCTTCAACTTCAGAAGACCTGAGTTCAAGTTTAAGTTCCCTCGCTTCCTGCATAACTTTGAGCAACTTGTCTCAGGTTCAGTTGCCCCATGGCTGAAACAGGGATAATCAGTTTTTACCTTGATGACTTTATGGGATTATACGAAATGTTGTATATCAGGGCACTTAACTTGCCCCATCAGCAAAAACTGTTCTTTCTTCTGTGTTACCATTGCCCATTTTATTTGTGTCTCTTATAAGATACCCTACAACCTGGCTTTTATTAGCTTTATGTAAGTCTAATTCATTAAATTATGAGCTCTTTAAAGGCAGGAATAATATATTAATATTTTTGTATGCTCAATACCAAACCAAGCTTATTAGTACATTCATATAGCCATAAGGAGGTCAATATTGGTATGTTTAACTGAATTTAATTCAATAAAGCTGAATTGGATTGATTGGAATTGAATTTGCTGGCTATTTGCTCCTCAATTACCTCTTCTTATTGTGAGTATCTGGAATGGGCAGTAGACAGTATCTGGAATTGTGAGTATCTTGGGAAGCTTGGGCAAGATGGGATCTGGAGTAGATTCCAATCAGAGTTTGGGGTGAGATTGAAGCTGCAAACCATCAGATTGGAGGCATGTGTCTACCATCACTTTCTGCACAGGCTGAGGCTGTATAGCCAAATCTAAACATTTGAGCTCTGTTTCTGGAACCAATACTGTTCTTCTCATCTAGCTGAGATAAACTTTTCAATAATTCCATTTTCCTTAATCTATTTTTCTACTTCTAGACCCAAGAAGTAATATTTCCATATCTCTAAGAAAAACAGTACCCCATTGAATAAGAGGAGAAAGACAGACTGATAATGATTTTGAGGGTAATATGTAAATGTGTATGATACTTTTGATATTTATGCTTATGTTATGAATTTTTAATAAAGGTACCTGTCTTTTATCTTTCACAAGTAAATCAATGAGATAACGTATTGGAAAGAGCTTTTATAAACTTCAATAAACTACACCAAGTTAAGTTGTTACAAGAATAAAAATCTAGCATGGCATCATTTGCCTCTGTTTCATCACTTTTAACATAAGGAATTTGTAAACTTGGATTCAGGTCTTGGAGCCAGTTCCTCTGTCCAGCTGTCAGGAATGTCACAGCTGAGTCAGGGGGCTCTGTGGGGCCATCCTCGCATCCCCAGGGTTTCTTCTCCATAGCCTGAGCCACTCCTTAGTTGGATGCTTGCCTGCCTCATACCTATTAGGCTTTCAAACATAGGGTAAATCTAAACCAAGTTTCTTTGGGTGTTTCTAGGGGTTAGGCATTCTTGACTTTGCAGTCATGTGGTACTTCATTATCTTCTATGAGCATTGCTTTTGCGGCCAGCATCGCTCCAGGAAGTACAGAGTGCCTGGCTGAAAGTAAATCTTGGAGTGTTTCCAGTTCTCAAAAAGAGCAGTTGATCCTTTAGTAGTAGCTGGTATTCCAGACTTTGCAGTCCAAGATGAGAAATTCAATCTCTCAAAAACAGGGGAGTCATGATAACAGCAAACACTTCTATAGCACTTTTTATGTAGTAGGCACCATTCCAAATTATTCCTGACTTATGTATCTTTAGTTGATTCACACTGTTAGCCCTATGAAGTATAGATACTTTTGTTAACTCCATTTTATAGATGATGAGGCTGGGGCACAGAGAAATAAATTCCTTGCCCAAAGTCATATACCTATGCAGTAGTATAGCCAGCATTTGAACCCAGTTGGTTGAGCTCCATACTCTTAATTACTATGCTATTTATAAAAAGGGGTATAGAAAAGTAAAACATACAAACTCTAAAATCTCATGATAGCAAATAATTTTAACTATTTCCCCCTCATTAAGACTCTTTCAAGATGCAAAATTTTGTTACCTGAATTTTTTCTTCTACCGTCTCTCTGGCATTGCTGATAATCAGCAATAGAATGGCAAAAAGGGAAAAAAACAATCCTCTGTCTCTCCTCTTTTTCTTCCCCTTCTTTCCAAACATATTGAATCCTAGTATCTACTAGTAATTTACCTCAGAGTGAAATATGAGCATAAATAAGTTATGTTGCCAAATAATTCACAATCTATAGGAGGAAACAGAAATATAACTAGTAGTTCAAAGTTTTATAGTTAAAATATACAGTTTTTTTTGTTTTGTTTTTGTTTGTGTTTTTGCAAGAACACTCAGAATCATTAATTCTGCCTGGGGTTCCAGGAAAACAGAAAGAGAAAGGAAAGAAACAAGGATTTGAGAAAAGTTCAGAAATAGATGCTGATTAACTCTCGATAATTAAAAGTCCTTTCAATTCAACAGATGTTTAGAGAGAGTCTACTGTAAATCTAGTATTATATTAAGGTCCAAAAGCATATGGAAGATGATATGACAAGTTTCCTGCCTCAAGAAGCATATAATCTTATTGAGAAAATGAAAGCTACACCCATAAAAGTATTAGAAATGTATGACGGAGTGCCAAATGCATCATGTAGACAAGAAATGCAATAGAAGGTGAGAAAAAGGAGCTCTACAAACATGGAGTTGAGAAGTCACGAAGAATGTTACAGAGATAGGACCTCACTGTATGTGTTTTGTGTACTAACCTTACCATGGCTCCATCTTATTTACCTACCCCTATTTTCCCTTAGCCAGAATTTCTCTGTTTAAAAAAAAAGGTTGCATTTATTTTTATAAGCTGATTTGAATACTTTTTTATAAAAGGATAAAGAAGGAAGGAAAAGGAGGGAGAGAGGGAAGAAAAGAGAAAGGAAAGAAAAGTATCTCCATTAACCCTTGAACCTTACTATGCTCTGAGGCATTCAGTCCAACAGCATATCATTATGTAAACACTGTAGTAGAGCAAAGTGTGTAAGAACATAAGCTTAAAAGTTTGACTTCAGGGGGTTCAGCTCTCAGCTCTGTCACTTATAGGTATGTGACATTGGACAAGTTGCTTGTGTCTTTTGAAAACCTTGAAGGAAGAAATCTAAAACTATTTTCCATATTGATATTCAGAAAGTTTTTGTATATTTTGCCTTCCTGCACCCTCTAATTCATAAGCCACATATGGAGGACTTGGTTTTCTCAACTGTAAAATGGAAATAATACTATTACTTTCCTCAATAGGTGTAATTAAGCTAATTACATTAAAGTTCTTAGAGCAGCCTCTACACATAATAATTATGTGTTAGTCATTTGACAATTATTCCTTGAACATTCCAAGAAGTGAGCTAAATCTTGGGAATATGAAAATAAACAACTCACAGTCTCTTTATTTAAGAATTTCACAATCTAGTGCAAGACATGCTAAACAAATAATTTTAACATAGTTTGGTATTTGCTAAATTAGCCATATGCATAAGCATATTTTCATATTATACTTTAACTAGCATAGCATAAGAATGCATTAACTTTCTGGTAGGCTTATCAAACTATTGGCTAAAATTGAGCTCATCGTCAAGAAAAATTTCTGGATTTGTCATGTGAATTATTGCTTACTCACCTCTTCTCTATCTTGTACTATGCAATCGAATTTTTTAAATGTGTCTTTTTCTGTATTACATTTCATCTGCTTTAAGCATGTCATTCCAACTTGTTAGCACTTCTTTAAGTCTTAAATATCATCCATAACCCTCATTTTCCCTCCCAGATTTTTGTGTCATGTAAATTTGATGAGCATGTCATCCATTTCTTCACTATGTTTATGAAGAGGACAGTCAAGGACAGAGCCCCATGGTACCATGAAAGACATCCCTTCATGTTAGTACCTAAGTATTAATCAACCTTTTGATACTCAACACATTGTACTAAAATAAGTTTTACCTCACTGTACTATGATTCAGTCCATGTTTTAAGTTTTGCTTGTCATAATATTTTACTGAATATTTATCTTATAAGTTAGGTAATAAGAGACTATAGTGTTTTGCTAAAATCCAGACATATTCCCTCTACAGTGCTCCTTGATCTATTAAGCCAAAACCCTACCAAAGAATAAAAATAAATCATTTTTAATGGCTCATTCTGACTCCTAACAATCACCACTTTCTTTCCTAGTACTAAACTGTCTGATGATTATCTCACTTCTCCAACTCCTCATCCCACCCCTCCCCGTCCACTAAGTTGTGAGCTCCTCCAGGTCAGAAACATAACTCTTTGTCCGTAGCACCTAGCATACTTCTGGACATATAACAGATGATCAATAAGTAGTTGTTGAATAAGTGAATAAAACCATCTGTCCTATTTGGTTTTGGTTCAAGTTTTATCCAGGATATTCCTTCGCTAAATTGCAATAACTATTCCAGGCCAAGTATGCGATCATTCTTTGGAATTTATTAGGTTATGGGTTATTAACAATAATAATAATAATTTCAGTCACTAACTTAGAAATGATGGTGTAATGTTAATGGATAACAAAGAGAAAACGCAGCTCAATTTCTGTTTTACTTCTGCCTTTTCAAGGAGAGTGGTCTCCATGTTGAAAAGGTTAGAATAAAATTGGTTAGATAGGTATGGAGATTGTAAGAAATCTGCCTGTTCCCAATATGTTCCAGTTTCTAACTGGATTAAAATGAAGGAATTCAGAAATCTTGCAAATAAAATTATTCTAGGTATACCAGTGGCCTCTAAAAATATTTTGAGGAGTCTTGGAAGCCTAGAATAGGTAAAGGTAAATAGCATTCTAATTTTCTAAAGAGAAAAAAAGTGGATTATGTCACTTGGCATCATTCTAGATTGTAAAAGGAATGGTTTGTGAACACCCAGAAGAGAAACTGGTGATAGCTTACAAAAGCCCAGTTAAACTCCTCTCATTTCCTCTTTGACAATGTTTCTGGGCTGATTTTTCTATTATTCATCAATTACAGAACTCCTACTCCATGTTAGACACTGTGCTAAGTGCTAGGGATATAACAGTGAACAGGACAAATATGGCCCTTCCCAGCCAATCTTAACCTAGTACAGGGGTTACAAATGTTGGCTCACAAATCATACATACAAATCATACATACCAAGCAATTGTTGTTTGGCCAACACAGTGTTTCTTAAAGCAGTTTTAATTAGTTGGCACCATTTTAAGCTGGAAGTTTACATATGACAATCTAGATTGCTAACTTATTTTAAGATAAGAGGAAAAGTTAGAGAACACTGTGATGCCTAAGAGATGGACAGTCAAGAAGGAAAGAATGGGTTGTTCCCCAGAAGGCTACCCACGTCCCACATGCCATTTATCACTATTCAGGCCCCAAAGGCACAGCTTAATATTCCCAGTGGTTTAAAGGGAATCATCCCAAGCACAGCCCATAAAAACCTCCCCAGGGAGCTCAGCCAGGTTCTACAGCTGTTCACTGTTTAACAAGACCAAGGAAACTAGGGATCACATAGAACCAGAGTCAATTCCCTTCAGACACTGAGAAATCTTCGTTACTCTGCTACAGCCTTAGAGAGATTTAGGGAGGTCTCTGATGAGGAGCTTCCCCTCATAAGCACTGTGGATAAATATTTCTGTGAACTGCTGGCATCTGGATGTCAAGAATTTTATGAACACGGAGATTAGCTCCAGATCCATCACTCCTATAGAATATGAAACCACCCAGGCTTGGCTACTGCCGGCAGCTCAGAGTTAGAGTCACTTAACTCCTAAGCCAACCATCCTAGAATAACATCTTCAACCCTTATTTACTCAAAATATTCAGATACAATCTGGAGAACTGAAGAAGGAAAAAATGACCTTCCACAGAAGATAATGGGTAGGTTTGATTTACCAGTTCAGGACTTCATCTGTTGTTGCTGTCTTTAAACCACACTTACCATAACAATAGCCCTTGGAGAAGTCCCATGCACAATTTTTGCTCATTTCATTTTGGGGACCTTCAGAACATTGTGTTATATCTGATTCAACAAAGAATGTTTCTAACATTTTACCATTACATAAACTATTTGCTGCAGCTTGAAGTAGATTTCCTCTTCTGTTCCTAATTTACCAAAGAACTTTTAATCAAATGATATTTCTAAATCTATTGAGAATATTGTCATTTTTATTTTTACTTTCTATTAATGCAATAAATTCATTATTAGATTTTCTAACATAACTCTGACCACAAATTCCTGAGATAAAACATTTTCAACATGATCTATTACATTATTATATATTCTTTCTGGATTCAATTTACCAATATTTTGTTTAATACTTTAATATCTCTGTTCATAAGTGGATTGGACTTTGATTTACTTTTATTTTACTATGTCCAAATTTGATATCAAGGTTATTTAATACTATAAAATGAGTTGGAATGTTTTCTCCTTTTTTCTGTCACCTTGAAGACTTTGTATAGGACTGAAATAGTCTGTTCTTTATAGTTTGTAGAAATTACAAAGTCATTTAGTAAGGTGTTTTCATTCCAGGATGATTGTTGATTACTGAGCAATTTTTTTTCAAGTTATAGGGCTACTTTGATTTTTTATTTCTCTTTGAATAACATGTTGATTTTCTATATGTTTTAAAGTTTGTGGGCAAAATGTAAAATTTATTATTGTCTCACTAACTCTACTATGTTGGATTTTGACCCCTTTTTATACCTAAGATTTTTTTGTTCTGCCTTTTTTTTCATGATCAGTTTCATTTGAGATGTGTTAATGAATTTTTGGCTATATTAATTTAAATTATAGTATATTTATTTTTTGCTTTTCTAGGGTTTTAGTCTGTTATCTCATTACTTTTAATCTCCTTAGATCAGTTTTGTTTCTTTTCTAACAAGTTTTACCCTTACCTTATTAAATTTCACCTTTTTTTTTTTTTGAGATAGAGTCTTGCTCTGTCACCGAGACTGGAGTGTAGTGGCACAATCTTGGCTCACTGCTACCTCCGTCTCCTAGGTTCAAGTGATTTTCATGCCTAAGCCACCCAAATAGCTGGGATTACAGGCATACGCCACAATTCCTGGCTAATTTTTTGTATTTTTAGTAGAAACAGGGTTTCGCCATGTTTCCCAGGCTGGTCTCAAACTCCTGGCCTCAAGTGATGCACCTGCCTCAGCCTCCCAAAGTGCTGGGATTACAGGTGTGAGCCATCTTGCCCAGACTCACTTTTTTTTTCTTTTGAAATGAAAGCATTTAAAGCTATAAAAAATTCTCTAGCTATCAACAGAGTAAATAGGCAACCTACAGAATGGGAGAAAATATTTGCAAACTGTACATGTGGCAAAGGGCTAATATCCAGAATCTACAAGGAACTTAAACATACAAGCAAAAAAAAAAAAAAATTAAAAAGTGGACAAAATACCTGAACAGATAGTTTTCAAAAGAAGACATACATGTGGCCAACAAGCATGTGAAAAAAATGCTCAATATTACTAATTATTAGAGAAATGCAAATCAAAACCACAATGAGATAACATCTCACACCAGTCAGAATGGCTATTGCTAAAAAGTCAAAAAATAACAGATGCTGCTGAGGTTGCAGAGAGAAGAGAACACTTATACACTGTTGGTGGGAGTGTAAATTAGTTCAACCATTGTGGAAGGCAGTGTGGCAATTCCTCAAAGGACTAAAACCAGAACTACCATTGCACCCAGCAATCCTACTACTGGGTATATACCCAAAGGAATATAAATTGTACTACCAAAAAGACACATGCATACATACATTTATTGCAGCACTATTCACAGTAGCAAAGACATGGAATCAACCTAAAAGCCCATTTCAACATAGATTGAATAAAGAAAATGTGGTACATCAAGGAGATACCACAGAAAGGTAAAAGTCAATTAAAATTTTAAAAATACAGGATATGAATGAAAAATTCTCTAGAGAAATAGATATCACACAGAAAAAACTATCAACTTATGGAAATGGAAAACACACTTAAAAAATACAAAGTGCAGTGCAAAGTTTCAATGATAGACTAGAAAAGGTAGAAGAAAAGACTTCAGAGCAAAAGACAAGGCTTTCACATTTACCCAATCAGACAAAGACAAAGAAAAAAAAAAATAACTGAACAAAGCCTCCAAGAAATTTGGAATTATGTTAAATGGCCAAACCTAATAATAACTGGTATTCCTGAGGAAAAAAATCTAAACGTTTGTAATACTTATTTGAGGAAATAATTGAGAAAAAACCTCCCCAGCCTTGCTAGAGATCTATACAAGAAGCTCAAAGAACATCAGGGAAATTGATTGCAAAAAGATCATTGCCTAGGCACATAGTCATCAGGTTATCTATACTCAAGAAAAAGGAAAGAATCTTAAGAGCTGTGAAGCAAAAGCATCAGATAACCAATAAAGGAAAACCTATCAAATTAACAGCAGACTTCTCAGCAGAAACCTTACAAGCCAGAAGGGACTGGGTCCCTTCTTTAGCCTCCTGAGACAAAATAACTGTCAGCCAAGAATTTTGTATCCAGCAAAACTAAGCTTCATAAATGAAGGAGAGATAAAGTCTTTTTCCAACAAATGCTGAGAGAATTTGCCACTACCATGTCAGCACTACAAGAAATGCTAAAAGGGGTTCTAAATCTTGAAACACAACCTTGAAATACACCAAAATAGAACCTCCTTTAAGCATAATCTCACAGGGTCTATAAAATAATAACACAACAGAAAAAAAACAACAACAAGGTATTAAGGCAACAACATTGCTGTTGAGCAGTACCTCACATCTCAATAGCAACATTGAATGTAAATGACCTAAATGCTCCACTTAAAAGATACAGAATGGCAGAATGGATAAAAAAAAAAAATCTACCAACCAAGAATCTGCTGTCTTCAAGAGACTCACCTAACACATAAGGACTCACATAAACTTAGGGTGGTAAAGGGAAGGAAAAAGATATTCCATGCAAATGGACACCAAAAGTGAGCAGGAGTAGCTATGCTTATATCAGACAAAACAGACTTTAAAGCAACAATAACAACAAAGACAAAGATGGATATTATATAATAATAAAAGGATTAGTCCAACAGGAAAATATCACAATCCTAAATACATAAGAACCTAACACTGGAGCTCCCAAATTTATAAAACAAATACTACTAGACCTAAGAAATGAGATAAATGGTAACACAATAATAGTAGGGGACTTCCATACTCCACTGACACTACTAGACAGGTCATCAAGACAGAAAGTTAACAAAGAAACAATGGTCCTAAACTATATCCTACAACAAATGGACTTAACAGATATTTGCAGAACATTCTACACAACAACTACAGAATATACATTCTTTTCTTCAGCATATGGAACATTCTCCAAGGTAGACCATATGATAGGTCACAAACCAAGTATCAATAAATTAAAGAAAATTGAAATCATATCAAGTATCCTTTCAGACCACAGTGGAATAAAACTGGAAATTAACTCCAAAAGGAACCCTCAAAACTATACAAATACATGGAAATTAACCTGCTCTTGAGTAATCTTTGGATCGACAATGAAAACAAGATGGAAATTTTAAAATTCTTTGAGCTGAACAATAATAGTGACACAACTTATCAAAGCCTCTGGGATATAGAAAAAGCGGTGCTAAGAGGAAAGTTCATAGTATTAAATGCCTACAGTAGAACATCTGAAAGAGTGCAAATAGAAAATCTAAGGTCACACCTCAAGGAACTAAAGAAACAAGAACAAACCAAACCCAAACCCAGCAAAAGAAAAGAAATAACAAAGATCAGAGCAAAACTAAATGAAATTGAAATGAAAAATATGTAAAAGATAAATGAAAGAAAAAGCTGGTTCTTTGAAAAGATAAACAAAATTGATAGATCATTAGTGAGATTAACCAAGAAAAGAAGAGAAAATTCAAATAATCTCAGTTAGAAATGAAGCAGGAGATATCATGACCAATACCACAGAAAAACAAAAGATAATTCAAGGTTACAATGAACACCTTTACACACACAAACTAGACAACCTAGAGGAGATGAATAAATTCCTGGAAATATACAACCCTCCCAGATTACATCAGGAAGAACTAGAAACTCTGAAAAGACCAATAACAAGCAGCAAGACTGAAATGGTAATAACAAAATCGCCAACAAGAAAAAAAGCCCGGGACCAGATGGATTCACAGCTGAATTCTATCAGACATTCAAAGAAGAATTGGTCCCAGTCCTATTGAAACTATTCCAAAAAATAGAGAAAGAGGGAATCTCCTTAAATTATTCTATGAAGCCAGTATCACCCTAATTCCAATACCAGAAAAGGATGTAACAAAAAAAGAACATTAAAGAACAATATCCCTCATGAATGTACATGCAAAAATTCTCTTCAAAATACTAGCTAACTGAATCCAACAGCATGTCAAAAAGATCATATGCCATGATGAAGTGGGCTTTATTCCAGGGATGTAGGGATGGCTTAATACATGCAAGTCAATAAATGTCATATATCACATAAACAAAATTAAAAACAAAAATCACATGATTATCTCAATAGATGCAGAAATTAAGGATTTGACAAAATCCAGCATCCCTTTATGATTAAAACCCTCAGCAAAATTGGCATAGAAGGGACCTACCTCAAGGTAATAAAAGCCAGCTATGACAAACAAACATTATACTGACTGGGGAAAAGTTGAAAGCATTCCTCCTGAGAACTGAAACAAGACTAGAATGCCCACTTTTACCACTTCTAGTCAACATAGTATTGGAAGTCCTAGCGAGAGCAATCAGACAAGAGAAAAAAATAAGGGACATCAAAATTGGTAAAGAGGAAGTCAAACTGTCGTTGTTCGCTGATGATATAATCATATACCTAGAAAACCTAAAGACTCATCCAAAGAGCTCCTAGATCTAATAAATGAATTCATTAAAGTTCCAGGATACGACATTAATATACACAAATAGGTAGCACTGCTATACACCAACAACGACCAAACTGAGAAACAAATCAACAATTCAATCTCTTTTATAACAGCTGTAAAAAATAAAATAGATTACTTAGGAATATACCTAACCAAAGAAGTGAAAGATCTCTACAAGGAAAACTACGAAACATGGCTGAAAGAAATCATCAACAACACAAGCAAGTGGAAACACATCCCATACTCATGGATGGGTGGAATCAATATTGTGAAAATGACCATACTCCCAAAAGCAATGTACAGATTCACTACAATTCCCAGTAAAGTACCATTATCATTCTTCACAGAACTAGAAAAAACAATCCTAAAATTCATATTGAACCAAAAAAGAGTCCACATATCCAAAGCATGACTAAGCAAAAAGAAGAAATCTGGAGCATCACATTATCTGACTTCAAACTATACTACAAGGTTATAGTTACCAAAACAGCATTATACTAGAAAAAAAAAAAAAATAGGCATGTAGAACAATGGAACAGAATAGAGAAGCCAGAAATAAAGCCAAATACTTACAGCCAACTGATCTTTGACAAAGCAAGCAGAAACATAAAGTGGAGAATGGACACCCTATTCAACAAATAGTGCTGGGATAATTAGCAGGCACATGTAGAAGAATGAAACTGGATCCTCATCTCTCACCTTATACAAAAATCAACTTAAGATGCATCAAAGAGTTAAATCTAAGACCTGAAACCGTAAAAATTATAGAAGATAACATTGGTAAAACCCTTCTAGATGTTGACATAGGCAAAGAGTTCATGACAAAGAACCCAAAAGCAAACGCAACAAAAACAAAGATAAATAGATGGGATTTAATTAAACTAAAATGATTATGCACAGCAAAAGAAATAATCAGTAAACAGACAACCCACAGAATGGGAGAAAAATATTCACAAACTATCCATCCAACAAAGGACTAATATCCAGAATCTACAAGGAACTCAAACAAATCAGCAAGAGAAAACCAAATAATCCCATCAAAAACTGGGCAAAGGACATAAATAGACAGTTCTCAAAAGAAGATATACAAATGGGCAAGACACATATGAAAAAATCCTCAACATCACTAATTGAATATGAATTAAAACTACAATGACATACCACCTTACTCCTGCAAGAATGGCCATAATTTAAAAATCAGAAAATAATAGATGTTGGCATGGATGTAGTAAAAAGGGAACACTTTTACACTGCTGGTGGGAATATAAACTAGTACAATCATGGTGGAAAGCAGTATGGAGATTCTTTAAAGAACTAAAAGTAGAGCTATCATTTTTTCCAGCAATCCCACTACTGGGTATCTACCCAGAGGAAAAGAAGTCATATGAAGAAGACACTGCACATGCATGTTTATAGCAGCACAATTCACAATTGCAAAAATATGGAACCAGCCTAAACGTCCATCAACCAACAAGTGGATAAGGAAAATGTGGTATATATACACCATAGAATACTACTCAGCCATAAAAAGGAATGAAATAATGGCATTTGCAGCAACCTGGATGTAGTTGGAAACCAATATTCTAAGTGAAGTAACTCAGGAAAGGAAAACCAAATATCATATGATCTCATAAGTGGGAGCTAAGCTATGAGGACACAAAGGCATAAGAATGATATAAGGGACTCTGGGGACTCGTTGGGGAAGATAGAATGGTGAGGGATACAAGACCACGCATGGAGTACAGTGTACACTGCTCAGGTGACGGGTGCACCAAAATCTCATAAATTACCACTAAAGAACTTATCTGGCCGGGTGCAGTGGCTCACACCTGTAATCACAGCACTTTGGGAGGCCAAGGCAGGCAGATCACTTGAGGTCAGGAGTTCAAGACCAGCCTGGTCAACATGGTGAAACCCTGTCTCTACTAAAAATACAAAAAAAAAAAAAAAATTAGCTGGGCATGGTGGCAGGCGCCTGTAATCCCAGCTACTTGGGAGGCTGAGGCAGGAGAATCGCTTGAACCTGGGAGGCAGAGGTTGCAATGAGCCAAGACTGTGCCATTGCACTCCAGCCTAGGCAACAAAAGTGAAACTCTGTCTCAAAGAAAAAAAAAATAACTTATCCATGTAATCAAAAACCATCTGTTCCCCCCAAAAACTAATGAAATATAGAAAAAAATGTAGTACATATACACCATGGAATACTATGCAGTCATAAATAAAGAATAAGATTGTGTCCTTTGCAGGAACATGGATGGAACGACAGGCTATTATCCTTAGCAAACTAATGCAGGAACAGAAAATCAAATACCACATGTTCTCGCTTACAAGTGGGAGCTAAATAATGAGAACATATAGACAGAAAGAGGGGAACAACAGACACCGGGCCTACTTGAGGGAGTAGGATGGAAGGAGGGAGAGGTTCAGGGAAAAAAAATATTGGGTACTATGCTTAGTACCTGGGTTATGAAGTAATCTGTACAACAAACCCTCAAATCATGAGTTTACCTATGTAACAAACCTGCACATGTACTCCTGAACCTACAAAAAATATTAAAATATATATTTTTAAAATTCTGTTTATCTACTGCTTTAATTATATCCCACACATTTTGAATTATATTACTACTATTATTATTTAGTTCTAATGGGTTTTTTTTTTAGGTGACAGAAGGTCAGTTTTTACTTTAATTAGGCTGTAGACACACAATGTAATCTGTGTAATACTAGTCCTTTGATAGCTGAGTTTTTTGGTTTTTGTTTTGCTTTGTTTTGTTTTGTTTTTTATTTTACCTAGAATGTACTCGATATTTGTAAATGCTTCATGTGCTTAAGAACATAGTTGATCACTATTCAGATTCCATATTTGTGAATTCACTTACTACAATTTGTGATCCCAAAGTCAATACTCATGGTGCATTCACAGTCATTTGAGGACATGCACAGAGCAGTAAAAAATCGAGTTGTTCAATGCTCACGTTCCCAGCTGAGGTCAAACAAGGTGACATCCTGCCTTCTTGTTTTAGCTCTTATACTATAAACAAATGTCCTTTTCACAACCTAGTCAGTGTCACGATTTTTGCATGCATTATTGTGCTTTTTCTTGGAGATTTTGTTATTTATAATGGCTTCCAAGAACAATGATAAAGTGCTGTCTAGTGTCCTTAATTGCAAGAAGGCTACATGATGTACCTTACACAGAAAATACGTGTTAGATAAGCTTCCTCCAGGCATAAGGTATAGTGCTACTGGCCTTGCTCAATGTTAATGAATCAATAATATATATTAAATAAGGTGCCTTTAAATGGAAATACACATAAAACAAAGTGATATATGAATTGAGTGATAAAAATATTATGGTCAGAGGTTTGTAGGAACTTAACCTTATATTTCCCCCAGGACCAATAATTCAACATTTGCCATGTCGGCATTCATGGGGACTTTATAGAACATAACTATCACGAATCACAAGAATTGACCACATGGTCTCTAATTATTGGGTAAAGGTTCCTAATATGTCTATTACATTTTTAAAAAGAAAATTGTGGTCAACAGTGTCAACAACCATGGTGAATCTGGATGACAACTGCTGATTTTATGAGATCTCTTGTAACCTTGGGGATAAGATTAAGGAGGCCCACAGTAAACCAGTTAAATAGTCATATTCAGAAGAGGCTGATTAATAGATCCTCATTTTGGAGGGAGGTCTCTAGGGGCTAGCTTCAGAGCTCAGCTCTTAGCCCTGCACCTTCAACATATTTATCATGATGTGGATAAGAACAGTTAGAGGATAAGCTCTCATAGCAACTTTTCTAACCTTACTGGTTCCTTTTATTTTTTCATCTCCTCTACCTACCTATTTAAACTCTATCACCATTAACTTTCACCTTGTTACTCTTCCTCATCTAAGACTACATATGGCTAGAGAGAAATACAATTTCACGTGTTCTCTTCTTGGCGTTTTTAAACCACAGTGTGATACCATCTCACGCTAGTTAGAATGGCAATCATTAAAAAGTCTGGAAACAACAGATGCTGGTGAGGATGTGGAGAAATAGAAACACTTTTACACTGTTAGTGGGAGTGTAAATTAGTTCAACCATTGTGGAAGACAGTGTGGCAATTCCTCAAGGATCTAGAACCAGAAATACCATTTGACCCAGCAATCCCATTACTGGATATATATGCAAAGGATTACAAATCATTCTACTATAAAGACACATGCACATGTATGTTTATTGCAGCACTATTTACAATAGCAAAGACTTGGAACCAATCCAAATGCTCATCAATGATAGACTGGATAAAGAAAATGTGGCACATATACACCATGGAATACTATGCAGCCATAAAGAAGAATGAGTTCTTGTCCTTTGCAGGGACATGGATAAAGCTGGAAACCATCATCCTCAGCAAACTATTTGGAAACCAAATCCTCAGCAGGAACAGAAAACCAAACACTGCATGTTCTCACTCTTAAGTGGGGGTTGAGCAATGAGAACACATGTACACAGGCAGGGGAACATCACACACCAGGGCCTGTCGGGGGGTGGGGGATAGGGGATGGAGAGCATTAGGACAAATACCTAATGCATGGGGTGCTTAAAACCTAGATGACGGGTTGATAGGCGCAGCAAACCACCACGACACGTGTATACCTATGTAACAAACCTGCGCTTTCAGCAAATGTATCCCAGAACTTAAAGTAAAATTTTAAAAAAAAGAAGTGGTACACAAATCCTCTTGTGTTAAAGAGTTTTTGTCATTATCACAATAAAATAATCACAAAAAAAGTCTGAGAGAGTGACCATGCTTTTCCAAAGCAGTAACAGTTATAGTCCTACTCTGTGTTTAATTCATTTTGATTTAATAAGTACGCATCTGAACATCTAGCATAGGCCAGGCATTGTGCAAGGTGCCTCCAGGGACACAAAGAGGCTATAAGGGGTCACTCTGCCCTCAAGAAGGCTGATAATGAAGCTCGCTTTATTAGAGCCTGGGAAGCCTGCAGGGAGGCCAGCATCCTTGAGACATTCCTCTGAAAGCTGGCTTGAGCATTGGCTTTTTTGAGAACCTGAGGCTTGTGTGATTCTCTTGGCAAAGGACCTCAGCATAGGGAATGAGCTGTTCCCTGGGGCATTTCTTCAACTCTATTTACCAATGTATAGATGACCACATGATCAAACACACACACACACACACACACACACACACATACCCCACCACCACTGCCTGGGACCACCACCAACTTGTAGGTGACTTGAATCTGGAAGAGAAAGCAAATATATAAAATAAAACAATTAGAATCCAGTCTCTAAATCCAAATATAACAAACTATCCAGATGTCCACAGGGCAAAGTTAAAAATGAACATTTTTTCATTATAATCTGACTATGTCACCTTTATGCTAGTTTTTGTTGGTTTTTAGAGATTTTTTTTAAATTTTAAAACTATACTAGTTGGCTGCCAGGGGCTGAGAAGAGAGGGAAATGGGAAGTTACTATTTAATTTAATGAGTACAGAGTTTCAGTTTTGCAAGATGAAAAGAATTATAGAGATGGATGATGCTGATGGTGGCACAATATTATGAATGTGCTTAATACCACAAATGGTGCACTTAAAAATGGCTAAGATGGTACATTTTACGTTGTGTGTCTTTTCCCACAATAAAAAATGTAAAGGAAAAAAAACCTACATCAAATGTTGAAGACAAGGAAAATATGTCATTTTGAGATTTCATTTTCGCTCTACAGAAAGAGTGAAAATGAAAATACTGGACTATCTGCTTCCATATCAGTTATGCAGACCTCTACTAGCAAAACATTTTTAATGGCAATTAATGCAGAGTCCTGCTTTTTCATACTGATGACCAACTGCCCAATACAGAAAGGTGAATTTAGCTTAATAGTCTTAGGGATTTTCATACTGTCCTTAAAACCTTAACACACTGTGCTTTAACAATATAGCATCGCTACTAAATGCAAGGGCTTTGGGCAAGTCAGATTGGCTTGTCTGCAACTCAGACTCTTCCCCCTTACTAGCCAAGTGGCTTTGGGGGATGGTTACTTAAGCTCTCTGAGCTTCAGTAATTTATAGGCATTAATATTTACTTCTTGGGACTGTTCTAAAGATCAGTTGAGATCATGTATGTAAAGTGCCTGGCCCATAGTAAGCACCACAAATAGTGATGATTATTTGCCCATGCTATTCTTTATGTCTGTGCTCCCTCCACCTGCCCACACTTAGCCTGGCTAAAGGGTTACTTCCAGAAAGCCCTACTGATCCAGACTCCCTCACCCCAATCCCTAGTGCACTCTAAGTGTGTTGAATTCTATACTTCTTCTTACCACATGCATTATAATTACATATGTCTTTGTGTCACTAGATTGTGAACTCTTTGAAGGCAGGAACTATCTTGAATCTTTATAGCCAAAGAATCTAGCAGTGCTTGTCACATAATCATGAAGAACAATGTTATATGTCCTCTAAAAGATCTAATATAATCGTCAGGAGTATTTATAAAAATAGCATGTTCTCTGTTTTTAAAAGCTTTTACAAATAAACTCTGACCATTGGGATGGAATCTTGTAGAACATTAGCTGCATGGTTGGATTAGATCCATGGTTCCCAAGTGTGTGAGACTGTTGTAGACAGGGTAGGGGGTAAGTTTTTCAAGCATTCTTTCTTGGGAAACTATTCTAAGACTATGTTATTATGTCCTTCTGTGTTAAATTATCCTTTTTAAAAAGTGAAAAGAGAACTATGAATGTTTAGAGAGTGGGGATTCTTTGTTCAGTTTTGTTGAATGTTATTAATTGGCAAAATTAAAAATTAGCAACTTTTTCTGTTCTCCACCCTCTAGCATTCCAACATTTAAAAAAATTTAGTTGTCAGTGAGACCAAAACCCAGAAATCAATGAACATTAAAGTTCATTTCAACCTTTATTCTGGCTGTGGGATAGAGAAACTGTGTTCCCTACATACAGCATCTGATCATGCATATAGGCACATTTTAGAATTTAGCAAACAGAAAAGACTCCCCAAACTCATATCACTGACTTCCACTAATGGTAAGCCTAGATGTTAGGCCAGTGACAGATTTTTGAGAACTTACTCATGACGTTAAATTCAAGCCCCTTGTCACCAAGAGATTGTCTTTCAGAAGGAGGCGCTAGGGATGGAAGTATATGAGGCCCTAAGATAACATTACAAGAGGCCATGCTGTTAGGTTGATTTTGTTTTCCAAAAATAAAGCAGAAACAATCAAAGCCAAATAATGAAAACACTGCTACTACAAACAGACTGACATCTTTTCCCAAAACTTCATTAAGCCATCTTTTGCTTTTCCAGTATTTCCTTTTCAATCACTCCAAACAAGAAAGATGCATTATCTTCTTAAAAATTGGCTTGAGAATCCTCTTGTCTTCTTGTTAACATAGAGATGTCAAAAACCAGTTTTCATGACATTTTAGTTTACATATGGGAAGTGACAGTTCAAATCCTGAAATTGGCTGATGTCAAATAGCCATATAATGGAAACTTCCGCTAAAAGGTTAATCAGTATATGGAGGATGGTGGGAAGAGACGATGTGAAATAGTTGTCTGGGAGAGTAGAAAGTTGAATTTCTTAGGGAGGCACAATAGGATTATTTTCAGGATAAATATTTCATTTGACTATAAAGTCTTCAGACACTTGCTAAATAACTCTTATTATGTATTAGAACTGTCTTCAACACTGTTGTCAAGACAAATGTTATAATTTAGTTTTTTGTAGGCAAAATGCAGTCCTAGAATCCTTCCTAGTCTTCCCTGCAGTACAGGTTGTGTGACTGTTTTGGGGAAAGCACAGGGAACAGAACTGCACCACCACTGATAACAAACAGCCGTCTTCTAAGCCTACCAAATCTGATTCTACAGGCAAGAGTTTTGTCCTGTAGATTATTTTAAAACATTAGAAATGTTCAGGTGCTTAACATGTTTAGTTTTGCAAGTTTCCTCTAAACCACATTTCATCCAATCAATTGAAGGTCTGAATAGAACAAAAGCGTTGGTCCTATCCAAGTAAGAAAGAATTCCTCCTGTCCGTCTCACATAGAACTGAGACATTAGCTATTTCCTGCCTTTGAACTCTAATTGAAATATTGGCTCTTCCTGTCGAGCCAGGATCTTGAGCCTGTTGGTTTTCAGGCTGGAACTACACCATTGGCTCTCTTGGGTCCCCAGCCTGTGAGTCCTACAGATCTTGGGACTTGTCACTCTCCATAATTGCATGAGTCAATTCTTCATAATAAATAAGTAAATATTCTGTTTTCTATTGGTCCTGTTTTTTTTCTGGAGAATCCTGACAAATATAAATGACTATCAGCACATGAAAAGATAGTAAACATCATTAATCATAAAAAAAAATTCAAATGAAACCCAACATGATATTACTACACATCCTCTAAAATAGCTGTTTTTAAAATAATAACAAGTGTTGGTGAGGATATAGAGCAATGAGAATCCTCATCGCTGAATGTAGATATGGACAACCAACTTGAATAATAGTTTGGCAGTTTTCTTATAAAGCTAGATACATACTTACAAGACATTACAACAATTTCATCCCTAGGTATTTAACCAAAGAAATGAAAACATTTGTTCACTTGTGGTGGGATATGGATGGCCCCAGGCATGCAGCAGTGGTGCAATTATTTAAACTTTCAGTGGTGAATTGGGGTGAAATACTAATGGAAGGGACTGCACTGGTGGGTGCAACTTGTAAAGCATTGGAAAATACAGGGGAAGTAGTAATTATAAGCACTGTGTGGAATTGGATGGAAGACACTTACTGTAATGAATCATCAATTAAAGGCTAATCACAAAAACCAGAAGATATCCTTGTGGTATCTCCTCTCTTCTCCTCTCCTGTGGCTAGAGAGCAGAAACAAACTTAAGAATCAGAGTAGCAGAGCTTCAAAGGATGTTGAATTCTCCACCTTCAACCTTAGCAAGTCTGATATACCAAGCTCAGGGCCCTAATTGGGGAAGATTGGGAGATAATGCCAGCACACTGATAGGGTAGTACTTGGAAGCTTGGAGAAAGCAATGGCTCATAGCAAGTGAAGTAAAATGCCAACTGCTGTGGTAGACAGAAGAAGATGGAATCAAAAGGCTCAGAAAAATGGGCAGACTAGGGTATATATACCACATCAAAGGCCAGAAAACCTACTGTATTTGTCTGTTTTCAAGCTGCTGATAAAGACATACCTGAGACTGGGCAATTTATAAAAGAAAGAAGTTTATTGGACTCAGAGTTCCATGTGGCTGAGGAGGCTTCACAATTATGACAGAGGTGAAAGGGACTTCTTACATGGCAGCAGCAAGAGAGAGAGCTTGTGTAGAGAAACTGCCATTTTTAAAACGATCAGATCTTGTGAGACCCATTCACTATCATGAGAGCAGCAAGGGAAAGACCTGCCCCCATGATTCAGTCACCTCCCACGGGGTCCCTCCCACAATACTTGGGAATTATGGGAGCTACAAGATGAGATTTGGGTAGGAACACAGAGCCAAATCATATCACCTACTATACGGCTGTGTTCCATGGGAGGATCTGAAGAACACTCCATTTACCAAAGCAATAACCAATGAGCTAAGTGGATGAGAAGGAGAGCAATTATCACTACCTATTGGTGGCAACCCCCTGCAGGCCTGAGCTGACTACAAGAGATGCTATTACAGAACCTGGCTCCCTGATAACAATGGTGATCCTGAGATTCTAGAGCCAGGTGGTTGTGCTTAAGTGTCTGAAGCAAAATTAGTGCAATCACAGTATTAAGCAGCAAGGTGAGGGTAGCAGCCAGGAAGGTCTGGACCTGAAGAGAGCTAAAGCATTAGTTAATGCCATTGTTCTCAAACTTCAGCATGCATCAGAATTACCTGGAGGGTTTTTAAAAACACAACTTGCTAGATTCACCCACCGCCTTCCTGATTTAGTAGTTCTGAGTTGGGACCTGCTATAATGAATAACAAATAAGTTCTCTGGTGATACTAATGTTGCTAGTTTAGAAATCACAAGTTGAGAATCACTAGACTAATAGAACATGGCACTCCCAGGGGCAAGATAGACTGTCAACAAGAATATTGTTAAATATTTAACATCAAAAGAAATCATGAATGAATAGTCAGAAGGCTAAAGGCCTGGTTATTCTTCCTTAATTTAGTTTTTTAGAATGGGGCTTATGGAGGCCGACTAATAGAAAGAATTCTGGCTCAGGTTTGGCTCACAGTGGATCCACTGGCTCTATGGACCCACCTGGTTATTTCCTCCATATTGGTTCCTTGGTTTGTGGAGCAAGAAATATCATACTAAGAAGGCTAAGTGGAAACCTCTGAAACTCCTCCCTTATAACCCAAGAAAGATAGTAAACCAAAAATAAAATTGCATCCTGGGAGGAACAAAAGAGAAGAATGTCATGCTTAAAGACCTAAAGGATATAGAGATAGTGACCCACATCATATCCTCATTTACCAGTCTGGGCCCTACAAAAACCAGAGCGGTCCTGCAGGATCAAAGTAGACTAAAGCAAAATCAACAAAGTAGTAGGTCCAAATGCAGCTGCTGTGCCAGATGTGGCTAAAACTAATTAGCACCGTCTTAGTATGGTATAAGGCTACTGACCTGATTAACACATTTTTTAACCCTATCTGAAAGGAATATAAGAATCAATTTGCAATCATATGGGAAAGACACCAGTATGAAGTTACTACAGTCTTACCCCAGGGCATGTTCACTCTCTTGTTCTCTGTCTTAATACAGTCCAAATGGACCTGGACCATCTGGACATTCTGCAGAATATCACAGTAGTTAAATGGTCATAATTAATTAACAAGATGATCAATAAGTGGAAGTACATTGGAGGCCTTGGTAAGAAACATGCACTGTATAGGATGGGAGATAAATCCTATAAAGATTCAAAGATGTACCAGATCAATGAAATGTTTAAGGGACCATTGAGGAGCTTAGGACAAGTCTGTCAAAGTAAAACACAAATTATTCCTCTTGGATTCCTATTATGAAAAAACAACCACAAAACCTGGTTTTTTGAATCCTGGAGGTAGCCTATGCCCCATTTGGTAATGGTACTCTGATGATTTACTGCATAACCTGTAAGGATACCAGCTTTCAGTGTGGCCCAGATGAAGGATATGTTCTATAGCAGGTCCAAACTGTGTGTAAACAGCCTTGCCACTTGGGCCATATGACCCAGCAGACCCTATGGTATCTCTGGTGGGAAAAGACACTGTGTGGAGTTTCTAGCAAGCACCAATAGGAGAATCATAAGTAGATCTGAGGGTTCTTGCACAAAGCCATACCATCTATAGCACAAAATTATATAGTGCTCAATAAACAGCTCCAAATGTGCTGCTGAGCCCTTGAGAGTATCTGATCTTGAAACATCAAATGACAATGAGGGTAGAACAGTTTTTCATTCTATCAGACCCACCATGTCACAAGGTTGTATTCTTCCAGCATCAATCTATCTTAAGACTTAAATAGTACATTTTGAATTGAACCCATGTAGGGCCAATTCAAGGAGATAAGTAAGCTGATGCAGGGGAATCTTTGAGCAGTGTACCAGTCACTTTGTATGAAAAGAGAAGTGGACCAAGGTTACAAACTCAAAGGCAGTGACAATTGACTTGGCTAGTTGATCAGAGGTCTGGAGGAAATAGATTGGATGATTGTATACAAGTCTGCAGAAGAGGCATGTGGGTAGATGTATGGGAGAGAACATGATGAGTGAAGATATTTGTATCCCATGTTAAGGTCCACAAGAGGGCATCCATCCACAGAAGAGGCATTTAACAACTAAGTAGACAGAATAACCTGGCGTTTGATGTCAGCCAACCTCTGGCCACTGGGCAAACAAGTGCAAGTCCAGTTGGTTTATAAAAAGAGAAGCTAATGCATGGGCCCAATTGCTGGTTCAGCTACTGCCACAGCCAAAGGTCCCACACACCAGCAACAAAGACCAATACTGAGTCCTAATGCAGCACTTAGCAACCAGCTACTTCACAGGTTTATTTCAGTGGATTCTCTCAATGCTGGAAAGGACAGCAATTCTTCTTGACTGGAATTGACACATATTCCAGGTAGGGTTTACCTTTCCCACCCACAGGGCCTCAGCCAGTGCCACTACCTGAGGGTATACAGAGGTGATGTACTACAAGGATGAAGTGCCATTCTCCAGGCCAAGATAAGCTCTATTTAGGGCCACAGGTGGGCCACTGGGGCGATACTCCTCCGCTCAATTTTGATAGTAAATGGACAAGTACTGCATCCATAGCCTAAGGAGGGTGTGGTGACCAAGTCACTCATACCCCTCAGGTATGAGTGACTGATTGAGCCCAGCAGTTAAGCCACATAGACCTGTTGAGAGGCTGGGGTGAGGGTGAAAGGAATCTAGATTGGGTAGTAGAGGGATATGAGGTGTGACTTTCACAACAGCTGTAGATGCAGAGGTTGTATTGCATCCTACTAATCTTCCTCTTATAAATTTCCAGGAAAAGAGACCAACTGCAGTCCTGGAGATTGTCTCAGATGTCCTATGTGAAACAAGAGGATCTGTACATTCCAAAGGTAAATTCTAGTGAATTCTCTGGTATACCATCCAGGCTCTTTTTCAGGACCAAGGCACATATGATACCATAGCCAGGAGTATTTGCTGCTAATTACTTACAGCTGTGTCTCCCCCAGACCTTGCCCTCTGTGGAAGGGTACTACTTTGCCCAAAGTTATTCTCCCTTTTTGCAGGAAAGCCCACATCTAATAACTGGTCTATGTGGGATTACAAGAGCTCAGCCCTCTTGCCTCAATTGTGGATATCTCTGAAGTCCCAGCCCTTCAGAGTTCCCTGTGGGGTCAGCTGAGGCCTCTGTTGCAAACTGCATCCCACTTCTGCATTTCTATCTGTCCTATCCTGCTTCCTTTGCTCCCTCAGATTTGTGCCTGTGAACATTCACTTGATAAACCTCTTGCACGTATATCTCAGCATCTCAGAGTTTATTTCCTGGGAATCTGAACCTGCAACTGTAATATTACTTTATGTAGTTTGTTGTGTGGCCGAAATATGAAAAGAATGGAGGTGTGAAGACCAGCTAGAAATTGTTAAGAACCAAAGCAAGAGATGTTATAGGCCTGGCTGAGAAAGTGTGTATGCAGTGGGGAAGGAGATGTATATTTGAGAGGGATTTCAAAAGGAGAAGAAGCAGTATTCCATTCTGAGTCAATGTGGAAATCAAGAGAAAGGTAGGAGTCAAATTTAGACCTTCGGTTATTGATAGAATGGCTGTACAACCGAGAGAAAAGAAGGGCAAATAGCATAATAGGGAAGAGAAGGTGTTCACTTAGACCTGTTGTATTTGAGGTGATGGTGTACCCCCGAAGGAAATGTAGTTACTTTAATATATTCCATAGAAAACATGTAAATTGAGTGAGTAGCAACCACTCCTCAGCCATCCTTGTGCATACATTTTTCTCACACAAGGCCTATAGGTAAGGATGAGCTTACTAAACTCCAAAAGGAAGGATAATATAACACTATTATTCTCTTCTCTTCATTTTTCCCACTTCCAGATTTGAGGTCCGATATCAGGAATGCTCTGTGAGATGACCAATCTTTATGATATTTTTTTCCTGAAAGTAATTAAATGGGCTGAAACATAATTGTATAATCTACCATGTTGAGAGATCTGTAAAATAGATAGGATATTTTTAATATACCAGACCATAGTTGCAATGGACAGATACATAAAACTATTTCTCTAAAGTCAAAGTATAATATTTTTATTTTGCAGAGAAGCGAATAGACTTTAAAAGCACAGAACTATCAGAGGCATGCAAAACGTATCAGACTATGTGAAAAATACTCCGTAAGACAATTTGATCAAATCAGCCTATCGTATTATGCATTACTTTCCTCAACCGATCTGCAGTTTGGGAAAAGTGTATTTTTGAAATTTAAATATGCTGAGCCCCTCTCTCATATGCTTTTTTAGGCCATTAGGCTATTAATACTATATTCATCTGTATTAGGTTTATTTCCTTACGAAAAGGCAGCCACAATAGTTACAATTATGCAATGTACTGCAGAAAGGACTGAAAGTGCTTCTGTGTGTTACTTCTCCACCATAGGGTATTTCTTAGCAATGTGTTTAAAGACCTAATCTTTCTCCACCTCCCAATCTTAGATCAGTCCTTCAAATAGTACTTACACGTTTGGTATACGAATGCTTGTTTGCACATGATTTTCTTCTTTCTTGCTTTTTTTTCTTCCTTCCTTCTTCCTTCCCTCTCTCCCTCCCTCTCTCTCCCTCCTTCCTTCCCTTCCTTCTTTTCTTCCTTCCTTCCTTCTTTCCCTTTCTCTCCTTCCCTCTCTCCCTTTTCTTCTCTCTCCCTCTCCCTTTCTTTCTTTCCCAACATAAATCTGGAGGCTTAAAGGGAAGCAAGTTGACTATGACCATTCATGGAATGTGAATACATTCTGTGTCTATTTCTGTGTTCTAGCACAAAACAAGATATGCATGTGAAATGTCTGCCAATAAAATACTTAAATTCAGAATCCTCCAATTTCTGTACTTGTATTTCATTAGCATTTGGAAAGAGTGTTAATATTTGGTTAAGCTAAATCCTGCTGTTGCTCTTGTCAAGATAACATAAAAATGCTGTATCAGCTGTAATTTTATCTTGACTCCTCTTAACATCCTCCTACAGAGCAACAGTGTGCCTATAGCAACACAGTCTGTGATACATTGCATATGTCTTCATTTGATGACTCCTTTCTACAGAGCATTATTTTCTCACCTTGTCCTTGGATTCAGTGTGGATGATGCCTAACATTTCTTTCTAACCAAAGGACTTAAAAGAAAATATATTGGTACTTTAATTCAGCAATCATATGATCCTCAGAAAATGAATGTGTATTTCTCTCCCTTCCCTGCAACACACAGTGTGCAAACAAAGGCTCTGTCTGATCACCTAACCTGATGAAGCAAGCCCTTAAGCAATGCCACATGCTTAAGCACATGTCTGCAAATTTAATTTGCTAAAAACCCCATTAAACAATCATGTATATTGTATTTCTTTCCATTTTTTTCACTCATTACTAAAGCATTTCCATGTGTAAACATAAGTATTTTCTTTTCTCATCAGTCTTCACTTCCTGCTCTGTTCTTTGAGTTATGGTGCCATTCAGTAATTTAACATTGCCATGTTTTATCACTGGAGCCGTAGAAACAGCCTACAGTGCCTTAATAATAGGAAAGAAAGCCCACATAGGAAAGAAATGTCCTGGCAAATTTAATTTACAGGGATGTGAATTCATGTTGTTTCACTCATATTTGCATACTCTGGTTTTGTAAGGTCTTTTTATATGGCTTGGGAAAGACGAAAGAATCCCTTCTCCCCTTCTTCTCCTCCTCCCCTCCTCTGCTTCTCCTCTCAGGAGATCCTGTGCCTGTCCCAAGGCTTAGAGAGTCAAGGAACTCCAGAATTAACTTGTGGCCCCTAACCTAGAACTAAGGTTCCAGGACATTAACATCTACGTTAAACAGAAGATCATAATAATACCATTTGTGTAGTGCTTTGCATTACACAACATGCTTGTACCTACATTCATCTCATATATACCAAGTCAACAAACCCTTGAGGTATTAAATATGTCTAAATTGAAGTACAGAGCAGTTAAGTAATTTGCCCATGTTTACATAGTTAAGACGTAGGGTATGGAGCCAGGAAGCAAACTTAAGATCTCTAAGAACAGAGGTTCCCTGATTTGGATTAATGGTTCTCAGAAGGAAAGTGCCAGGAGCAAATTCATAAATTTAGGTGATTTTGAATTTGTATTGTTGAGGCTAAATAAGTTTCTAGCATAAATAAAATGCTAGGTAGTCAAGAGTTATTGGATAGCAATATTGTACATGAAAATGCCTAAAATGTACAGTGACTGAAAAAAATCATATAAATATGCTTGTGGAGATTAAGAATATTTTTATGGACTAGCTACTTGTTCCTCCCCAGCAGGTATTTTTCTTGATTGTTTTGGAATAAAGCCATTTTTATAATTCATACTTTAAATCAACTATAAAATGTCTCTTCAAATGATCATTTCATAAAATGCTGTTGTTAGCCCAACCTACTTCTAGGTATGAAAGTAATGAAGTGAACAGATTCAAGGTTAATTGCTACCCAGAGAAGAATCTATTTGCAAAGCTATAATCCTAGATCAGTTGCCTCCCTGAATCAGGCAGTCAACATTCACTATTGTAGGAAATCAGATCCATTTTAACATTAATCTAAATATAGGACAATTAGCAAAGAAACTCTACTGGTATTACAAAAAATTAACACATTTCTAAACCAAATATAAATTGCTTTTTAGATAATCTGCAGTTTGGGATTAATTAAATGCTGGATCCGTTACTGGATAATCTAAATTTACTATTTTGCTTGCAGAATAATTTGTTTTAAGTTTTTTTAGTTTTAAAATTTCAGAGAAGCATCTCTGATTTATTTTTTCCGATTTATGATTCTTGGAAGGCATGTCATTCTCTCCAAGAAACTAAAGAACAAATTCAAATCATGGTAGGAGTTTCTTTCCACTGCCCATTCCCTCAGAATGTGGGTTTATCACACGTAGGATAAATCAGAGTATACATTACTAACCACTATGTCCGTTTCATTCATGAAAATAAAAGCTATATTCATTTATTTGCTCATTGCTGAAGTAATTTGACTGTAGTATATTCTGTACACGTATCAAACTTTTTTTATTTTCACAGAACCTATCTCCAAGCAATTGCCTTGTCAAGGTTACTTTCTATTTTCTAATTCACAAACACAGCACTTGGCTACTGCTTCACAGAATTATACTGTAAAACATTTCCTGATCTGTCCATCTTTCAGTAGAAACTTTTTATTCTAAATCTTAAAATTGTGTATGTATGAATATGCCTTAAAAAAAGAAAGAAAAGAAAGAAAGAGTAATGAAGTATCTGAACAGGTAGAAAAAAACAGTTTATTAAGATTTTTTTGTTTGTTTGTTTTCCTCAGGACAAAAAATATTTCCAGGCTGAAGAACTAAGTAGAGAAGTAGCGTTTAGTTATGCTGTGAGAACCTCACACTCTCTGCCCTTCTCTAGTTTCTTTCACTTCTGGAGCGCATCTAGAACCACAAGCTCTGTAATCACAAAGCGAGCTCTGATCTTGAAAGAAAATTGCCTTCGGCATGTTTACTAGGTTTACTAGGGTTGTTAAGGAAAGTCTTAGGAATCATGATTTCTCTGCGTAGCATATTTCCCAAGCAAGGGTGAAGAGGAGAGAAAAATGGATAGAAATCAAATCAAAGTAATAATTTTTAAATAAAATACGGTTTCTGCAGTAGCATATATGTGATTGTACACACATACACCACACACGCACACACTCTCTCTCCCTGGAAAGCCCATAAGTGGTGGCTCTGTCATGTGATTTGGGGAAATTATTTTACCTTTTAACATTTCAGTTTCCTGATCTAAAGGGGGAAAATTCTCCAAAGATTATGAGAATTAAATGAGAGAATGAATGCAATGGGCTTTGAAGTTATACAATTTGGGTTAGAATCCTGCCTCACACAATCCTGGCAAGTGATTTACTGTCTCAAAACCTCAGATTCCTCATTTCTAAAAGCAGGAATAATAATAGTGCCCATCTCCTGGGTTTTTTGTGAAGACTACATGAGATAATAAAGGACTTAGTCCATTGCTGAGGACACAGTAGGCATTCGTGAAATGACCATTGCCTTTTTCCCTTTCCCTTCAGTTCCCAAATGCGATCTTGTGATTATTCTTACTAAACATCAATTTAACTATCAAACTCTCCACTATTAAAATTAAGGAACCTAGAGAAAAATTCATTTTAAATTTCATTCTGAAGAGTGAAACTTACATAATATGCCCATTTGTAACTGCTTTTGTTTACTAAACAAGTTTGTAAAGACTTTTTAAAAAATCTTTCACTAACACTTTTTAGAAACAAAAAAAGTTAAGTACAATAAGAAAATGAAAATAAGAGATTTCCATACCCAGCATTAATTACTGTTAACATCTTAGCAGATTAACTTTTATTTTTCTTTCTTCACTCTAAAGAAAAATAACTCTATTCTTTTAAAAAGATGATACATGCTAAGTAAGTATAAGATATCAAGCAATCCAGAAGACTAAAAGTTTTAAAATCACTTTAAACTCCACTACCCAGAAATTACTATTGTTAATATTAGGAGAAGATAATTCAGGATATTTTCTATACAACTACAGAGAGACAGACTAAAACATGTATGTATTGATGAATGGATGGATGAATGGATGGAGAAATTACTTAAAAATTAAATGGGCCAGGCGTGGTGCCTCACACCTGTAATCCCAGCATTTTGAGAGGCCGAGGCAGGCGGATCACAAGGTCAGGAGTTCGAGACCAGCCTGGCCATTATGGCAAGACTACGTCTCTACTAAAAATACAAAAATTAGCTGGGTGTGGTGGTGGGAGCCTGTTGTCCCAGCTACTTGGGAGGCTGAGGCAGGAGAATTGCTTGAACCCAGGAGGCAGAGGTTGCAGTGAGCCGAGATCGCACCACTGCATTCCAGCCTCGGTGACTCCATCTCAAAAAAAAAAAAAAAAAAAAAAATTCTATTTTCTTGGAATTTTTTAAAAGAAAACAAGTAAATTGAAGGAATGTCATATTCAAATAAAATATTTCTCCTCAAAAGATATTATTTTCCAAAAGAGCTCTTTAAGGTTTAATGTGGGAAATGAGGGTTAAAAAAAGAGTATGAAATATTAATAAAATCTGTCATATTTTTTAAAACCTACAATTATCCATTTTATTCAATATCCATTGATGCTATGCTTTAAAGAAGACTAAGTCTTCTTTCCCTCTCTACTCCTCTGATCTCTCAAAAAGTTTTTAGTTCTTTTTTATCTTTACATTGTTAATATTTTACTATTTTTGCGTCTTCTCCTGTTACCATAATACCTGACATATTTTATATTGGTTTTATACTTAAGTTGATTCAATGCTTACCCACAAGTCTTTTTACTATGGTTTCTACATTCATGAATTATTTGATTCATCTCTTAGCTGGCTAGATTTATATTTCAAGATCTTTTTTCAATAATGCTGTGTTCCCCATATTGTATTACATTTGATAATATCTGTTTGCTGCCTTTATTTCAGAATACTATTTTGGATGGGTATAATTCTGGAATCACTTTTACTCTCAAAACTTCCATTAATCTGTTTTCTTCTGGCTGCAGAGAAATCTGAAGTTCCTCATCCTTTTATGCATGCAACGAATATTCACTAAGTACCTACAATTTGCCAGACACAGTTTTAGGCATTGGTGATACCGCAGCATAAAAAAAAAAAAAAAAAAAAAAAAAAAAAAACTCCCTGCCGTCATGAAACCTTGAAGTGTAACAGTTTAATAAAGATAAGTCTTGATGCTAAGTATGAAATTTACCAAGAACACAGGATGACTTTTTTAATCCTCAGATTAAATTTTTGTGTTTAATTTATTTGATTGCTTTTGGTTCTCATTTTATCTTCTCATGTATGAAACCTCTCTTCATTTCATATGTCATCTCATCTTTGAACACTTGTTTCATTACTTAACTTGTTCTATAGAAGGCAGCCTTTATAAAGAATTACTTCCTGTTCCATTAGGTTATATTTGCATTTAGGTTGGTCTCTTTCTTTTGCATGCAATGCATGATTTCACGTTGTGCTATTATATTTTTGTATAGTTGCCATGCCATTTTGTTTCATCTTGCTCATTTTTTTCTATCTCTTCTGAGATTTTATTATATGTTCTATACTGGGATTCTCTGCTTCTGGTTGGGGTGAAGGATGGTATACTATTCTAGTGGGAGAAGACCTTCAAGTTTTGGATCACTCTTTGAACTGATGTATAGCCTAGAGTCCTCCTTCCCATAAGAGAAGCAGCTTTACCATTCATTTTTTTATCACCTATTTCTCTCCAGCTGCAGTTCATGCTAATTATTGATCATAAGGAAAAAATAAATGAAAATGCTTACTCATTTTGTTGGGTTTTTTTTTTGTAGATTAGGCAATATTGGGCAGAATTATATTTAGCCATTTCAGAAGTTCATTCTCTAGGATTTGAAGTGAGATGAAGAATGCAGCCCTATTACTGTTCTTTACTACTCTACAGAATTGTTTCCCCTCTAAGTAACCAGGTTTTGAAATTTTGGCTTAGGTCAATGGATTTTAACTTTGGATGAACCTTTGCAGCTTTAAAAATTCCTGAAGCTTAAAGATTTTGATGTTCAGGTTGTACCCCAGACAAATTAAATCAGAATCTCTGATGGAAAAAACCCAAATATTATTATTATTTATTTATTTATTTTTTTGAGACGGAGTCTTACTCCATCACCCAGGCTGGAGTACAGTGGCATGATCTCGGCTCACTGCAACCTCCGCCTCCTGGGTTCAAGCAATCCTCCTGCCTCAGACTCTCGAGTACCTGGAGTTACAGGCACCCACCACCAAGACTGGCTAATTTTTGTATTTTTAATATAGATGGGGTTTCGCCATATTGGCCAGGCTGGTCTCGAACTCCTGACTTCAGGTGATCCACCCACCTAGGCCTCCCAAACTGCTGGGATTGCAGGTGTGAGCCACCGCGCCAGGCCCAAATATTATTCTTAAAAGCTCCCATAGTGGTTTGAATGCTTGAGAACTTCAAGCTTAGGGTATGCTCCTTTCCTTCTTTGGTGGCTATAGGAGATTAAAAACAAACAAACAAACAAACAAATTCTTTTTGCTTATTTTGTGATATGCTTTGGAAGAAAAATTCTATGATAAAATTATAATTTGCTACACTTTTAAGCACTTCTTAACAGGAAACTGAACTGTTCTCAATAATTATTTGCTAATTGCTTCAGTTATTTTTCATATAAATGATACAGTCCTCTGAAATCCACTTCTGCCTTTCACTCACTCAACACATACCTATTTATCACAGGAAACAAAACAAACCCTCTCTGTTTCATTCGTAGATCATAGAACAGTCCTCATTTTGAGTAAGAATAAGAGTAATACAAGTGCTATAGTTATATCCAGTATTAGGAAAATCATAAATTCACATTTTCAACAAACGTTTATGGGATCTGAAGTCATGTTTCTGTTCCTCAACATCTTGAATGTATATGTGTGTGTGCATGTGTGCAGTTTGTGTGCACATGTCTTTGCCCACATATGTGGTAGGAAAAGAGAAATGACAGGACTTTAGGAGATGCCTACATTAAACATATTGGCAGGAAAAGAGGATCCAGTGAAGACATCAAAAAGAAGTCAGAGAAATAGGAGCACAACTAAATTCAGGCTTTAGAAGGATAGAAAGCACATCTAAATTGTTCATTTTATACCTTCAATGCCTAAGATGGTGGCTAACACAACCTGGATAGCCTATATATACTTGTGAAGTGAGTGAATTAATGAATGAATGAGTAAAAGAGACATATAGTTTCATAGCTGCCAAGAGAAGAATGGCAAGTCATATGCTACTAAGAGTCATCCTTAACTTGATTGTGAAAGTTATTGCGTTTGATCATTGGGAAATCATAGAAGGGATTCATGTTAGCAAGAAGGGAAGGCAATGAAAAAGTAGAGGCAATGAATATGAATTCCTTTCTCAAAAAGTTGGCAACGAACGGAAAAAGAAAGTGGAGGGAAGTTAGTAAGTGATAACTCAAGAGGGAAGAATGCTGCAAAAAAAGTTTTATTTTAGAATAATGAAAACCTGGATTTCTGGTTTCTGGTTCCACATGGAAGGAGCTTGGAAATAGCCACCCCACTCTAACAACAATTAAAAAGCTGAACAGAGGGGGAAAAAATCAACAACTCTTCTTGGATCCAGAGAGGGGAAAGGACACAGAGGAAACTGCTTGCTGCAAGGTTGGACAGACAGAGAGGCAAACATGGGGAGTCACAGTTTAATTGGAGCTGAGTCAGTCTCACAAGTGGAAACTGCCATAGGAACAATTACTGGGTTAGGAAAACCTGAACTGTAGTTAACAAATTGCTGGAATCCCAGTGCAGACAAGGATGAGACTTAAATCTCCAGGGGTCCAAGTCTTGGAGAGGCCTCCACATTTTCATGAGTTCTACCTCCAGGCTCTTGACCATGTCCTCATAGTAAACATCAGAAAAAAAAATCCCCTCATGCTTCTGGCAAAAGAAGGATTTAAAATATGGCAGAACACTCTGTTCTTCTTAACAAGTTCTGCCCTCAGGAAAATTAGTTAACCAGAGTCTAACCTGCTGGAGTATTAACAGGGCCTTAAGGATTCGCGGGGAAGGAAATACCCAACTTGAGTCACCTCTAGCATTCCACCTGGAAGAAGGTAAATGCTCAACTCCAACCTATTCTAGCCATTCTGCCCCACCTAAGGGAGAAAAAGGAAACTGAGAAGCATTTGTGAAGTTCACAGTCCAGAGGTATAAGATCACCAAACGACTGAAATCTAGTCATAGTACTGATGCTTCCCCTCTTTCATTACATCACCCCTTTCCATTATATTGTAAAGACCTATTTATAACAGTTCCTTTTATCCAGTACATGATGTCTGACTATCAACAAAACTTAAAAGATACACTAAGAAGCAAAGAGCAGAATTTGAAGAGATAGGAGAAGCATCAGAACCAGACATGGCAGAGATATTGGAATGATTAGAAGAAGGAATTTAAAGCAAATATAATTAATATACTAAGAACTCTAATGGATAAAGTAGACAGCATGCAAGAACAGTTGGGCAATGTAAGCAAAGAGATGAAAATCCTAAGAAAGAACCCACACAAAAAATTTAAAGATCAAAAACACTCTAATAAAGTGAAGAATTCCTTTGATGGGCTTATTGGTAGACTGGACATAGCTAAGGAAAGAATCTCAGCTTGAGGATATATCAGTGGAAACTTTCAAAGGTGAAAAACAAAGATAAAGACTGAAAAAACAGCATAGAATACCCAAGGACTATGGGACTACTCCAAAAGGTGTAACATACATGTAACGGTAATATCAGAAGGAAAAGAAAAAGAGATAGGAACAGCAGAAATGTTTTTAGAAATAATGACTGAGAATCTCCCCAAATTAGTGTCAGAGATCAAACCACAGATCCAGGAAGGTCAGAGAACACCAAACAGGATAAATGCAAAAAAAATTAAATTTAAAAAAAGTAAGGAAAAAATGCTGAAAGAAGCCAGAGAAAATAAACAACTTACCTACAGAGAGCCAATGATTATAAAAATGGCATCCAACTTTTCCTCAGAAACAATGTAAGCAAGGAGAGAATGGAGTAAAATATGTAAAGTGCTGAAAGAAAAAAAAATGCCAACTTAGAATTCTGTACCTTGTAAAATTATTCTTGAACTATGAAAGCGAAATAAGTACATTCTCAGATAAATAAAACTGAAGGAATTTCTTGCCAGTAGGAATTTCCTGCAATTTGCCTTATGGGAAATGTTAAAAGAGTTCTTTAGAGTGAAGGAAAATAATTTAGGCCAGAAACTTGGATTTAGGTAAAGAAAGGAAGAGCATCAAAGAAGGAATAAGGGAAGGTAAAATAAAAACTTTATATTCTTGGGCTTAATTGATCTAACAAATAACAGCTTATTCAAAATAATAGTACTATTAGACACACTTATGTATATATATATCATATATATGCATATATAAGAAAAATAAATGACAGCAATGATATAATTGACAGGAGGGAAGAATTATAATTATTTTTTAATTATAAAGTACTGGTGCTAACCATAAAGCAATACAGTGTTGTTTGAAAGTGAAATTGGATTACTTGTAAATATATATGTTGTAAAGCTCTAGGATGACTGTTTTAAAAAGTTTAAAAAAAGAAATATAGCTTAGTATATATATAAATATATATACTAAGAAAGAAGAGAAAATTGAGTCATGCAAAATGCTCAGTCAAAATTACAAAAGAGTGGAAGATATAAATAGAAAAAATGAACAAGGGCAACAAATAGAAAACAGTAACAAGTATGGTAGATATTAATTCAACTATATCAATAATCGTTTCAAACATCAGTGGTCTAAACATACCAATTAAAACACAGAGATTGTCCCTAAGCAAAAAGAACAAAGCTGGAGGCATCACTCTACCTGTCTTCAAACTATACTACAAGGCTACAGTAATCAAAACAGCATGGTACTGGTACCAAAACAGATATATAGACCAATGGAACAGAACAGAGGCCTCAGAAGTAACACCACTCATCTACAACCATCTGATCTTTGACAAACCTGACAAAAACAAGCAGTGGGGAAACAATTCTCTATTTAATAAATGATGTTGGGAAAACTGACTAGCCATATGCAGAAGACAGAAACTGGACCCCTTTCTTACACCTTATTCAAAATTTAACTCAAAATGGATTAAAGACTTAAATGTAAAATCCCAAGCCATAAAAACCCCAGAAGAAAACCTAGGCAGTACCATTCAGGACATAGGCATGGGCAAAGACTTCATGACTAAAACACCAAAAGCAATGGCAATGGAAGCCAAAATTGACAAATGGGATCTAATTAAACTAAAGAACTTCTGCACAGCAAAAAAAAAACTATCATCAGAGTGAACAGGCAACCTACAGAATGGGAGAAAATCTTTGTAATCTATCCATCTGACAAAGGGCTAATATCCAGAATCTACAAAGAACTTAAACAAATTTACAAGAAAAAAACAACCCCATCAAAAGTGGGTGAAGGATATGAACAGACATTTCTCAAAAGAAGACATTTATGTGCCCAACAAACATGAAAAAAAGCTCATCATCACTGGTTATTAGAGAAATGCAAATCAAAGCCACAATGAGATACCATCTCACACCAGTTAGAATGGCGATCATTAAAAAGTCAGGAAATAACTGGAGTCTCAGTCTGTCACCAGGCTGGAGTGCAGTGGCGCAATCTTGGCTCACTGCAACCTCCACTTCCCTGGTTCAAGTGATTCTCCTGCCTCAGCCTCCTGAGTAGCTTGGACTACAGGCGCCCGCCACCACGCCTGGCTAATTTTTTGTATCTTTAGTAGAGACAGGGTTTCACCATGTTGGCCAGGATGGTCTCCATCTCTTCACCTCATGATCCACCTGCCTCAGCCTCCCAAAGTGCTGGGATTACAGGTGTGAGCAACTGCACCTGGCCAAGGAATGCTTTTACACTGTTGGTGGGAGTGTAAATTAGTTCAGTCATTGTGGGAGACAGTGTGGCGATTCCTCAAGGATCTAGAACCAGAAATACCATTTGACCCAGTAATCCCATTACTGGGTATATACCCAAAGGATTATAAATCATTCTACTACAAAGACATATGCACATATATGTTTATTGTAGCACTGTTCACAATAGCAAAGACTTGGAACCAACCCACATGTCCATCAGTGATAGACTGGATAAAGGAAATGTGGCACATATATACCACGGAATACTATGCAGACATAAATGAGTTCATGTCCTTTGCAGGGACATGGATGAAGCTGGAAACCATCATTCTCAGCAAACTAACACAAGAACAGAAAACCAAACACCGTATGTTCTCACTGATAAGTGGGAGTTGAACAATGAGAGCACATGGACACAGGGAGGGGAATATCACACACCAGGGCCTGTCGGGGGTTGGGGGCTAGGGGAGGGATAGCATTAGGAGGAATACCTAATGTAGATGACGGGTTGATGGGTGCAGCAAAAGACTGTGGCACGTGTATAACTATGTAACAAACCTGCATATTCTGCACATGTACCCCAGAACTTAAAGTATGATGAAAAAAGAAAAAAAGGACAGAGATCGTCACGGTTATTTTTTAAAAAATACTCCACTTTATGTTGTCTATAATAAGCCCACTTTAAATATAAAGACACATACTAATTAAAAGTAAATAGATGGAGAAAAACATACCATGCTAACATTAATTGAAAGAAAGCAGGAGTAGTTACATTAATTTCAGACAAGTAAGACTTTAAAGCAAGGAACATTAGAGATAAAAAAGAGTATTGCATAATAATAAAGGTGTCAGTCAATTCTCCAAGAAGACAGAACAATCCTTAACATGTATATGTCTAACGACAGAGCGTCAAACCATGTGAGGCAAAAAATATGACAGAACTGAAAGGAGAACCAGAT
This sequence comes from Homo sapiens, assembly GCF_000001405.40. NCBI lineage: Eukaryota > Metazoa > Chordata > Mammalia > Primates > Hominidae > Homo > Homo sapiens. The sequence continues at coordinate 110,724,468 of NC_000011.10, read as the reverse complement.
GAATCTGCTATCATAGTTGGAGACTTCAACACACTCCTCTCAGAAATGGATAGATCCATAAGGCAGAAAATCAGTAAGGGCATATCAATCAACTGGATAGAATGGACTTCTATAAACTCCATCAACCAAACACAGCAGAATACACATTCTTCTCAAGCTCACATGGAACATTCACCAAGATAAACCACACTCTGGGCCATTAAATACACCTTAACAAATCTACACAAATGGAAATTATACAATGTCTGTTCTCAGATCACAATGGAATTAAACAGAACAGAAAGATAACTATGAAATACCAAACATGATTAAATAACACATTTATAATAAATAACACCATGGTCAAAAAAGAAACCTCAAAAAAATTTAAAGTATTTTGAACTAAATAAAAATGAAAATGCAATTTATCAAAATTTGTGAGATGCAGCAAAATTAGTGCTTAGAGGGAAATTTACAGCATTGGGGTATCTATAATAGAAAAAAAGAAAGATTGAAAATCTAAGTTTCTGCGTTAGGAAACTAGAAAAAGAACAGGAAATTAAATCTAAAGCAAGCAGAAGAAAAGAAAGAATAAGAACTAGTGCAGAAATCAATGAAATTGAAAACAGGAAATCATTAAGAAAATAGGAAATCAATGTACCACACAAAGAGTGAATCCTAAGGTGAACTATGGACTTTGAATGATTATGATTTGTCAAGGTGTGTTCATCAGTTGTAACAAATATACCACTCTGGTGACGGATGCTGATAATGAGGGAGGCTATGTATGTGTAAGGGAGGGGAGGTAGAGGAAAAATCTCTGTATTTCCCTCTCAGTTTTGCTGTAAAGCTAAAACTACACTAAAAAGTAAAGTCGTTTGAAAAAAAAATATTAAAAAAGTTGTAAAGACTTAAGTATATTTGGTGCCAAAATAAAGAAACCAATGGAGAGAAATTGATTAAATGAGAGCATACCCCATTCTCCCATCCCCATTCCATTAAAATTCATTGTGTAGAACTAGAAAAAAAAACTATGTTAAAATTCATATGGAATGAAAACAGAGCCCAAATAGCCAAGGCAATCCTAAGCAAAAAGAACAAAGCTGTAGCCATCACATTACTCAACCTCAAACCATACTAGAGGGCTACAATAACCAAAATAGCATGGTAGTGGTACAAGAACAGATACTTAGACAAATGAGACAAAATGAAGAAACTGAAAATAAGACTGCACACCTACAACTATCCAATCTTCGACAATCCTGAAAAAAACAAGCAATGCGGAAAGGATTCCCTATTCAATAAATGGTGCTGGGAGAATGGGCTGGCCCTATGCAGAAGAGTAAAATTGGACCCTTCCTTACACCATATACAAAAATTAACTCAAGATGAATTACAGACTTAAATATAAAACCCAAAACTATAAAAACCCTGGAAGACAACCTAGGCAATACCATTCAAGACATAGGTACAGGCAAAGATTTCATAATGAAGATGCCAAAAGCAATTGCAACAAAAGCAAAAATTGACAAATGGAATATAATTAAATTAAAGAACTTCTACACAGCAAAAGAAACTATCAATAGAATAATCAGAAAACCTACAGAATGGGAGAAAATTTCTGCAAACAAACTAGGCATCTGACAAAGATCTAATATCCAGCATCTATAAGGAACTTAAACAAATTTACAAGAAAAAAAACATTAAAAAGTGGGCAAAAGACATCAACAGACACTTCTCAAAAGAAGACATATGTGTGACCAACAATCATATGAGTAAAAGCTCAACATCACTGATCTTTAGAGAAATGCAAATCAAAACCACAATGAGACCATCTCACACCAGTTAGAATGGCTATTATTAAAAAGTCAAAATGTAACAGATGCTGACGAGGTTGTGGAGAAAAAGCAATGCTTATACACTGTTGGTAGAAGTGCAAATTAGTTCCACCATTGTGGAAGACAGTGTGGTGATTCCTCAAAAACCTAAAGAAAGAAATACCATTTGACCCAGCAATCCCATTACTAGGTACATACAAACAGGAATAGAAATCATTCTATTGTAAAGACACATGCACATGTATGCTCATTGCAGCACTATTCATAATAGCAAAGACATAGAAGCAACCTAAATCCCCATCAATGATAGACTGAAAAAAGACAATGTGGTATTAACACATATACACCATGGAATAGTATGCAGTCATAAAAAGAAATGAGATCATATTCTTTGCGGAGACATACAGAGCTGGATGTGATTATCCTTGGCAAACTAACACAGGAACAGAAAACCAAATACCAAGTGCTCTTACTTAAAAGTGGGAGCTAAATGATGAGAACACACGGACACATGGAGGGCAGCAACACACCCTGGGGCCTTTTGGAGGGTGGAGGGTGGGAAGAGGGAGAAGATTGAAAAAAACAACTAATAGGTACTAGGCTTAATACTTGGGTGATGAAATGATCTATACAACAAACCCTCATGACACAAGTTTACCTGTGTAACAAACCTGCACATGTACCTTTAAATTTAAAATAACAGTTTTTAAAAAAGAGAAAATTCATTGTGTAACTAGCAGTATTGCTGATGGGACTATATTATCACGTTAACTATATTAGTACTAACTATATATAGTATATATATACCAAGATATACACATATATATATAGATATATAGATATATAGATACCAAGATATATATAGAGAGAGATAGCATAGATATAGATATAGACATTTTGGCCCTGCCACTTATTGATTGCGTTACTTTAGAAAGTCCCTTAGCTTCTCTGAACCTCATCTTCATATTTCAAATGAATATAATAATACCTACCTTTTTGGTAACAACATACTAATACAGTTAGGACTATATTAGTACATTAATTACATAGAAGAAAAAATTAAGAAGGAATTTAGGAGTGTTTCTTTGCAGAATATATAAATGATTTTAATATACACATTTTATAATATACATTATAATTGTCACATGGGCAGTATTTGCAAAATCTGTTTGACTCTGGAACCCTATTTTGTAAAGCATCGTAAGGGATTCCTGTTCCCTATAGCACACTTGGCGAAATATGCTTTAAAGTAAAAAATCTTTCAGAATGCCTGTATCTAATTTCTTATCTCTCTTTTATTTGATGTAAGCATTTTAAAATAGTGCTTTTTAAAATTATCAATATCATTTTTTGTTATTTTCTATTGAAAATATGCAACAGTTTATTTTTACTTGTAACTTAAGTAGGATTTAAGGAAAAGGATTGAAGTCTTATATTTTTGAGAGTCAGAACTGGATTGGAATGCTGCTCTACCACTTATTAAGCTGAACAATCTTGCACAACTCACTAAATTTACTCATGGGACCAAGCTCCCTAACTCTACCATATCAGCACAGACAATAATCAACCTTGCAGCAAATATGGCAGTGAATTAGGAGTATGGTTACAAGGGCTATTTCCACAAATCTCTGGAGAGGATTACAACATAAACATAGACAGAACTAACAAACATCCAGGCAATCGAAATGCCTAGGAAAAACCAAAAGGAAAAAGAAAAGAAACCCAAAGTGATTTGTGTGAGAGAGAGAAGTGTCACATTAAAGAATGGGCAAGAGCATGAGGCATGCAGTAGACAATAAATGATGAATAGTTAATTAATTTGGTCTGGTTCACAGAGCAATCTGAACTTTGATGGAAAACAGACATTCCTCCTCCTTGTTGCTGTTTCTTGTTAAAATATCAAGTTACTTTGTAAAATACATTTTTAAAATGATGAGGCTAAGCCTCTGACCAGCAAGCAAGCTGTTCGTGGACTAAGGAGGAGGGTTTGGGGTCGTATTTAGTTTTATGTCACATGAAAATGAGTGCAACACAATTTATGATGCTCTCCAGTTATAAGGAACAAAAAGAAGACTGTACCATCAAGTCTTAGTAGTTAAGAACATGGGCTTTGGTGTCCTGGGTCTGAATCTGGCTCTTTTGCTCAGTAGCTATATGATCTTTGACAAGTGGCTTAATATCTCTAAGTACATGGCTCTTCATTTGTATACTGGGCTTAAAAATACAAGCCATTAGAGTTGTTTTTGAAGATGATGGTAGTGTATAAAGTACTTAGAACAGTGTTTAACTGCCAAATTTATATCTCCCTATCCTTCAAAGTTAAATACCAATGAATGGCAGCTATTATTAATACTGTAACACTGTTGATATTGTAAGCATATACGTTTTGAACCCAATCAGATCTGAATTCAAATCTTGGCTCTGCCACTTATTGATTGCGTGACTTCAGAAAGTCACTTAGCTTCTCTGAACCTCATCTTCATATTTCAAATGAGTATAATAATACCTACCTTTTTGGTAACAATGAAGTATGTAAGGTATACCTAACACATGGCAGGCACTCATCAAATGCCAGTCTGCTGTCTACCACTTTCCCTGGAAAATAATGTCCAGATTTTCACCATGGAATCCAAGGTCCTTCACAGTGTGACCCCAAGCTCTTTTTCCAGCCCTCACTCCAAACACCCTCTCTCTTATACTCCCTTTTCTCCTTTCTTCCTCCTCTCTGTTCCCTAACTCCAGCCTATAAACTTCCTCTCTTATAAATGGGATTATGTGTTTTGAGGAAATAGCCCCTTTTGATATTCCAATAAAAGAAAGAGAAAGAGAGCTCCACATTTGGTCCTGAGAATTACTTAAGGTCAAAAGCTCTCTTATATCAAGGCTCATAGTCATACCCGAGAGCTGAGCCATTGGTGCCCTCAAATGACAAAAAGTCACGAGGCTTTCTGTGTGTCACTTAGACTGGTTAGAGAAGCATCTAGGCTCTACACAGCTGTCTTCGTACTCTGCAGAATTGAGGGTCGAGGAAGAAGCTTGAGTGCAGGTCAGAGATAGGCAAGAATTCATGTCTGAGATGCAGGCAGGAAGATGTGATAGGACCTTTGTGAGTGTGGATTGAGTACTGAGAGTAATGGAGAGCCACTGAAGGTTTCCAGGAGCACACAGACGTGCTCAGACTGGTGTTTGAGGAAGATGGAATATGTGTTATTGCTTAGAGGAAGGCAAGGGTATAAGCAAGGAGACTTTTTGTTATTATTGTCATTTAACCATTTTTAAATGTACAGTTTATTGGCATTAATTATTCACAATGTTGTGCAGCCATCACCACCATCCATTTCCAAAACTCTTTTCTCACCCCAAACAGAATCTCTGTAATCATTAAGCAATAACTTACCCCTCTCTCCCCCAGCTCCTAGTAAACTCTTACCTACTTCCTATCTCTATAAATTTGCCTATTCTCTAGAATATGAAATATCTATATTTCATATGAATGGAATCACACAATATTTGTCCTTTGTATCTGGCTTATTTTACTTAGCATGTTTTCAAGGGTCATTGATATTGTAGCATGTATCAAAGCTCCATTCCTATTTAAAGCTGAATATATTCCATCGTATGTATATACCACGTTTCATTTATCCATTCATCTGGTGATGAACAGTTGAGTTGTCTCCACATTTCGGCTATTGTGAATAATGATGCAATGAATGCTGGCATACAAGTATCTGTTTGAGACTTTGTTTTTTACTCTTTGAGGTATATACCTAGCACTTGAGTGGAACTTCTGGGTTATAAGGTAATTCTGTGTTTATCTTTTTATGAATCACCAAAGTGCACCATTTTTTATTCCCCCAAGGAATACACAAAGGGGGAAGAAAACTCTTTAGGAAAAAAAATCGAGTACAGAAATTTTCTGTGGGTATGGCTGCAAATAAAAATGAAGGGAAAGATCTCAGGTTTACAAAATAAGAGTAAAGAGAACTTGGTGGTCAATTGTGTGGTCAAATGAGAGTGACTGGGCTGCAGTGGGGTGAGAGGCTGTTGAATAGGTTTGAAGATAAAGCAAAATCTGTCATTTTCACAAGGTTTTAAGCTTCAGCTACTGAGGAAGATGATGGTGGAAGTTACAGAGAACTGGTAAGGGTCAGGGAAGGAGATAAGGAGTTAATATTAATTCAGCCTTAGACCTATTGGAGTTTGACGTGTTTACGAGGCATACGTATTAGTCTGTTTTCACACTGCTAATAAAGACATATTCAAGACTGGATAATTTATAAAGAAAAACAGGTTTGATGGAATCACAGTTCCACATGGTTGAGGAGGCCTCACAATCATGGTAGAAGGCAAAGGAGCAACAAAGGCATGTCTTACATGGTGGCAGGCAAGAGAGCGTGTGTAGGGAAACTGCCCTTTAGGAAACCATCGGATCTCATGAGACTTATTCACTATCATGAGAACAGCATGGGAAAAACCTGCCCCTATGATTAAACTACTTCCCACTGGGTCCTTCCCACAACAGGTGGGGATTATGGGAGCTACAATTCAAGATGAGATTTGGGTGGGGACACACCCAAATCATATCAGCATATAAGTGAGTCAGTTTGGGTGATCAGTAGGGAGGTTTGGGAGGTAGTCAGGGAAGTAATTAAAAAGGACTCAGTTGGTATTACATGCAAGGAATGAGGGCAAAATCACAGAGGCTTCCAAGGGCACCAGGAAGAGTGAGGGTGAATCCCTGAGTGTTTCAGGGCTGGAAGAAAAAAGAAATAAGACCACAAAATTATTTGAGAAGGAAACCAGAAGAAAGACATGTTAGTGATTTTTAAGGAGTGAGGAAGAACCCAGGCCATGGTCTTCCCCATCAACTGCTCTCTCACCACCATTCTCAACTCTCTTGCATTATTCTTCTTCATCACACTCAGCTGGCATACCTTCTCCTTGAATGAATCCTTGAAGAGAAACCATAGGCTGTGTAGGCAGTCCATTATAAATTCATGGCTTCATACTTCAGCTGAGCCCTCAATACAAACTTATCCTTGCTTATTCTCATTCTTCAGTGTCTGTTTAGAACATTCAACTCTCCTCCAACCCTTAAATTCGCCCTGCTGCCCAATACCAGCAGAATTCACTGATTCACAAACGGAACACACATGTTTTGAGTTCCTAGCCTCAAACTGTATTCAGTGCCTATTTTACAGAGAAAATAGAACACATCAGAAGAGCTTTCTATCTTAGCACTCATTCTTTCCTGCTTTCCTATTATGATAATGAAAGCACTGCTCTTGCTCTGATCTAGGCTAACTCCTCTATCTTTGCCCTAGAGGTCCCATTCCCATCCCATTGGTCCCAGTGTCTTCAGCTTCTGGGTCACCCCTAATGTCTTCCCATCACTATTTAAATATACTCATGTCTACAGTTACACCCATATGGCTTCCCTCCAAACTCCTATCCTCTTCAGCTCTCTCTCCTCCCTGTCCCAATCATACTTCCCAAGAGAGTTGTGCACATTCACTGTCTTCACTTCTTCCTCTCTTCTAAATCCCTGGTCCATTCATTTCACTCAAGCCTTTCCAGATAAACTCATCAATGACCTGCTGGTTGATAAATTCAGTAGATATTTTTCAGTCATCTTTCTTGACGTTACTGATCACTTTCTTCTTCTAGAAACACACTTCCTTCTGGCTTTGTTTTCCAAGTGAAGACTAACATCTTGCCTCACTCTTAACAGATCTGCCCTCTAATTTAGTAATAAAATAGATCCCATCTTCCTCTGATAGCTCCTGCCCTTTCTCATATTCATTCTGGGCCAAGCTTCTTGAAAGAGTAGTCTCAACTTTCTCTCTTCTCGTTATACTTTAGTCTTTACCAGCTTACTCTCTTGCAGCGGAAGATATTGTCGACCGTTTCTGTTCCTGAAAAACTCTATTACTTTGGCTTACTTTTTTTAAAAAAGCACCCACTTTGTGTTTCTCATTCCCTGGCCTCTTCTCTATGTCTCTTGCCACTTTTTCACCTTCCATTGCCTTATTTGTTTGTAGTTTCCCAGAACTAGGGACAGTGATGACTATGAGAGTGCATTTTCCTTAGGGTTGTTTTGAGCATTTAATGAAATAACACAGCTATGAGTCAGTTTTAGCTGACTGGCTCCTTGGAGAAGTTGAGTTTAAATGTTGTTAATTTCTTGATTTTTTTTTTCAAGAGAACCCAGAATTCTATTTGAAATATTTTGATTTTTAAGGTTAGTAATAAGTTTGAAAAGAAAGTGCATATGTTGAAAAACAAGCCAGAATTCGCCCAGATGGCCATCAGTTTGCAATCACTCATGTAGGGTATTTAGATAGCAGTGAATGATTCTTGTGTGCATCTTGGGGTTTGCAAGGACTATTTCTGGGGATTCATCTTGACTGTACCCCAAGCACCTGGCACGGTATCCTGCACATAAATATCATTGAATGAATGAGTTTCATGAACATCTTTTTTATTTTTTAATTAACAAACAGGGTCTCACTATGTCACTCAGGCTCAAGTGCAGTGGCACAATCATAGTTCACTGTAACCTTAAACTCCTTGGCTCAAGCGATCCTCCTGCCTCAGCCTCCTGAGTAGCTGGGACTACAGGCATGTGCCACCACACCCCACTATTTTTTTTTTCCTTTTTGTAGAGACAGGGTCTTGAACTTCTGGCCTCACACAATTCTCCCTCCTCAACCTCCTAAAGTGCTGAGATTATAGGCATGAGTCACTGTACCTGGCCCAAACATTTCCTTTTATAGTTAAATTTCTTCACTGTTATTTAATCTAATGGTTGGCAAAACCTTTTGGTTTCATTCTTAGTTTCTGCTAAAGGTCTGCTATTGGCATTTCCCAGCTGTTAAGTGTTGCTATTCCTAGTAGTTTGCTTTAAGATTTGTTTCGAAATATTCTGGATACTTTCTGCTTTTGTCAGACATAGGTCATCACACTCCCTTAACTGTCTTATCATTTTTGTTTTCTGGCACCACCCTTTTCTACAACATAACATTCCTAGTGCATGGAAAATAGTTTCACAGTCTAATGAATAGTCCAGAATTGTTTCTTTCCCATCAGAGTATCTTCCTTAAACTGTACAGCATAATAATGGAGATGAAGATGGTTGTTTCTAATATTGCATCCATTCTTTCAAAGGTAAGACATTGAAAAAAAATTCATTGAGAGCATACTTGTGTGCCTGGCATAAAGAAGAAAAGACAAAATACGATCTTCTATTTCAAGGCAAGTAAAACAGATGGTAATGGTATAATGTAATATGTGTTATAAAGACAAAGAAATACACACAGGAGAGGCAGTTGGCCACGTGGCTAAGAACACAGGTTCTGAAGCAGACTTCCCATGTTCTAAGCTCAGCAAGACTACTTACTAGCTGTTTGAGCATATTACTTAATATCCTTGTGGCTTGGTTTTCTCATCTATAAAATGGGGTAGTAAAAGAAGCTACCTCATAGATTATAAAGATATAACTAAATTAATGTGTGTAAAATGCTTAGAACAGTGTCTGGCATTAAGTAAGCACTCAATAAATGTTACCTGTTACCCACAGGTACTCACTGGCATTAAGTAAGCAATCAATAAATGTTACCTACAGTGGATGCCCCATGTGTATGGTTGGTGTGTGGAGGTAGCTAGATAAGGAGAAATAAAGTCAGGAAGATTTTTCTAAGGTAATTATTGATTCAAATCTGGGAGATTTATTTCCTCAACAAATATTTACTGGGCATTTACTATGCACCAAGTATTAGATATTTAAGTGTAAAGTAATAGGGGTTGGAAATATAGAAGGAAAACTTCCCACGCAATGCAAACAGCAGGTTCAAAGTCACAAAGATGTGAGAAGGCAAGGCGAGTTCTTGGAAGGTGACTTCTTGGCGAATTCAATGTGACAGGGAATAGGGTGAGAGTTGAAGAGGAGCAATAAATGACAAGAGAAATAAGTGGAGGCAAGGATGTCTGTTTATAGGCAGTCTTGCATATCATACTATGGCATTTGAAATTTATTCTGTAAACACAAGGAGCCAAAGAAGGGTTTAATCAGGGGAGTGATGTGATCAAATTTGTGTTCTTAAAACACGATTCTGGTGATAGCATTAATCTGAGCAAAGTCAGTTTTCTTTAGGTATGGGACAGTTTTCTATGCAAACCAAAACTAATGGGTTTTGAAGTAAAAGCACTTAAAAATTAAGAAGTAAGAGTGAGTTTTCCAAATCTGCAGTAAAATACTACTTTGATTTGGAACATGTAGTATTGATCACAGATCAAACCTGTGCAAAAAAGAAGATCACAAACAGAAACATGGGACACTCTGAGTGAAACAACCAACTCTACCAGTCTGGCCCTTCTAAGATCTATCTCATAACCCTTGTATGCCTCATTAATTCCCTTAGCAAACGAACATTTATTGCACCAGACACTGCTTCAAGCACTTGGTATACGACAAAGAACAACAATAACAACAACAACAACAAAAGCCCACAAAAGATTCCTGCCCTCTGGAAGCTTGCATTTCTCTGAGATATAGATAATAAACACTAAACATACTAAGTAAATTACATGATATATTAGAAGGAGATAAGTGTTATCGAAATAAAACAGAGTAAGGAAAATTGGGAGCGTGCATTTATGATAGGAACCAAAAGAGGCTAACGAGTTGTAAGTGGATGATTTCAGCAAGGAATGAAAGGAACTGCAAAGCCCTCTGCGTGTAGAATTCATGACAAACTCTATGGTGGGGGCAAAGTCCTGTCGCTGCACATGGGTCTCAGCTGCAAAAAGAGAGTAGCCATGAAAAACTGTGTGTGTATATGCACACATACATAAACACAATAATAGATGATTTACAAATCATACATGTGATTTATACGTGTGTGTGATTTATACGTGTGTGTGATTTATAAAGCCTATGTAAGCCTACTTTAAACAGTGTGAGGTGGACAAGGCTTAAAACGGGCTGGAACATTTTCCCCCTATTATTTCCACAATAAACCATTCCTGGGCATGGTGGTGATGTGTGCGCGCGCGAGTGTGTGTTGGACAGCATCCCTTCCTTGGAACAGAGCCGGCCAGAGCCCTATTCTTCTACAACCTGTCCTAATAACAGCCTAACCTGGCAGGAACCTCGATTTTTTTCTTCTTACCACAAAAGCAAACCAAACCCCTTCCACAACCTAATATCATAGCGTGGTGTCCTTCCTCACTAATCCGCCACTGCTTCTCTAGTCCTGACTCCAAGGGAAGAATGCCATCTACCGAATCATCCGTACCAGTCAACCAGCCCCGCAAAGTGCAGCAACACTCAGCTCAACGCGGGTCAGCTCCAAATCCTCTCCCTCTGATTATTCTTTGGCCTTTAAAATATTTTTGCCTCTATTTGGGCTGACAGGAAGTTATGCTCTCGGCGCAGATATCTGATAAACACTTCCACATATTGTAGCCTTCTCAATAGCTTAGCCAAATTTCGGCGTCCTCGCTCTGTCTGCATTTTCCTTCATTGCTCTTTCACGTTTGGAATGCCCCCGTCTCTGCAGCCTGCAGACAGCGGAAACCGCGGGTGCAAATGTGCAGGGGCCGCTGACATGACCGGCTGCAGAAGCCCACTCAGGGTTACCCGAACAGGCTAGCGTTCGGGATTGCACAAGAGGTCAGGCGATGCTGTGGGCTTCCAAATTTGTACAGCTGCGACACTCTGCGACGTGCCACCCTATCCCCAGTGGGGTGGGGTGGGGGATTCCCTCCGCAGTCCGCTGAAAGCGAGGCAGGAATCACTGCAACTCCTCTGCTCAGGCTGAGGTCGCCACCGCTCCGCGGATGCACGCGCTGCAGGGGCGCCTTCCGCCGCGGGCACGGCGCGGGAAGGGATGGGGTCTGGTGGGAGTGGGCAGGTGGCGGGAGAGGCGCGTGTCCGTGCACTAGAGGCCCCCGTGCGTGACACAGGCCGATGAGCTCCTGCGGGCTGCACCCACGCGGAGTCACAGACCGAAAAGGTCAGCCGGTGGCCGGTGTGCTAACATATATAGAGAGACGCCCGCCAGGCGCGCCGCAGGCTGGGACGAGGCTAGGAGGGCCCAGGCTGGAGGAGGGCTGAGGAGGGCTGCGGGGGCGGGCCCCGGCGCAGGGCGCCCGGAGCGGAGGGGGCGGGCCCGAGGCGGGGCGGGCCGCGGCGCTGACGGGCTGTCGCCGCTGCACTCGCCTCCAGCCCGCGGTGTCGAGCGCAGGCGGAGGTACATGGCCCCGACGGGAGGCGCGCGGCGAGCACCCGGAGCTCGGCTCCCTGCCTGAGCACGGCAGCCGCGCCTCCGCCCGCGCGTCCTCGCCCCTCCGGCCGGCAGCCCGCGGACATGATCGTGTAGCCTCCTCCTGGGCTGGGATTTGTTTGAAGATTTTCTTCATGGAAGCGATGTCCCCCCAGCAGGAGACTCTAGGGGGACAGCCGGGGCGCTCCTCTTCCCTGACAGGAGTGTCTCGGCTCGCGGGAGGCAGCTGCACCAAGAAGGTGAGGACGCTGAGCGGGGGCCCGTGCCCTCCGCCGCCGCAGCCCCCACTGCCGGCGCGCGCCCTCCGCGCCCGCCACAGCAGCGCGCTAGGCGGACGCCGCGGGAATTTGACGCTCGAGGCTCGCGGCCCCTAATGAGAGTCCCAGAACACTTCCCGCCCTTGACGGCCAGCGGCAGCGCCGCCGCCTCCCGCAGAGCGCCCGCTTCTCCGTTTCTAGAGCCTTAGTCTCTCCTCGAGCGACCTCGCAGCCTCCCTCCCGTCTCCATCCGCCGCCGGTTCTGCAGCCCGGCTCCTCCCTCAGTCTAGGCGCGCGGGCTGTAGTGGGCGATCGCCTTTCCCCGACCCCTCGCCGTGCCCCTGGGCCTCCCGAAGTGGCCTGGGCGAGCACTGACTGCCCTTTGGCGGTGTCAGCCCCAAAGTCAGGGCCGGCGATGTCTGCCCGGGAGCGGCAGCCGGCGCTGAAGAAGGTAGGCAGCGGGGCTGCGGCGCTGGTGGGCTCGGCCCCCTCACCTGCCCGCCGAGGCGCGGCTGCTCCATAGCAGTTTTCGGGGGGCAGATATGGGGAGTACTGCCCCCCACACCAGGGTCCTGGATGATTCCGGGTCTCCCAGGTGGGGGTCACAGTTTGAGGGGCGACTGTGGATGATAACGCTCGACACTACGGGGACATGTAGGTTCGGCTGGGCCTAGAACCGAGCAGGGTGGGGGCGGGTGGGCTGTGGTTGGGGGTCCTGAGGGCTGAGGTGGGGGACCTTCTCCCTGCACTGGTCCCTGGCCCCTGGGACTCTGGCCGGGCTGGATAGGGATCCGGGTGTCGGTGTGGGCGTGGGGGCAGCGCGTGTTCCCTGTCAAAGCTGGGAGAGGGATGCAGGTGACAACTTGTAGCGTTCCATTCCGATAAACACGGCCGCTGTGCTGCGGGAGGATTCCGATCCGGGTCAGGTTTCGCTGGAACGGTTCCCTGAGCAAGTGCACGTGGGCCGCGGGCTGCCGGCCTCTGCCGTTTCGCTCCCTGAGGAATTGATTTGGGTGTTTCTAGCCCTGTCTGCCTGTCCCCCGCCTCCCCACCCCCGCTTCCAGCATAAGACTTTCCGATATTTTGCCTTTTTTTTTTTTTTTGCCTTGTCTTAGTGGTGCCCTTCCAGCTTTTCTGGAAACAAGTTGCGATTAGAGGCATCTTCTAGCTTTTCCTTAAGAAATATCTTAAGGGATTGCATTTGTTTCATTAGAGACTTAAAGGGGTTACGCAGGTTCCCTGCTTGTCTTGATTTTACTGCCTTTCATAAATCTTCCCACCAGGATCTTAGGTTGGCTAGAGGTCAGTTGAAGAGAGGTGATCGGTGTGCCGAGTATAGAAATGTGTGGGAGTTCCCAAGGACCTTGACCGTGTCACGGAGCCATCTAGGGGTGTCCGTGAACTTGATGATGTATGGGCTGTAGTGCCAGCTCAGCCTTTGATGTATTGAGGCTGCGGTTTGTCCTTGTCGCTTTTCCCCTTCGGAGATGGAGGGAGTGTGTGTGTGTGTAGTCAAGTCTTCCCAAATAAAACGTGAATTTATCAGGCTAGCCCTACATTTACTGACATAAATTTTAAAACTTAAAGCATTTTATTTTTGTAAACGTAAGGAATTGGAAGAAAATCAAAGATTTATTTTTCTGAACAGTTTTTTCTTTTTTTCTTTTTTTTTTACTAAGGGTATAACACTGCCAAAGGGAGGAAGCATTAAAGAGGAGCTTTATTATCATTTATCAAGTAATACTTGTCCAATAAATGAAGGGTTGCTTCGCTCTTTTCCCACATTCTTTTTACTTATCATAGCCACCGTCCTTAAGATGCTGTCGTTTGTTATGAAACTTAACAGGTTCACACATTAACAAACCAGTACCTACCTTTCCAACATCGTTGGGAAGATTAAATGTGAAATTCAGTGAATAATGACATATAATAGACATTTAATAAATGTTAGCACTTACTGTTTGCAACATCCCTATATCTGTAATTCATACCTTTGTGTCCCAGTTGTTCAAGCCAAAAATCTAGGATTCGTTTTCAACTCATTTCCTCTCTCTGCACCAACCAATCCATCAGGGAAGCTATTGTCAATCCGAACGTGTCTTGAATTTCTCCACTTCATCTCCACTGTTGCCAGTGTAGTCCAAGCCAAGCCGCCATCTCTCACTTGTACCTTTGCAGAAATGTCTTAACTTGCCTAACACCTTTCTTGCCCTTCTTTGATCCAGTCACCACTTTGCACCAGAATAATCTTTTAAAATGTAAATTAATCATGTTGCTTACCTGCTTAAAATCCTGCAGTGGCTTTTCATCCATTTATAATAAAATTCAGACCCCTTTTTCTTGGCCCTGTCTACTTCTGCCACCTCATCTATGCATCCCCCCCTTGTTTGTGTATTCTCCAACCACATGGGCCTTCTTCCTCTTCATATTTCAAGTCATCAAATTCATTCTTATTTTGAGGCCTTGATGGTGTTTCTCTGTGCTTCAGCCCCAGGTCTTTGCAGTCCTGACTTTCATATTATTGTCAGATCGTAGGTTCTAGCAGAGGCCTGCCATTGACTACCTAAGTGGAAGTGCTCCTCAGTCATTCTCTATACCTTCTGCTTTATTGTCATCTTAGCATTCATCCTGGCCTGATATTTTCTTATTTACTTGCTTGTTATCTGTTACCCACATCTGTCACCAGATTGAAAACTATGATAATAGGGACCTTATCTGTATTGCTTAGGGCTGCCTCTCCAGCACCTAGAATAGTGTCTGCTATATATTAGATTTTCCGTAAATATTAGTTGGGTTATGTACAGCAGTGAACAGGACAGATATGGCCCCGTCCTCAGAATTTATGGCTCAGAGCAGGGTCAGCAAACCTTTATTTAAAGGACCAGATACTAAATATTTAAGGTTTGTAGGCCCTTTGTTACAGGCTACTCAGTTCTGCCATTATAGTGCTAAAGCAGCCATAGACAATGAAGAAATGAATGGGCATAGCTGTGTTGTAATAAAACTTCGTTTAGAGAAACAAGTGGTGAGTCTCTGTGGTGTAGTTTCCTCTCTCCTAATTAGGGGAGAGTAGTGCCACTGAGTGGTACATTGTGTAATGATGGAACGCCTTTATCTACAGTGTCCATTCAGTAGCCACTAGCTACATGTAGCTATTGAGCTCTTGAAATGTGGCTGGCATGACTGAGAAACTAAACATTTTTTAACAGCTTCATTGAAGTATAATTGATATAGAATAAACTGCACATATTTAAAGTATATAAATTTAATAGTTTTGACATATATATACGCTTGTGAAAACATCTCCACAGTTTAGCTAAGGAATATATTCGTCATCCCCCAAAGTTTCCTCATGTCCCTTTCTAATTCCTTAATTCCCTCCCCATTCCCAGGCAACCACTAATCTGTTTTCTCTCACTGTAGGTTAATTCACACTTCCAAAGATTTTTTGTAAATGTAATCATACTTTATATTCTTTTTTTGTCTGGCTTGTTTCATTCAATACAATTACTTTGAGGTTTATCCATGGTTTTGCGTGTATCGATAGTTCATTTCATTGCTGAGCAGCATTCCATCATGTGACTAGACTACAATTTATTTATCCATTCATCTGTTGATGGGCATTTGGATTATCTCCAGTTTTAGGCTATCACAAAACTGCTGTGAACATTCATGTATAAGTCTTTGCATGGACTTCATTTTGGGGGAGTAAATACTTAGGTGTGGAATAGCTGGGTCATATTTTAGGTATATATTGAACTTTTTAAGAATCTGTCCATTGTTTTTTCCGAAGTGGTTTTATATTCCCCCTGGCAGTGCATATGAGTCCACCTACTCCAAATTTTCACCAGTACTTATTATTATCTGCCTTTTTGATTACAGTCATCTTAATGGATGTAAAGTGGTATCTAATGGTTTTGATTTGCATTTCCTCAATGATTAGTGATGTTGAGCATCTTTTCACGTGCTTATTTTTCATCCATATGTTATCTTTGGTGAAGTGTCTAAATATTTTGCCCAATTTTAATTGTGTTTTCTCCCAGTCTGTGACTTGTCTTTTTACTTTCTTAAGAGTATCTTTCAAAAGAACGGAAGTTCTTATTTTTGGTGAAATACAATTTGTCATTTTTTTTTTCTGTAAGCTTCTTAATTATAATCAACTTGAATTTAAATCTAAAGAGCCACATGTGTCTAGTGGCTACTGTATTGGACAGCATGGGTCAGAGGAAGAGACAAAAAAAAAAACAAAAAAATGAATAAATGGTGATAACTGTTATTAAAGGAACAAACATAACCCCGAATTAGACAAATGTGGTTGTTGAGTTAGATCATTCTGCATTAGGGTGTTCAGGGAAGGCCTTTTTTAAGTGTCCCTTAACTCTCTTATGGCTTAAAAAGACCATGCTATAAAAAGAAGTGGGAGCATTAAGTTCAAAGGTCCTGAGGTAGGTATGTTTGAGGAGCTAGCATGTAGATGCTGTAAATGAAGTCAGTCTCTTTATTTTATAGCCACATTTATTATTTTAATCTCAAGCAGAATTGCCTAGCTAGATCACTCACTTTTACTCACTAGTCAGAGGATTTCATTGTTTCCAAAAATCAAATCCACTCTCAGAAGACAAAGATTTTTCCATCACTGAGGCACTTCCAAAGAATATACAATAAATTTGTACAGTAATTCCTAAAAATTGAATTCTAAAATGTAATAGCATATAGATAAAGCATAGATAATACTTTAAGTTATTCTGGAATAATACATCCTTGAGGATATCCACATTTTCACGGAATAGTTTTAATGAAGTGGAAGCACATATTAGAATCATTTTAGTTAGGAATGATTTGTATCAGACTCAAATATTCTGACCTTTTGGTTTCATATGCTAATTGAAAAATCTTTAAATAGGATGAGTGTTGGAATGGGGGAAAAGAGACTTATAGGCCCAGAAAGCCAGGCAAGGGAAAATAATTTTAAAATAGCTCTAACATTTTTAAATGTAGCAGCTGCTGTTGTAAACTTCATTCTGCCTTTCCTTTCTAATTCTCTGGGTCCAAATCTGTTTATAACACCTCATGGTAGAACACCCCCAAGGGCTAACTTGGACCATGTGTGTGTCTTATACTGGGGCTTGAATTAAACATCTTAGTGAGTAAGCTTTAGTTTTACTCTTCAATACTGAGAAAAATATTATGCCCATAGTTAAACTAGTATCCTACTCAATTCTTATCTGGTGTTACTCACAAAATGAATTGCATGAAATCAGATACGTGAGATTGTGTTGGCAGGGAGGGTCCTAGAATTATAAAAATAAAATTAGATTAATCAGGAATGGCCTCTGTTATCCCTCATGTGACCTCTGAACTTCTGATTGGGCTTTGTTTCTTTGTATGCAAAATGGGGTAATGACCCCTATCCTGCACCTCTCACAAGGTTGGTTTTTATGGGTCATGAAAGGTAAATGGAAACACTTTGCAAAAGTGCAGGAGTTATTAGTATATCTTGCCATGTGAGAGTAGGTGTAAAGCAACAAAAGGAGTTTGAGTTTAAAAAATGTAACATCAGAACATGTACATGCATGTGAATGCATACCATCCTTTAAAGCAGTCATCATTGGAAGCCATAAATATCAAATATCATGAGGAGGAACTTGAATAAAAATACAAGGGTTGGCTATAACTTATAGAAGAATAAAGAAAATTTAAAAACCTCTTTAAGTGAATGCTGAACTATATTCAAAACACATCAATTATATGAGGTAGGTGTTAATTTTTTCCTAAAGAAGGAACCGAACCATATCAAGGCTTCAGTGTAGTAAGTGGCAAAACTGGAATTTGAATCCAGTTCTTCCAACTCCATTTCTCTTTTCAACGAGACTATCACTGCATTTGTTATTGTTTGTAACATAAGATACAGGGGAGAGTAGGTTTAAATTATATATAACCAGCTGAGAAAAGTACAGTTGAGGGCCTTTTCTCAATTGAAAAAAAGAGTATACATTCTTTGGAGAGTGGCATTTCTACCCTCTCTGTCTACCATTGAATGTTATGTTCACTGCTACCATTAGGTAAATATTAGGTAAACATTGACTTATAGTGACAATCAATGACACAATCACTGGTCTAATTACTTTGGTGATTTTTATGCCTTGGTGTCTGACATTTTCAGATGTTTTGTATAAGGCAGATGTACTTCAAGAGCCCTTAGCCAGGCCTAATCTCTATGCTGATACCTCAGCCTTGCTTGCTATTGGAAAGCTTGGCGTATTCTCCAGACAAACTCAGAAGAGTATATTTCAGAGTTATGTGTGGGTGCACTGAATCCTAAGCCTCAGATGATTCCACTGGAAAATCATGTGGAAACCCAGTTGAAACTCTCTCAACTCAGTTAACTTTTATATCACTGCTCCACTGAGTCTGGAGGAAAAAACTTTGTGTCCATAGTTATGCTCACTTAAAATGTGATTACATAGTGCATTTTACCATGGCAGAAGAAAAATTAATTTTTGTGACTCTAAAGTTCATAGACTACAATAAATTATAGTTTTATAAAATAAAAGTTAAGGATAATCTTCTTATACATGTGTAAAAAGTAATTATTAATTTTGAAGATTAAGTCCCCTAAGTTAAAATAGGCAGTTGGAATTCATAGACTGAAAGTTCACAAGTCATAGATACCTAAATAGTTAGTGCAGTTGTTGCTTTTAGTTCTAAGGTGAAGATTGTCATGAAGCAATTTATCACCCTCTATGCCTTCAGCATTCTCCCAGGTTATGATTTGGCGAAAGGGCGGCAGGACAAAAGGTGGAACATGTTCAGTGGATGGGGGAGAGCTGAGAAAACTGATGGTACCTACAGAAATGAAATCCTCTCCAATCAATAACTTAGAAGACTGAATTCTTTCACAGTTCTTACCTTTCCATCCAGGACTTGGTGGCTATTCTTTTCAAAGTAAAGGCATGTTATGCTTTATGGGACTACATACAACTTAACAAAAATATGTAATTGTAAAACTTGCCTTCCTAGAAGGTGTCTGTAGCTGAAAATATACTAGATTTCAACTTAAATTGCCACTAAAATACATTATAAAGTGTCACAAAAATAGGTATATAATATCAAAGTTATATGTGTGTACATAACACTTGTATACTCATAATATGCAGAGTGCTTTGAGGAAATATATATTTTTATGATTCAATGGAGTTTTATTACTCATACCCCTCATGTCTTCAGAGCATTTGGTATAAACCTTTAAAGTAAACTTTAAGTGAAGGGAAAGTTGCTCGCCTGTTCTGTTGGTACTTCAAGTGTTTAGGATCACAGGGATTCTAGAGGTCCTGATGTGTTCAGAAAGCCTGCAGAGAGAATGCTCAATTTGGTAGTGGCAACTACAACAGTTTTCTGAAACAAACTCGGATAGAGTTGATCTTTAGCTTTTATTTACTTACGGGAGACTCTGCCACAATGTGAGGCTGGAAAGGTAGCAGAGATGATTGCCTTCGGTCAACCATCAATAATGAGGCTTGTAGGCAATATAGCCCAGTTTATATTATATTTTATTTCAGTCTTATTTTCTTTATCTAGGACAAGTTTATGGTAGAAACATCTAACTGACAGCAGAAATAACCTCATCAGCACTGTAGGTCAGTGGTGTGCTGAGAGCAGCCTTGACCTAATTTTGACAGACACCTGTCACATGACACAACTGAAATGTAAAACTTGTTTTTGGATGTCTGGTCACTTGTGTGTGGACTCTGAAAATGGAATGTATGTGTGCCCCACATCAGCTCACATATCAAAGATCTGGAAAACGCAGCTGCTCTGTGGCCTTTTGCTTTCCTTATTTACCTGAGTCCTAATTTACACCTAGGAGAATGTTTTTATTTCCTCTCCTATCCCTACATTCACTCTTTTGAACCTCAGCTTTAACAATAGCCATCACCAGGTAACACTATGTCTGAATCTAGATAGACGTGGATCTGCTTTTTATTCTCATTTGATATGGCTGTCTGATTTTTACCATTATGGTTTTAGAATTTGATCACAGTACTTTTCCCCTCTGTGTTGAAGACAATGAGGGGCTACCGTAAGGCAAAGCTTCCCAACTGTTGCGGTTGTGTCTGACAATTAGCCTCTTGGCCTTCAGGCGAGTGGATGGATACTGGGGAGCCAGGTGCCCCTTTGTTTGACATAGAGTGTTATGGTTGTACAAATATCATTTTGTATGGAACATTATGTGAAAAATGTAGTGGAGCCCTGCCCTGTAAGAAACTATTAGGCAGAGAACATTGGTGATTGACTCTACCTACTCCAGGGTGCTGCTTAAAGATTATCATGACCAAAGGTTGAAACTTGTAGCTTTGCCAAAGAAGAAAAATCTAGCCAACGTGAAGACCCATAGTGATGCTCCAGAATCCTGCATGTGTGGGGATGGAGGCAAGGAAACAAAGAATAATGTATAAGGGAAATTCTAATATCCTTATATTTATTTATATACAGCACTTAACCACTTTAAAGTTTACTGTCTGTTACATTATCACAGTGCTTTTCATTTCAGAGGACTTTCATCCATATATATGAATGAATATATATGAATGAATCCATATATATGAATGAATATATATGAATGAATCCATATATATGAATGAATATATATATATAGTGAGTAGGGCAGGTATTGTGTCCATTTTAGAGAAAATCTGAGAAATTAAGTGGTAGAACTAGGGTCCAGAATTAAGGTCCAATGTCTCCTAGCCTAGTGCCCATTCTTCTGCATTACATAGATTATTATGTTTATTGTTGTATTTCAACATGGTAGTAGTCCTTCGGAAAGAGGAAAGAGCTGGAAAGTAAAATCAATTCTTTCTTCAGAAAGGAACATATATTCATTTACAGTAGTCTGTACTGTAATTACATTTATTTTAGCTAAATGTTTAAAGTGGTCCTGGTTGGGATGATTTATGGGTAAATAGAAGATCATATTTATCACAGACCAAACTGACAATAGCAGGAAGCTTCAGCTTACCTAGTAGTCAAAACCTTGCTGTGATAGCATGACCCAGAAGCAAGGTGCAAGGTTAAAAGTAATTCTCCTATTCTGTGAAGAAAGTCATTGGTAGCTTGATGGGGATGGCATTGAATCTATAATTACCTTGGGCAGTATGGCCATTTTCATGATATTGATTCTTCCTACCCATGAGCATGGAATGTTCTTCCATTTGTTTGTGTCCTCTTTTATTTCGTTGAGCAGTGGTTTATAGTTCTCCTTGAAGAGGTCCTTCACATTCCTCATAAGTTGGATTCCTAGGTATTTTATTCTCTTTGAAGCAATTGTGAATGGGAGTTCACTCATGATTTGGCTCTCTATTTGTCTGTTATTGGTATATAGGAATGCTTGTGATTTTCACACATTGATTTTGTATCCTGAGACTGCTGAAGTTGCTTATCAGCTTAAGGAGATTTTGGGCTGAGACAATGGAGTTTTCTAGATATACAATCATGTCATCTGCAAACAGGGACAATTTGACTTCCTCTTTTCCTAATTGAATACCCTTTATTTCCTTCTCCTGCCTAATTGCCCTGGCCAGAACTTCCAACACTATGTTGAATAGGAATGGTGAGAGAGGGCATCCCTGTCTTGTGCCAGTTTTCAAAGTGAATGCTTCCAATTTTTGCCCATTCAGTATGATATTGGCTGTGGGTTTGTCATAGATAGCTCTTATTATTTTGAGATACATCCCATCAATTCCTAATTTATTGAGAGTTTTTAGCATGAAGGGTTGTTGAATTTTGTCAAAGGCCTTTTCTACATCTATTGAGATAATCATGTGGTTTTTGTCTTTGGTTCTGTTTATATGCTGGATTAAATTTATTGATTTGCGTATATTGAACCAGCCTTGCATCCCAGGGATGAAGCCCACTTGATCATGGTGGATAAGCTTTTTGATGTGCTGCTGGATTCGGTTTGCCAGTATTTTATTGAGGATTTTTGCATCAGTGTTCATCAAGGATATTGGTCTTTTAAAGTTCATATGGAACCAAAAAAGAGCCCGCATCGCCAAGTCAATCCTAAGCCAAAAGAACAAAGCTGGAGGCATCACATTACCTGACTTCAAACTATACTACAAGGCTACAGTTACCAAAACAGCATGGTACTGGTACCCAAACAGAGATATAGATCAATGGAACAGAACAGAGCACTCAGAAATAACGCCGCATATCTACAACTATCTGATCTTTGACAAACCTGAGAAAAACAAGCAATGGGGAAAGGATTCCCTATTTAATAAATGGTGCTGGGAAAACTGGCTAGCCATATGTAGAAAGCTGAAACTGGATCTCTTCCTTACACCTTATACAAAAATCAATTCAAGATGGATTAAAGACTTAAACGTTAGACCTAAAACCATAAAAACCCTAGAAGAAAACCTGGGCATTACCATTCAGGACATAGGCATGGGCAAGGACTTCATGTCTAAAACACCAAAAGCAATGGCAACAAAAGCCAAAATTGACAAATGGGATTTAATTAAACTAAAGAGCTTCTGCACAGCAAAAGAAACTACCATCAGAGTGAACAGGCAACCTACAAAATGGGAGAAAATTTTCGCAACCTACTCATCTGACAAAGGGCTAATATCCAGAATCTACAATGAACTCAAACAAATTTACAAGAAAAAAACAACCCCATCAGAAAGTGGGCAAAGGACATGAACAGACACTTCTCAAAAGAAGACATTTATGCAGCCAAAAAACACATGAAAAAATGCTCACCATCACTGGCCATCAGAGAAATGCAAATCAAAACCACAATGAGATACCATCTCACACCAGTTAGAATGGCAATCATTAAAAAGTCAGGAAACAACAGGTGCTGGATAGGATGTGGAGAAATAGGAACACTTTTACACTGTTGGACTGTAAACTAGTTCAACCATTGTGGAAGTCAGTGTGGCGATTCCTCAGGGATCTAGAACTAGAAATACCATTTGACCCAGCCATCCCATTACTGGGTATGTACCCAAAGGACTATAAATCATGCTGCTATAAAGACACATGCACACATATGTTTATTGTGGCATTATTCACAATAGCAAAGACTTGGAACCAACCCAAATGTCCAACAATGATAGACTGGATTAAGAAAATGTGGCACATATACACCATGGAATACTATGCAGCCATAAAAAATGATGAGTTCATGTCCTTTGTAGGGACATGGATGAAATTGGAAATCATCATTCTCAGTAAACTGTTGCAAGAACAAAAAACCAAACACCGCATATTCTCACTCTTAGGTGGGAATTGAACAATGAGAACACATGGACACAGGAAGGGGAACATCACACTCTGGGGACTGTTGTGGGGTGGGGGGAGGGGGGAGGGATAGCACTGGAAGATATACCTAATGCTAGATGACAAGTTAGTGGGTGCAGCATACCAGCATGGCACATGTATACATATGTAACTAACCTGCACATTGTGCACATGTACCCTAAAACTTAAAGTATAATAATAATAAATAAAATAAAAAAGAAAGAAAAAAAAAAGTAATTATCTTTTTCCCTTACAGAGCCAGTGTCTTTGAAGTATAATTGTTCAGTGGCTTGGATACGTCTCCACAAGTAAATGCTACAGGCATGTAGGGAAGACAAGAAATACTTTAATGCTCACGAAATTGCACAGACTAGCCACAAAAGAATTAATAGTCAAGTTTGAATAAGCTAATTTGTTAATTTGATTACTTATTTTTTCTAGCCTTGAAAATTTAGAGTTCTATAAAAGCTTTCCCAGTGCCCTTATTTTAATACTATGCTTATTTTAAATGCTTGAAAGTGACTTCAGCATCCATAATTCAACTGAAATGCTTGATTTTTTTTCCTCATAAAGTGACTGGAACAAAACAAAGCATGAAAAATTGCAGTTCACCTCCAACTTTAATCTTTCATCCAGTTCCTTCCTTTTGATATGCTTTGTTTTTCTTTAATCTCTGTGAGAACTAATAATGAGCAGATTCAGAGTGATTTAGAGGTTCCAAAAATAGTACTATATCTCTTGGCTGTCATGAAGTTAAAATTCCAGTGAGAGCCTACATACAGGTTTTTATTTAAAAAGTGTTTTCTGCATTGTTATTGAAAATAAAACAACAAAAGTTTTTTTCTTCAGTTACCTATTTACAACTTCATTTTTCTACATAGGCACACTTGTATTACTACCTTAAAATCTCAGATATTGGATATGTTAATTCATTCACTTAATACACAACTATTGAGAATTTACTATGTGAAAACCCTAAGGAGGACACTGGAGGAATAGGGGAGGAATGGTGGCAAATCACAATAGACAGGAAGTAAGTGGGTAAGAAAAGATATGTCATGTAAATGGAAAACAAAAGTGAGCAGGAGTAGCCATCCTCATATCAGATAAAACAGGCTTTAAACCAACAATAGAAAAGACAAATGAGCATTATATAATAATTAAATGTTCAATACAAGAAGATATAACTATCTTAAATATATATGCACCTAACACCAGAACACCCAGATTCATAAAACAAATACTACTACACCTAAGAAAACATTGATAGTAATACAGTAATAGTGGGGGACTTCGACACCCCACTGATATCACTGGACAGATCATCAAGGCAGAAAATCAACAAAGAAACTCTGGACTTAAACTGAACTGTAGACCAAATGGACCTAACAAACATTTACAGAACATTCTAGCCGACCACAGAATATACATTCTTGTCACTCTGCATGGAGCATTCTCCATTATCGACCATATGCTTGGCCATTAAAGAAGTCCCAATAAATTCCAAAAAATCAAAATCATATCAAGTATCTTCTCGGACCACAGTGGAGTAAAATTAGAAATCAAGACCAAGAGGAACTCTCATAAACACACACTACATGGAAACTAAACACCTTGCTCCTGAGTGACCTTTGGGTAAACAGTGAAATTAAGAAATCAAAAAAATTTTCAAAACAAATGAAAATAGGCAACATATCAAAACCTCAGGGATACAGCAAAAGTAGAACTAAGAGGAAAGTTTATAACTTTAAATGTCTACACCAAAAAGATAGAAAGATCTTAAATTTACAACCTGATGTCACACCTCAAGGAACTAGAAAAATAAGACCAATTGGAACCCAAAGCTAGCACAAAAAAAGAAATAACAAGGATTAAAGCAGAAGTAAATGAAATTGAGACAAAAAAAGATATAAAGGATCAGTGAAACAAAAAGTTGGTTATTTGAAAGGTTACACAAAAATGACAGACTGCTGGCTAAATTAACCAACAAGAAAGAGAAAATTCAAATAAGTACAACCGGAAATGATAAAGGTGATATTACAATTGATAACATAGAGATACAAAAGATCATCACAGACTACTGTGAACACCTCTATGCGTATAAACTAGAAAATCTAGAGGAGATGGATAAATTCCTGGAAATATAAAACCCTGCATGATTGAGCCAGCAAGAAATAGAAGTCCTGAACAGACCAATAATGAGTAATGAAATTGAATCAGTAGTAAAAATCTTCCAAGAACAACAAAAGCCCAGGACCAGACAGATTCACAGTTGAATTTTATCAAACATACAAAGAACTGGTATTCAATCTTACCGAAACTTCTAAAAAACCAATGAGGAGGGATTATTTCCTAACTCGTTCTATGAAACCAGTATCTCCCTGATACCAAAATCAGAGAAGGACACAATGGAAAACAAAAACTATAGGCTAATATCTCTGATGAACGTAGATGCAGAAATCCTCCACAAAATACTAGCAAACCGAATCCAATAGCACATGAAGAAGATAGTTTATCATGATCAAGTGTGTTTTATCCCAGGGATGCAATGATGGTTCAACATCCACAAATCAATAAGTGTGTTTTACCACATACACAGAACTAAAAACAAAAACCATACAGTCATCTTAATAGATGCAGAAAAGGCATTCAGTAAAATCCAACATCCTTCGTGATAAAAACCCTTAACAAAATAGGCTGATGAAAGAAATCGTAGATGACACAAATGGAAAAACATCCCATGCTCATAGACTGGAAAAATCAGTATCATTAAAATGCCCATACTATTCAAGGCAATCTACAGAGTCAGTGCAGTCTCTATCAAATTACCAATTTCATTTTTCACACAATTAGGAAAAAAATCCTAAAGTTCATATGGAACCAAAAAAAGAGCCCAAATAGCCAAAGCCATCCTAAGCAAACAGAACATATCCAGAGTCATCATATTGCCTGACTTCAAATTATACTACAAGGCTGTGGCAACTAAAACAGCATGGTCCTGGTATAAAAATAGACATACAGATCAATGGAGCAGAATAGAGAACCCAGAAATAAGCCATATACCTACAACCAACTGATCTTCAACAAAGCCAACAAAAATAAACAATGGGGAAAGGACATCCTATTCAATAAATTGTGCTGGGAAAATTGGCTAGCCACATGCAGAAGAATGAAACTAGACAAATGCAAATGCAACATAAAAATAGACAAATGGGATTTAATTAAACTAAACAGCGTCTGCAAAGCAAAAGAAATAATAAGAGTAAACAGACAACCTACAGAATGGGAGAAAATATTCACAAATTGTGCCTCTGACAAAGGACTAGTATCCAGAACTTACAAGGAACTGAAAGAACTCGACAAGAAAAAAACAGCTCCATTAAAAAATGGGCAAAGGACATGAACAGATATTTCTAAAAAGAAAAGCAAGTGGCAAAAAGCACATGAAAAAATGCTCAAAAATCACTAATCAGAGAAATGCTAATTAAAACTACAATGAGATATTGTCTTACACCCATCAGAATGGCTATTAATAAAAAGTCAAAAAAAAAGTTGTTGGCATGGATGTGGAGAAAAGGAAACATACAATATTGATGGGAATGTAAATTAGTTCAATATCTATGGTAAACAATATGGAGATTTATCAAACAACTAAAAATATAAATACCATTCAATCCTGCAATCCCACTACTGGGTATCTACACAAAGGAAAAGAAATCATTATGTTATAAAGACATCTAAACAGAAAAAGACACCTGCATTTCTATGTTCATCATAGCACTACTCACAATAGCAAAGTCATGGAGCCAATCCAAGTGTCCATCAACAGTTAACTGAATAAATAAAATGTGGTATAAATACACCATGGAATACTATGCAGCCATAAAAAAGAATGAAATAATTTTCTTTGCAGCAACATGGGTGGAGCCTAGAGGCCATTATCCTAAATGAACTAACTCAGAACAGAAAATTAAATACCACATATTCTCACTAATAAGTGGGATCTAACAATGGATACAAATGGACATAAAGATGGAAATAATAAACACTGGAGACTCCAAAAGGGAGGTGGGTGGTAAGGTGGCAAGAGTTGAAAAACTACCTATCAGATACAATGTTCACTATTTGGGTAATGAATATGCTAGAAGCCCAATCCTCACCAGTACACAATATACCGATGTAGCAAACATGCACATGCACATGCACATGCACATGAATCTAGAATTTTTTAAAAATGTTAATTAAAACAGTAAGCAGGTGGGCAAATTCCTCAGATCTCTGAAGAACTCAAATGGACAGCCACTGAAACTTTTTGTACCAAAAAAAATGGGATAAAAAAATTTTCCTTTTTCACATATTTCAGATGATTGTGATAAGAAGAAAATTATAACTTATGGCTAAGGACCAGTTTGCTGGGCTGGAGCCCAGTGGTTTAGTAATTTGGTAGTTAGGTTTCTTTGGTATTAACCAAATCAATTTGCATACCATACAATTCACCCACCTAAAGTTATGTTCAGCGGCTTTTAGTGTAGTCATAGAATTGTACATTCATCACCACAGTCAATTTTAGAATATTTTCATTACCTCAGAAAGAAACACTGAACCCCCTTAGCTATCATCTCCCAATTCTGCTGTCTCCCCAAACTCTAGGCAAGCACAAACCTTTAAGTCTCTATAGATTTGCTTGTTCTGGGCACTTTATATAAATGAAATCATATAATATATGGTTTTTGTAATGGTTTCTTTCAATTAGTTTAATGTTTTCAAGGTTCACTCATGTTGTAGCATGTATCAATACTTCATTTCTTTTTGTTGCCAAGCAATATTTTGTTGTATAGATATACCACATTTTGTTTACCCATTCATCAGTTGATTGGCATTGGTGATGTTGCCACGTTTTTACTGTTATGAATAATGCTGTTATAAGCAGTCATATGCAAGTCTTTTTGAGGACATATGTTTTTATTTCTCTTGGATATGTACCTAGGAGTAGAATTGCAGGATCGTATGGTAACTCTATGTTTAATCATTTGAAGAACTGCCAAACTGTTTTCCATCTTACCAGTTTTCATTCCCACCAGCAGTGTGTAAGAGTCCAGTCTCCAATCCTCACCAACACTTGTAATTATCTTTTTTTATTATAGTCGTCCTAATGTGTGTGATGTGGTATCTTGTGGTAATTTTGATTTGCATTTCCCTGATGGCTAATTATGTTGAGCATTTTCTCATATCCTTATTGGCAATTCGTATATCTTCTTTGGAAGACTGTATTCATATCCTTTGCCCACTTTTAATTTGGCAATTTGCCTTTATTATTGAGTTTTAATATTTCTTTATAATAGATACAAGTCACTTGTCAGATATATGATTTGCAATAAAAGCTTTCCCATTCTGTGTGTTGTCTTTTCACTTTCTTAATGGTGTCTTTTGAAGCATGGAAATGTTAAATCTTGACAGTGTCTAGATTTTTTCTTCTGTTGCTTGTACTTTTGGTGTCATATCTATTAATAAGAAGCCACTGCCTCATCCAAGATGACAAAATTATGCCTGTGTTTCCTTCTAAGATTTTTATAATTTTTAGCTGGTACTTTTAGGTCTTTAAGTTAATTTTTATATATGGTCTGAGGTAAGGGTCCAACTTTATTCTTTTGTATGTGGATATCCCATTATCTCAGCACCATTTATTTGTTGACAAATGATTAACTTTATTGTCAGGCAGATGTTTACTATGTAGCTCAAAGTGA
Source organism: Homo sapiens (assembly GCF_000001405.40). NCBI lineage: Eukaryota > Metazoa > Chordata > Mammalia > Primates > Hominidae > Homo > Homo sapiens. Next base: position 110,695,054 of record NC_000011.10, on the reverse strand, counting down.
TAAGTGTCAACACTATGTTCAAAAGGTGTAGTTTGCAGTGCACAGGTATACTCTTGCTGTCTATGTCTAGTTCCATAGCAAATGCTTACATTTTTCTTAATGATACCATTCCAGCAGAGCCCCTTAAAGGTTTGTTTGTTTTCATATGTGTGCATTTGGGGATGGTGGTATTTATGTGGTGAATTAGTGGGTTTTTTAATTCACATAAAACCCTCATTTATAGAGTGTATAGTTTGTGCCAGGCATTATACCGGGATTTGGGAATGCAAAAATATGCTTGCTACAGAGGAGAGTTCAGTAAAAAATTGTTGAAGGAAGGGAGAAAATTTGGGAAGAAGATATAGCCCCTGCTCTCTAGAAGGGGTCAGAAACATAAGTATAATGTGAAATGCTACTACTGAGGCATCATATATGAAGGAACACACAGAGTTGAATATGTAATTAATCCATGTATTTAAAATGACTTGAAGGTAGAAAGCACCTTGCAGATTAGTTGGTAGTGTTGCTGCAGTTTTGTGTTATTATTTAAATGTAAAAGATAAAAAACAAATTACTGGCATTTGGTTCTCATATTCAGTTATGACCTTTATTCATTTATGGTTAGGCTTAATAGGTTTTTTGACCTACAATACTGAATATAACTGCAGAGGAGACAGCAGAGGGTCAAAGATCCATTGGAAGTAATGGCAAAAACAGCAATTACTTGTACACCAACCTAATAATTTCTCTCTAGTATTCATGTTATACTTTCCTAATAAAAGGCCATTTGTAAATAGACAACAGTTTTTGACATTTAATCACTCTTTATTCCATGTTAGAACTTCTTCCATTCTCCTCCTCATTTTTTCCCATTTGGGGGACAGAGAGATAGATAGGTACTACTTCATATTTGTTTGTTTCTTAGCTCACATAAAATTCTTATTTAGTTTTTGGGGCTACTTAACACTAGGTAAGTGATACGATATCAAACTCATTCCCAAAAGATTAATGCAATTAATTAATTGAGTATTTTTGCCTAAATGTATAGTTTATCGTTTCTTTAAAACATTACCTTTTAAAAATATTCTATTTCAGAGTGGTATCCACTATTTATGAAGTCATCTAGTTATAAACATCAAGTACAACAGAAAATATATACTATATACTGTTTGAAGTTTACCTTGTTTTCTGTGAAGCAAATAATTATAGTTATCCCTGTCACAGAACAACTGTGAAATTTGTTTGTGCTAAGATAAGCATAACGTAAGCCTGTCCTGATAAGTTTGTACTATTATACACCTGTAAAAGAATCAATAGTTTCATTCTATTTTGATGTATTTCACATAGTTGTAAACAAGAAAATCTAAGTTTTCATTGCCTGAGAACAGATTCTTTAAGAGATCAGTGAATTTGTTTTGAAGTTATTAGTGGCCCTTTGTTTGGTTACACTTTTAAGCAAAAGAAAGAGATAAGTGTATTTTGAATGAATTAATATCTAAATCTATTAAGCCCCTGGTTATATTGGCTGCTTGTAAGACCTTTTGTTACTTATTTAGAATGAATCCTGTGAATCCTAAATGTATGGTTCATGTAATGTTTATTTTCTTGCATATCCACGGTGAATCTTTGGTGGACACTTAATGTGGGACTATCAGAAATAAAGGGACCTAAGTGACTATGTAGTCCAAACTGTCTCATTTTGTGAGTAAGGAAATGGAGGCCCAGAGAAGTGGCTGAATTGCCTTGGGTTGCACATCTCATTAATGATAGAGTAAGTCTGAGTACGAACAATGGAACCTGAAATAAAAACAAACTACCTGCTGGTAGTTTGATTGCATTCTCTTCAATATAAATCAAGCTGGATGAAGTGGCTACACTCAGCATTTGACCCATTATACATCTGACAATTTTAAAACTCAGAAAATACATTCTATTCACTATTATACAAATGATCTTCTACAGTAGATTTCCATGAAAAACACCCATTTCAAAAGCACCTTTTCAGAACAAAATTTGTCACCCTTCTTTGATTATCCATTCTCATGTTTAACAGCTATCATTCTTGGGAGGATTTTCTTACATCAGAAAGTTTCTTAACTTGCGGTTCATAAATCCCTAAGGAATCCATTTCATGGGGGTTCTGAACCCCTGAAGTTGCATGCAAAATTTAGTTCACAACTTTTATAGATTTCTCAACAAACCACTACCCAAGGTCAACCTGGATTTTCATTCCATGTTTCTCCTCATTTCTTTTTGCCTCATCTTCCTTGGAAGATGCTAACTTTCCTCCACATTATAGTTCTGCATTAATTTTGAGATTATTACTGTTTCTAAATGAAGAATCTCAGATCATTTTATCCTGTTTCATAGGCTCTTTTTCTTCACATTTTAAGTCATTTTACACTGTCTTTTGAATCTTTTCCAAATTCTTCGTAAACCTGAAAGCCAAGGAGCTCAGAATTAGAAACTATGTACTAATGAAGATCTAGTTTAGAATCTTGGATCTGCTGACAGTGATTTCAGAAGGTTAGAGAAAGCAGATGTAAAGCTGCTGAATGGCAGATCCTCAAGGTCAAAGCAGACAGAGGGTGTGAGGGACAAAGGTAAAGCTTACAAGAGTGGGTACATTTCACACTTCAAAGTAGTAAATTGGTCCTGTAAAGAGAATCAGGATAGAGAGTAGGAATTAATTCCAGGCCTGAAGGTGAAACAGAACCCTGCAAAAAATCTGGAACATAGCTTGATGGATATGAACAAACTGCCACTTTTCTTAGTAAAATCAATCCAATCTTTCAGTATTGAGACTCTTCACATGAGGAAGTGCTGCTGTACCTTGCAATACAAATGCTTATCTCCCAGTTTTCCTTTCTCCTTGTAACCTCTGCAGTCACACTAGCCTAAGGATATTAGATTCCTGAGGATTATGTTCCTAAGAGGTGTGAGTAATGGAAACAGTGAGATGGGGCTTGCACGCTATAATATATAAACTAGGTTATTGAAATCACCAGTGTTGGAAAGGATTCGACTTTTCTGGGAATCCGATGATAACTCCGGGCTGTTTCTCTAGAAGGAAGACATCACATATACATCATGCAAAAAATTTTTATATAAGTAACCTGGCCTGAAATTGATTTGTGGTTAATAACTCCCAATTGAGATGTTTGATGTTATCTATTTTTAACCCATGTGTTTCCTGTCATTTATTAATGTTTTACATAATTATTCCAGCTGTTGTCTCAGCTGTGCTAAGGAGATTTGTGCCTATAGCTTCCACATGTGAGCCAAAAGATTAACAAGTGGAATAGCAACACCGAGGCCAGAGCAGTGGTGACAATAATTTGGGAGAGATCCCTAGGAGCATGGAGAATTTGTGGGATAAGAATTGTGCCAAAGAAGTCTAGCATCCTCTTCTCACTGGATGATTCTTTCTTTATTCCTATGCTAAGATCATTGTTTTACTTTAAAAACTACAAGCAATTCCTTTATGAATCACATAATAGGATACCGACACTGAGCTGCCTAGTTTTATATGGTTCCCATTGGAGCAACATCCAGTTCCCAAGCATGACTGGCCTAGAGGTAGTGGGTAACACCTTTGGCGAGGATACAGGGTGAGAGGGATATGGGATGAAAGGGTATAGAGATATAGGGTGAGAAGAACGGCTTTGATAATACAGCCTGAACTTCGCTCATGGCTGTTTGTGACTATATATGGTTAATTTTACTCATCTGCTTCTAGTGGCTGTATCTAGATGTGTTAAATATATAAGACTAAATTTAGAGAGTAATTATCTGAATAATTCAAGTCGAATAAACTTCATTTACTGCAACTTTAGGTCACTGGAACAGATTACCACCGTCTTATATTTATATACCACCTAGAAAAAAAGATTTTTTTATTGTTTGAAGTTACAGTTTTAAAAAAGTCTATTTGGAAGAAGGGATTCCCAAGTGTGTTAATATTTATGCAAAAATCTAGTCTCTGTGCTTTTGCTTTAACTGTTTTTTCCTCTCCTTTACTTGTCTTTTCTTGAAGCCAAATTTGCCTGTGAAATAAAGATAGTAGTATCTACCCGGATGACATTTTGGATTATAATAAATAAGGTAATCCATGTCCAGCCTTTAGCATAGAGCCAGACACATGATAACCAGTAATAATGGTTATGATGGTGTTTCTCCCAAATATTCTGGTAAACATTTAACCTCTTTATTCTCTGACCACAAAAAATACTTATTGCTTTTACCACTTTTTGACACTTACTGTCCTGTTTTTTTTTTAACTATCCTATTTTAGATGTTACAGTTTTATCTCCATAATGAAACTGTAGGCTCCTTGACAGACAAAGATAGGCAATGCAAAACTTGTTAAATTGGATTTAAAAAAAAATCAACATTGTCTTGCCTTACAAGCCATGTGGTCTTCATTTTGGTTTGTTTCATCAACAGAAAATGAAAACACTAGCAGAAAGGAGGAGGAGCGCTCCATCTCTTATCCTGGATAAAGCCCTACAAAAACGGCCTACTACCAGGTAAGTGCAAAGCTTTGTATTACACATTCAGTATGTGCTTGGAAGTTTATATTAGATGAAGAGTTTTTCAGATCACATATTCTTTAATGTGTAGAGGTTGTTTGTTATCAGCACCAGAATTCTGTTTAAGAGTAGAAAATACAACTTTTGTTCTGAGGTTAATAGTGCCTAGCTGGTATATATGCTCAGTTGCTTTAAAACTGATTCAAAAGTGAATTTCACCCTCAAAAGTATATAAACTTGCAAGTTCCACATTTTAACAAAGTTTACTTATAAAATAGAAATCAAAATACTGAAAAATGAATGTTTTGTTTTGCACAAAACTTTGCATATTTTTAAATCAACACAAAGTGATGGCTGTGCATGGATAAGGCAGTTTTTCTTACCAACTTTAGATGTGAAGGAAGATAACCATATTATGATTATTTTTTAAAATGGAATATTGATTGATTTTAGGCATTATTAGTTAAATTAGTGAAATTCAAAGTGGAAAAATCAGCTAAATACCTGTTAACAGAGTCATTTCACCAATGGAGGCTAATTGCTATTTCAATGGACATTGAAATAGACATTTTTTTTTTTTTTGCAGAGCAGGAGCGAAAGCTTATTAAAAAGATTTAGAACAGGAAGGAAAGGAAGGAAAGTACAACTTGAAAGAGGGCCAAGCAGGCGACTTGAGAAGACAAGTACGCAGCTTGACCTCTTGATGTGGGGGATTTTGTATGTTGGCATACTTCTGGGATCTCACTGGGAAGCTGCTGATCAGATTCAGGTGTTTTCTGTCTATTATGAGACCGCCTTTCCCCGGTGCCAGCTGTGACCAATTAATACTTTAGCGAAATGGTTAACAACCACCGACCATCAACTGATGGTCACCCAATACTCCTGGTGTGTGTTGCGGGGAGCCTTTTCCTGCCCTGCTCACACCTGACTAGCTACCTACTGTAACATTTCAATAGACATTTTAAGAGTCTTTCATAATGTGTTGAAATTGAATAGTCATTATTATTTTATTCATTAATTTATTCGTTAATTTTTTTGAAATTCAAATATTCATTAATTTATTCACTAATTTTTTCAAATTCAAATATTCATTAATTCATTAATTTTTAAATGGCATTTTAACTCGTAAGAGTTTTTATGTTCAAAGGAATGTTACAATGATTTTTCTTTAAGTTGTGAATCCTTTTAGGTAAAGTGAAGGCTTCACCAACTTTATTTAAAGCAAGGATATATCTATGACATATCTTCAAATTGTGCTAATTTAACATAAAATCTATATGATTGGGAGTCCAAGGCGGGCGGGTCACGAGGTTAGGAGATCGAGACCATCCTGGCTAACATGTTGAAACCCCATCTCTACTTAAAAAAATCCAAAATATTAACCGGGCGTGGTGGCGAGGGCCTGTAGTCCCAGCTACTCTAGAGGCTGAGGCAGGAGAATGGCGTGAACCGGGGAGGCGGAGCTTGCAGTGAGCCGAGATCGTGCCACTGCACTCCAGCCTGGGCCACAGAGCGAGACTCCATCTCCAAAAAAAAAAAAAAAACTATATGAAAGTATGGAAGTTTTTCAGTATTAAAAATAAGTTATATATCCAAATCCCAACAAGTGACATGTACAAAAACACTCACGTCACTTTCTTCCGAGCACATAGCAAGTTCTCAGACTCAGTAGTTTTTCTCACCTACCCCCAGAAGACATACACTTTAGTCATTGGGTTGATCAAGAAATGTAAACTCCTTTTAATAGATGCCTAATCAAAATTTAATTAGGAAGCCGTTCTGCCAAATAAAAATACGGTAATATATTTCAGTGTCATACGTAAATGACTTTTGCATTGTTTGCATCAGTGTATCCTTTAGTGTGAATAAAAGAGAATGGTTGTATCTTCACAGTTTAACACTGGTTATCTAGAAACCTCAAGGGACAGTATTTTTTTTTAGGGGAGGTGGATAGAGGAAACAGAATTAATCAGTATAGATGTCTTTAATTCTCTACTATAGATGTAAAAATAAATTTATTGTTTATTTTTTAACTAAGTTTTTAACAAATACACAGTTTTGGGTAAAATTTTTTACTGGAAGCTTGTGAGTATGAAGTGTACTAAGGTTTTTCACTTAAAAGTAGTCCTTATAGAAGCTTTAGCCTTAGATCAGGAACCAGCAGTCATCTTCCCCCAATCTACTCCAGGGTGAGAATCTGCAATAAGTATACATGCAGGTACTGAAAGTTCATGCAGACCAGTGGTTCACATTGGGGGCGGGGGGAGGAGGGGGTGTTACTAACCTCTAGGGAACACTTTGGAATTTTGGGGAACATTTATGTTTGGTCAGTGATTTAGTGGCAGCAGCCAGGGATACTAGGCATCATGGAAAGCACAGAATATCCTGCGTAGAGAAGAATGGTGGGTTCCTGCATAGCTTTTGAAAGTCCCCTATATAACATATGCACGAAGGGGGAAAATATCTTTATATAATTATCTATGCCTGTAACCTATTTTATATATAAGCACAAAGTATTTTTATACATTTCAATGAATACTAAATTTTTCAGAAATGTAGCTACCTTGTACGTCAAGAGATAATTGTACTTTGTATTGTTTGGAACCATTTCTAAAAATTACTGGGCTTCATTTTTCTGTGCTTGTTACATGAAATTTCTTATCTGACTTCTCTTAAATTTGAATATATTAATTGTAACTAGTTGTAAGCATCTGACTACTTAATTGTCTTTAGTATAATCATGTCTGAGCATGTACTTATTGAAATACATACTTTATTAAGAACTATTTTCATTTTTTTCTTTATGTTACCGTTAGAGTGTTTTATTATTTTCAACTTTTTAAAAATACCTGTGAATTTCATTTCAGGATATAAAAAGAGGAATTTAAACATATATATAGACTTTTATATAACAAAGGGTCATTGGGTTTAATAGAATCAAGAACTACTGATACAGATGAAGTGCCATGCTAGGGAAAATGCTAACACTTACCTGACTCACTGAAAAATGCCACTTCTCATTGTTTTAAGTTGAGAACCAATATAATAATATACAACAATGCCCTTCCCCACACTGCCTCCCTATCACTTCTTCAAGAATTGGTGCTTACATTAGAGCCAGTTCTCCCAGATTCTTAGTAGTAGCAAAATATGATGAGTTTTGTTTCAAAATAACTGTAAGGAAAAAAGTTTGTTTGGCTGGACATAGTGGCACATCCTTGTAATCCAAACCCTTTGGTATGCCAGGGTGGGAGGAGCACTTGAGCCTGAGCAACATAGCAAGACCCTGTCTCTATAAAAAAAAAATTAGCCGGGCATGATGATGTGTGTCCCAGCTATTTGGAAGGCTGAGGTGGGAGGATCACTTAAGCCCAGGAGTTGGAAGCTGCAGTGAGCTATGATTGTGCCACTGCACTCAGACCCTGTCTTAAAATATATGTGTGTGTGTGTGTGTGTCTATATATATGTGTGTGTGTGTGTGTGTGTCTATATATATATATATATATATGTTTTAATCTTCAGTTAATTTCCTGCAAGTTTCTCTAGATCAGTAATTAGGGTGCATAATGCTAGGGAACAGGACCTTCACCTCTCTCATAATCTTATAAAGATGAGATTATGCTTTTACTTTGTGTAGCTCTTGGTGCTTGTACTCTGAAGGTATGCAAAATATTTGTAAGCAATACAATTTCAGGATTGGAAAGAACCTGAAAGGGTCCTCTAGTTTAGTGATTCCTAAGCCTTTCTAATTCGGTATTCTGGAGTGGGATACAGATATCAGCATATTTTTCAAATCCATAGTTAATTCTGTGCACTCTTTTTTAAAATTGTAGGAACACTTAACATGAGAGCTATCATCTTTATAGATTTTTAAGTATAGAATATAATACTGTTATCTATAGGATTCTAATGAATGCTTGGTGGAGGACCACTGTTGCATGATATAAAAGAATGCTTTTATGTTGATTTGCTTATAAAAAAGGAATACAAGATAAGAGTTTTAAGGAAGTATTTACAATTGACAAAAGTAATACATATTTGTTATAAAAGAAAACAATATGGACATGTATAAAACAAAAAGTAAATTCTCTACTCCATCCCCAGGGGTAACTACTATTAATCATTTGTATTTCCTTTTAAATTCTTGCCTGTTCAGAAGTGATTCAGATTTTTGTTTTCCCTCATGTTTAAATTCTCATTTAAATATAGATGTATTAGTTCTTTTCAAGTCTCTTGCAGTTTTTTTTAAAACTTGGAGATCAAATCTTATTATAATAAACATTCAAGAAAGTCTTTGAATTTTGTCCACTTTTTTATAATGTATGTTCCTGAAAAGTTACATAAATCAGATTTTTTGAATTATTAATGAGCTTGCTGTTTTAAATAAATCCTATAGTTAAAACTTAAATAAATTTTATAGTATAAAACTAAATAGTAATATTCAGTGATGTACTTCTAACTTTTTCCAAAGTTGTTACAAATAATGCAAATTTTTGCAAATAGAATTTTGCTTTTCTATCCATTATACTCCAGAAATATGAGAAATTTCTGAAGTCCAAGATGATAACACAGCTAGTTCAAGTGGTACTTTATACAGCAAAATTCTCGTAGCCTTCCCCCAAAATCGTTTCTATCTCTTGAAATGTAACATGAGAACTAGACTGCAAAAGATTTGTGGGCAGTGTTTGGGCAGACAGCAAAGAAATAGTGTTTTATTTATTGACATTTTATATTTTTTGAATTACATCTATATTTGATTTTGGCATTGCTGTAGAACCTTACTACTTTTACTATTGTCCCATAGTTGTTACTTAGTAATTAATGACTTGTAGATGACAAAGCTTGTATCTAAATCTGCAGGAGATTTCAAAGAATCCTTTTTAAAAATAATTTAATGAACAAGAGCTGGATTTAAAGAGGAAGAAATATTTAAATTAACTGATGAGTTAACTGTATTTATGTGTTAAAGGTAGTTTTATCTCCAGTGTTCTTTGGTGAATGCTTAGAGTACATAAGGAGAGGCAGTTCATAGATTTTAACATTTTTTTTAATGTGGCACCATTCAGAGCTGCTGGAGGTGGTTTCTCTAAGTAATTATTATATTAGGAAATGTGACAGACATCTTTCATGCTGAGAAGGTTACAGGTTTTCTAAGGTGAGTGGTTACATAGCTGCAGTCAACTACTTTTTCTCTTTGACACAGTAGTGTTCACTTCTGTGTTTAAAGATGATCTAACATTGTGTGGTAATCATCCTTGTGTTAAGACTCTGAGCACATATGTTAAAGGGTTTAGTTTTCTTAAAAATAAAATGAAAGTGTTGAAATATGTTATTTGTTAAACTTCTAATTTTATGGTCATATAATTATTTGTTGAATACAACAAATCAAAAAGATTTCCCAGAAGACTGTGTATTTTCCAATATGATCTTAATTTTATTGTTTCATATAATTTTTCGGTGATAAAAGCCTCAACTTCATTTTTTAAATTTTAGATTCAGGGGGGTACATGTGCGTATGTGTTACATTGCATGGTGCTAGGGTTTGAGCTTCTATTGAACCCATCACACAAACAGTGAATGTGGTACCCAGTAGTAGTTTTTCAAGACTTGCCCCCCACTTCCCTCTCTTCTTTTGGAGTCCCTAGTGTCTTTTGTTTTCATGTTTCTGTCCCATTGTTTCCTCCCACTTATATGTGAGAACATACAGTATTGGGTTTTCTTTTTCTGTGTTAATTTACTTAGAATAATGGCCTCCAGCTGCATACATGTTGCTACAAAGGACATGATTTTATCCTTCATCCTTTCTTATGTCTGCGTAGTATTCCATGGTATATATGTAGCACATTTTCTTTATCTAATCCACTGTTGATAGACACTTAGGTTGATTCCATGATTTTGCTATTGTAAATAGTGCTTCAGTAAACATAAGAGTGCAGTCTTTTTGATAAAACTAGTTTTTTTCCTTTGTTTAGATATCCAGTAATGGGATTGCTGGGTTGAATTGTATTTCTATTTTAAGTTCTTTGAAAATTTGCCATACTATTTTTCATAGGAGTTGAACAAATTTACATTTTTCAGAAAAATACTACTCAGATGCTAAGAAATTAAAGTATGTTAGTATGTACCAATAATATGTCTAGATAATCAATATGAACATTGTTTTAATATACCCAGCTGTTATTTTCCCTTTTTTAAGAAAGAATTTTGAATAGTTTCTGAATACTGTTACTTTAAAGGTTCACTAATTTAATAAAATCAATCTGTTAGCAAAAACAAGACTTCTGTATATATACTCTGAATTCTAATGTTTGCTGTTTTCTAAACACATCATACTCTCTAGCCTTCTCTCAAATGTCACTTCCTTCAAAAACTCCTCTAACTCTTCATAAATAACATCCATGTTCCTATAACACACTATATATCTTTTTATATATAAGTATTAGACATTTATTGTTCATAGTTCTGAAGGTTGGCAAGTCCAAGATTAAGGCACTGGCAGGTTTCATGCGTGGTGAAGGCTGCTTTCCACTTCTAACATGGCATCTCTTACTGTGTCCTCACATGACGGAAGGGGCAAACAGCTCCCTTGTACTTCTTTTATAAGGGAGCTAATTCTCTTCATAAGGGCTCTGCCCTCATGACTAAATCACCTCCAAAAGCCTCACCTCTTAATATTATCACACTGGTAATTAAGTTGCAGCATTTGAACTTGGGTGAGAATTGTATAGTTAAAAATCTATAAAGATGATCGCTCTCATTCAGACTATAACAACTGGTTACTCCAAGCCTCAGTTTCCTCATCTGTGAAATAGGAGTCATAATAGTACCTTTTTAAAAAAATTGGCACATAATAATTGTACATATTTATGGGGCATAGTGTGATAACCACCCTATATATCTTTTAATCATAGCACTCAATCACACTTCATTGGAATCTCCTTATATGCATGTTTCCTCTAATGTCCTAGCACACATTTATTAATAAAATAATACCTTGTACATACTTGCTGTTCAGTTATTATTTGTTGGATGAATTAGTGAATAAATTAATGTCTCCATTTGCAAACCAAAAGAGGAATTTAATAAGTTAGCACAGTAGTTTCTGACTTTCCTGACTTCCCTTAATGTATAAGACACTTTGCTTTTTCATTGGCATTTGTGAAAGTCTTGATAGGGAAAATGGAGATTTTTTTTAACAAAATGTTTCTTTGTTATTGTTAGGAAGTAATTTCATGCAGCAAAATGCCACAAGTGCTCATGTATATGGTTTAGAAATCTCATATATATTGGCATTGTTATGGTATTTCTTCATTGTTTATTTAGGAATGAATTCAAGTCATACAAACTTTCCCTTCAAAAATGTATTATTTTGATATGGTGAACAGCCTACCTTGTGGAAATTGCACAAAAATGTATCCACTTTTGTTTTGGGTAACAACCTGTTACCACTTTTAAGTTGATATTCATTTGTCTATCTCCATCTCCACCTCCAAGTTAATTTATTGCGTTTGGGCTGTTTGCAAGACTTTGTGCTAGGTACTTTTAAATCTCTGCTGAGAGGAGGGACAGACAACACCAGGGAAGAATTGTGGTATAAGAGAAAGTACTTGGTCTTTGGTTGCATTTAAATGTTGGCACTCCATCCTGATTATCTGTGTGACCTTGGATAAATTACTTTATCTCTGAGTCTCAATGTTTTCCTCTGTAAAATATGGGTCATAATGCTTACATCATAGAACACAAAATGAGGAAATAAGTAAAAATGCTTAGAATATTAACTTAGTTATTATTATTTCCCTTCTTCCCTTCCATTATATAATGTATAGATATATAATTTTTAAGACTCAAGCCTTCTGGCTCATCTATTAATGTCAAGCTTGTTAATAAAAAGCACCTGCTTTATCATCACAGCATTGTATAACTAAAAGTGGATCATTGATCCTGGCTCATTAAGTAGCAGAAATTGAGTCAAAAACTTCCTCTAGGTCACATAGTTGATTAATGTCAGAGACAGGACCAGAACCCAGGTGTCTGGTCTTAAAGGAATATGATACAGTACCTTAGTGCATAGACTCTGAAACCAAATTGCCAGGTCTAAATCCTGGTACTTCCCCTTACTAGCTATGTGTGATCTTGGGTAAGTTTTTCAACCAGAGATGATAATAATAATACCTACCTCATAGGATTTTAAGGAGAACTAAATGAGTCTTATATATCTAAAGTTCTTAAAGTAGTCTCTAGTACATAATCAGTGCTACATATGTATGTAAGCTATTTATTATTGTTAGTAGTAGTAGCAGTAGTAACAGCAGAAGGAAGTACACATTCTCATAGAGAGACTCTTTGAAGACCATAGCAGATGGGAAATTAAAAAGATGAAAGATGGAGAATTTGGAAGCCTGCTAGAGTCTAATGTTAAATTTATTTTAGCAAGACAATTATATTTCTAGGTCTGACCTAAAGCAGGATTAACTCAGGATATTTTGGATTTATTCTTGGTAGACCCTGACAACTTTTGAGTTCTCCCTATGTAGAGGTTCTCAGTATGCCTAGAATGACTCTGGGAAATGACGGTTTGAACCATGGAGGATTGACCTGCTTTGCTCAGTCACTTAAGATGAAGAGGCTCTAGGAGTTTTATATGTGCCAAAGCTGTGAGTCAAGATTAGGTACATATAGAATTGGCTGGTTTAGGGTACAGATAATAGAGTGAGGGAGCCCAGTCAGAAGGCGTTTGTAATTAGGAAAGCAGCCATTTGCTAACTGGCTTCCACTTTGGGTTCATTCACTCCTGTTGTGCATGACCACACACCACCATGCTCACATTGTCCTACTCTGACTATCCCCCATTGTGTTCTACGAATTCCTCATTATTCCACTTCCTTTTTCCTCTGTCATGTTAGCATCATAACTTCAGTATTAGCCTAAAGTGGATAATAGCTTATCATACTTTCGAATGAAGGAAGTACATTTATACTCTGCAGTGGTTTACTGAGGATTGTAGTAAAATCTTCTTTCATAACAGAATGAAAAACTGCCTTTACCTGTGACAGTTTAGTGTGGACCTTTCAGATATAGTAATGGGAATGAACTCAACGACCTCATAAAGGCCACTCTCATGCTGAGACTCTAAGGTAGTTGTAATAACAATTGATATCACTTAAAGGAAAAATTAATTTAAAAGAGAAGTTACCAGACTTTTTGGAATTTTATAAACTTTCTATACCTAGGTATGGTTTCTTGGTATAAGACTTAAATAAAATTTTGAACTTTAGAGGAATTTTTAAAAATCTTTAAGACCTTTTCAAAATTACAATAAACTATACTGACATGTTATTTTAGAAAAATTCTATGTCAAACACTGTTCCATGTGCTGTCTTGCATAACATGCCAATTGGCTCTACATAAGGTCCATTCCTACAGTTTTGGACAATACGTTGTGAGGTTTTTATTTGAGAGATCTGTGAATGATCCAAGGTATATGATGCGAACACCAAAGTAGAAATTTAATACTTGAAGATTGCCAGTAGCCTGCAAAACCCCACTTTTTTTTCCTTGCAAGGAACATTTTTCAAAGTTGTAAAATTCAGATATAAGGAAAAGAGACAGCAATTGCTTTATAAGGTGGCAAAGTTGGCAAATTTTTTACCAAAATGAAACTCATTACTTTGTTAGACAAAAGGTTTCCAGGCCCATATATTGCTTTATTCTTTTCAAACTACTTTTCATACTATTTAAAAAATGATCAAATACATCTGTTTGTGGTGCAGTGTGCTAATTTTCTTGTGGTATGATTCTGGGAGGAAATCTTTAGGAGATTAAATTTAGTCTCTCCACATTCTAGTGGGCTTTGATGGGGTCAAATTAATTTATTTTTGTAGCTACAGAACAGCACATCCATTTAATTTCTTAATTCCAACTTTAGGTTAATTTGCTAATTGCAGTTATGATTCAATTGTATCTTTCATTTTGGCACCAGGAAAGCACTACCTCATTAGTGCATGTTTATTTGCCCTTCCTCACCCCTGTTCATAGGGATAGCAGTCTGTCCTACGACATCCTTACTATATTGAACTAGATACTCTCTTCCCCTATACAACTTGAAAGCTAGGATTTCTCAGAGTTTTGGCATTACATGATTGACCTTCCTTCAGAACCTTGAAAAAAAGACATATTAGGGAAGCAGAAGAACAATTATTACTATTATTGAGAAGCTTCATATTATTGTGGTTAAGAAAGTATGGACTCTGTAGCCATTCTTTTTTGGGTTTGAACCCTGGCCCTTCTTCTTACCAGATGTGAGAACTTTGGCAAGTTACTTAACCTCTTCAGGCCTCACTTTATCCATCTGTAAAATGGGGATGACTTCATAGGGGATTAAATGAGTTAATTTTATAATGTATTTGGCATATTGTAACTGTTATATAATGTTTCATTAAATAAAATTATTAAAAATATATAAATCTTTAGGGTCTCCTGTCACATAATGTCTAATTTGCCGAGTGTTCCAGGTTTAGGTCTTGCCTCAACTTGACTATGGGTCAACTCTTAGTTGGATGGAAAGAGGGTAAGAGTCTACTGCTACCTGAGAAAGTGTACACATCCAGTGTTGAAAAGCCACAGAAAGAAATGTCCATTCTGGAGTGACCAGCTGTTTAATGTATATTGAATTAATGCTTACATGTACACCATGTCATCTGGATTATGAGTCACTGCCTTTGGTTTTCTGATACATAGTTCTGAGTATGATGAGAAAACACAGAGAATGGATTCTAGTCTCCTGCTCTAGCACTATGTGACCCTGGTGGAGTCACCCATTCTTTCCATGACTGGGACTTTTTCCCCTCATCTGTTGGTGATAGGGGAGGGGAGAATAAAGTTGACTAAATTCTTCTCATACTTTTTTCACCCCAGCTCTACAGTTTTGTGTTTCATTATTCTAAGCATACTTCAGTTACAGGAAGAATGAAAATCAGTATGAATGTTCTTGAACACCCTTTTATTGCAACTCATAAAACATCTCTGAGTGTGTCTGTCACACTGTTGAGGAGTAAGTAGTATCCTCTTTCAGTGCAAAGGTCAAACATTTGCTTATGTAGAATCTGGTCTACTTGTTATCATGTCGTTTTGGTAACTAGCCTCCACAATGGCATCCAGTGATTCCCGCCTCCTAGTATTCATACCCTTGTCTAATCCCTGCTACACTGTATCAGAGTTGCTCTGTGTAACCAGTAGGATTTGGTAAAAGTAGTGATGTGCCACTTCCGAGATTAGGTTACAAAAGGTGGAGTTTCCTTCTTGATTGCTGTCATACTTTCTTTCTCTGACCACTTGATCTGGAGGAAGCCATGTCATGAGCAGCCCTATGGAGGAACCCACAAGATGAGAAACTGAAGGCTCTAATAGCCACATGAAGGCTCTTGGAAGCAGACCCTCCCACTCCAGTCAAGACTTCAGAGATTGCAGCCAGCCCTGGTTGAAATCTTACTGCAACCTCAAGAGACCTAAGACCCACCCAACTAAGACACTTCCAGGTTTCTGATCCTTATAAATTGTGTAGGGTAATAAATATTTGTTTGGCCGGGTACAGTGGCTCATGCCTGTAATCTAGCCACTTTGGGAGGCCAAGGCGGGTGGAATTGCATGAGCTCAGGAGTTCAAGACCAGCCTGGGCAACGTGGTAAAACCCTGTTTCTACAAAAAAAAATGTGAAAATTATCTGGGCATGGTGGTGTGGACCTTGTAGTCCCAGCTACTCAGGAGGCTGAGGTGGGAGGATTGCTTGAGCTCAGGAGGTTGAGGCGCAGTGAGCCGTGATTGTGCCACTGCACTCCAGCCTGGACAACAGAATGAGACCCTGTCTCAGAAAAGATAAATAAATGAATAAATAAATAAATGTTTGTTGTTTTAAGATGCTATGTTTGGGGGTAATTTGTTATTGCAGCAATAAATCAATAGAGTAATCTTCAAGTTATGAAACTAGCTTTCTAGAATGTTTCTCTCATGTATTAATATGTTTTATGTATTCTTACAGCTAGAGGTGGAAAGATGGAAACAGATGCTATTCCAGTTTATAAATGAAAAGGCCAATTCCCCAGATCATGTAATTTGTTGAAAAAGGGGCCAGACAACATCTTTTTTAAAACAAAACAAAACAACATCTTTATGGAGATACAGTTCTTATGGTATAATTCACCAGTTAAAAGTGTACACTTCAGTGGTTTTTACTATATCCACAGGGATGTGAAGCCATCACCAAAATCTTCATTTTCATCCCCAAAAAAGAAATGCATAGCCATTAGCTGTCACTCCTATTCTCTCCTGCTGCACTTCCACATCCCCAGCTCTAAGCAACCACTCAACTGTTGTCTATGTTTATAACTTTGACTCTTCTGGACATTTCAAATAACTGAAATCGTGTGCTGTTTGGTCTTGGTGGCTAGCTTCTTTCAGTTAGCATGATGTTTTCAAGGTTCATCCATGTTGTAGCATGTATCAGTACTTTATTACTTTCTGTTTTATAGATAGGTATACCACATTTTGTTTATTCATTCATTAATTGATGGACATTTAGGTTGTTTCCACATTTTGGCTATTTATGAATAATGCCGTGAACATTCATGTATAAGTTTTTGTTTGCACATATGTTTCATTCCTCTTGGGTATATACTAGGAGTGGAATTGTTGGGTCTTACGGTAACACTAATCTTTTGAGGAACCATCAAACTATTCTCCAAGGCAGTGGCACCATTCTAAATTCCCACCAGCAATATATGAGCATTCTAATTTCTCCACATCCTTACCAGTGCTTGTTATTTTCTATCTTTTTTATTATAGCCATCTTAGTGGGTATGAAGAAGTAGCTTATTGTGGGGTTTGTTTATTTGTTTGTTTTTCCTGAGACAGAGTCTTGCTCTGTCACTCAGGCTGGAGTGCAGAGGTATGATCATGGCTTACTTCAGCCTCAAAATCCTGGGCTCAAGCAATCTTCCCACCTCACCCTCCTGAGTAGCTAGGACCACAGGTGCATACCACCACACCTGGCTAATTTTTGTAGAGACTGGGTTTCGCTGTCTTGCCAAGGCTGGTCTCAAACTCCTGGGCTGAAGCCATTTGCCCACCTTGGCCTCTCACAGTGGTGAGATTACAGGAATGGGTCACAATGTCTGTGGCCTTATCATGGTTTTGATTTGTGTTTCTCTAATGATGTTGCTCATTCTTTCATGTGCTTGTCATTTGTATGTCTTTTGGGAGGAATTTCTATTTAAAACTTAAGGCATTTTTAATTGGGTTGTTTGAGTTTTTATTAACAAGTTTTAGGAGTTCTTTATTGTCAAATTCTGTTCTTAGTATTATATATGTACATGCAAAGCAAAGTATAGGATTAAAGCATTTAATTTGAAGTTTGTAAGGCCCCAAAGCACTTGAACCTGAAACATCATGATAATGAAGACCAACCAAACTCAATTGTCCACTTCATTCTGTATTTTGTATTTATATGCCTTTGGGTTGGTATGTTTTTTCATCAAGTCTAACTTTGTTTTTGGAAAAGAATAATTTCTATACATTGAATCCAACTGTGATCCTTTGTCAGGTTCCCATGATGTAGAGTCTATAAAATAATGTTAATTAGCTTGATTTAACCATTCCACATTGTATACATATATCAAAATATCATGTTATACACCATAAATCTGTATGTTTTGTCAATTTTTTAAAAAAAAAACTTATTTGAGGAGATTTAAGTCTCTATAATTTTGGTTTTATAGAATACCTACTTTTCATTTTTGCATACATTTTTATCATAAAATTAATGTATGTACATTTTGGAAAATTTGGAAAATGCAAGGAGGTACAAAAAAAATTTTGGTTTATATTCAGAGATATCAACCTTTATACCTGATGTGGTTTGGCTGTTTCCCCACCCACATCTCATCTTAAATTGTAGTTCCCATAATCCCCACATGTCATGGGAGGGAACTGGTGAGAGGTAATTTAATCATGGGGGTGGTTACCATCATGATAGTGAATGAGTTCTCATGAGATCTGATGGTTTCATAAGGGACTTTTCCCTTTTTTGCTCAGTACTTCTCCTTGCTGCTGCCATGTAAAGAAGGACATGTTTGCTTCCCCTTCTGCCATGACTGTAAGTTTCCTGAGGCCTCCCTAGCCCTGAGGAACTGTGAGGCAATTAAACCTCTTTCCTTTATAAATTACCTAGTCTCAGGTATGTCTTTATTAGCAACATGAGAACAGACTAAAACAATACCTTTTTCTGTCATTCAGCTTCAAAGTTTATGTATTTTAAAACTGATGACAAACATGATCAATGTGATGCTGTATATGGTTGAAATATTCTCCACTTGCTGTATTTATGTGTTTCTCATATGGAAAAATGCTGAAAGTGTATACAATTATATGGATTTGTTTAAACTTCTAACATGAAGTAGAGAGTTGTGAAATAAATGTGCGGGAGTTGTAATACCATATATTTTTATTTTCAACGTCTCAGCTTTTCCTTACAAAAATGTTGTGATTCATTCAAAGACTGCTCACCATGAGGCAGGCACTCTGTCAAATTAGATCTGCTTTTCTGTGCTTGCCTTCAAGGAGCTCATAACCTGGTGGAGGAAAAAAAATTTGTCAGAAGTAAATTTCTTGAATAGACTATAAGTGTTATAATTAAGGTAGAAACAGGAGAACAAAGCAGCTGCCTTAGGGCATGAGGGAAAGCTTCATAGAGGTACTGCTATCTATGCTGGGTTTTGAGGGATAAGTAGGAGTCCTCTAGCACAGGGATCCCCAGTCCCCGGGCCACAGACTGGTATTGGTCCGTGGCCTGTTAGGAACCTGGCAGCACAGCAGGAGGTGAGTGGCAGGCAAGCAAGTATTACCTACCACCTAGATTCTCCTAGGAGCACAATCCCTACTGTGAACTGTGCATGTGGAGGAGCTAGGTTGTGTGCACCTTATGGGAATCTAAAGCCTGTGCCTGATAATCTGAGGTGGAATAGTTTCATCCTGAAGCCATCCTTCCTCCTCCTCCACAACTCCCCACCATCCATGGAAAAAATGTCTCCCACAAAACTGGTCCTCGGTGCCAAAAAGGTTGGGAACCACTGCTCTAGCAGAGACAACGGATGATATAATGTTCTAGCAATGAGAATTTAAGTTAGAGCTCAAAGTGTGTAGAAAGGCATGGCAAACTTTGAGAAAGGAAATGAGGCCAATACAGTAAATAAGGACCAGATTAGAAGTGGTCTCTGTCAGTCTGAGGGCCTTAGATTTCTATATAGTAGGGAAATGTTCTGAGAAAATCAAAGTTAGTGATACAATTTGTGTTTTTGAAAACTGGCTCTATCAAATAACTGATTGGAAGACAGACAAGGCAGGTAGACCATTTAGAAGACAGTTGAACATCACTGAAGCAAATGATAATAAAAATCTGAACTGAAGCAGTGAAGAGGAAAAATAGAGATACTTAGAAGTGAGAGTAAGATTTGAATGTAAAGGTGATGGGTTGATGGGTGCAGCAAACCACCATAGCACGTGTATACCTGTGTAACAAAACTGCACGTTCTGTACATGTACCCCAGAACTTAAAGTATAATAAAATAAGATGAGATGATATATGTAATTCATTATCACAGTTAAGAAAAGGAAGTGAGAGGAGCTAAGAATGAAGTTTCTAGTTTTTGAAGACTGGGTAGATGGTGATGACATCAATCATTAACTGATTGGCTAATCAAGAAGGTGAACAAGTTTTGAACATGGTGAGTTTTGAGGTGTAGAACAACATATTAGTATTGATAATAAGGGTTGAGTATCCCTTGTCCAAAATGCTTGGGACCAGAAGTGTTTCAGATGTCAGATTTTTATTTTGGATTTTGGAATATTTGCATATATATATATAATGAGAAATCTTGGGGATTTCTAAGTACAAAATTCATTTATGTTTTATATATGCCTTATAAATGTAGCCTGAGGGTAATTTTATATAATATTTTAAATAATTTTGCACATAAAGAAAAGTTTTGACTGCATTTTGGCTGTGACTTGTCACATGAGATCAAGTATGGGATTTTCCACTTATGCCATCGTGTAGGCGCTCAAATTGTTTCCAATTTTGGAGCATTTCAGATTGTGGATTTTCAGATCAGGGATGCTCAACCTGTATTAATAATTGCTTTAATTTAAACGGAGTGCTTACCAGGTGCCAGGTTCTAAACTAAGTACATTGTGTATACATTGTTGAATGGCTTTTTCATTTTACAAATAAAGATATTTAATCTTAGAGATTTAAAATAGCTGGCTGGGTGTGGTGGCTCACGCCTGTAATCCCAGCACTTTGGGAGGCTGAGGCAGGTGGATCATGAGGTCAAGAGATCGAGAACATCCTGGCCAACATGGTGAAACCCCATCACTGCTAAAATACAAGTTAGCTGGGTGTGGTGACACACACCTGTAATCTCAGCTGCTCGGAAGGCTGAGGCAAGAGAATTGCTTGAACCTGGGAGGCAGAAGTTGCAGTGAGCTGAGATCATGCCACTGCACTCAAGCCTGGGCAACAGAGCGAAATGCTGTCTCAAAAAAAAAAAAAAATAGCCTTCGTTCTCACAACTATTAAGTAATGGAGTTGAAATTTAAATTTACTTCTCTCTGACTCTAAAATTTGTTACCTTAGCCATCATATTAGACTGCCTGTTTTGAGAGTTTTCTATCTGATAAGATAAAGACTGTACCAAGGACTAGGTTTAAGAAACTTAACTGTTACTATTATAATATCATGGTGGCCATAAGGTTCTGTCTGTTCTGGCTCCATGTGGACAGATCAGAGATCATCACTTTAAATGAAAGTGACACAATGGTTCAGAAATGATTCTGCCACTTACCAATCACTGACTTTTATCTCTAACTCTGGAGGCCAACAATTCTTTCTATAAATTACACTGCTTAGTGTAATTCTTTTATTTACTTATCTTTAGATATTTCCTAGTATAAAGCAGTCAGTTAAAATGTTGTTTTATTTGGTTTTGTTTTCTTTTATGGCCATAATTTTTAATGTAGATACCTAAGTTTATGGCTTGTATCAGAGAATATGGTTGTATCGTATCTGATTTTAAAATTTTTTTATGACTTGACAATGTAGCTAAGTTTTTATGAGTACTCTATTATATGTTTTAAAAGTATGTTATTGATTATGTAAATCATCAATATCCTTCCTAATATTTTGTCCTCTTGCTCTGTCATTTGCTAAAAGGGCTGTGAAATGTTTCCCACTTATGTTGTGGACTTGTAAATTTCTTCTTATTAGTTTCTTGCTTTCTGTGTTTTGAACATATATTGTTAGGTCCATAAAGTTTAGGATCTTTTGGTGTGTTATACCTTTTATCAAATGGAAATATCCCTCTTTTTGTCTTATATATTTCTTTTGTGTTAGTCCCTTTTGGCTCAGCAGGATTTTTTTGAGATTCATCTATGTTGTATGTATCAGAAGTTTGTTCTGTTTTGATATTGCCAACTAGTATTCCATTTTATGGATATGCAACAATTAGTTTATTCTGTTGAGAGATATTTGAGATATTTGGGGCTGCTATGAAGAAAGCTGCTATCAACATTTGTGAGATCTTTATGTGGATGTATGTCTTCACTCTGTTGGGTAAATATCTTAAGAGTTGAATTACTAGGTCATGTAATGTTTGTTTAACTTTAAAAGAAATCACCAGAACTATTTTCTAAAGTAGTCGTACCATTTAACATACCTATCAACGATGTATGAGAATTCCAGTTGTTTCACATCCTCACCAAAACTTAGTAATAATAGCTTAAGACATTTTAGCCAAGACCAACATTTTGGCTTGACACCTTAAAACATTTCAGCCAAGTCTGGCTAACATGGTGAAACCTTGTCTCTACTAAAAATATGAAAAAATTAGCCAAGTGTGGTGGTGCATGCTTGTAGTCCCAGCTACTCGGGAGGCTGAGGTGGGAGAATCGTTTGAACATGAGGGGCGGAGGTTGCAGTGAGCCAAGAACAAGACTCCATCTCGAAAGAAAAGAAAAAAAAAATTAGCCATCTGGTGGGTGTATGGTGCCATCCCTTTGTGGTTTTAATTTGCATTTTCTTGAAGACAAATAATATTGTGCATCATTTTATAAAATTACTGCCCATTTGTATGTTTTTCTTTGTGAAGTGATCTGTTTCAACCTTTTGCCCATTTTTTAATGTGTAAACTTGTAGAGTTGAAAGAGTTTTTATGTATTTTGGATATAGGTCCTTTGTCAAATATATATAATCAGATGTTTCCCCTAAATCTGTCTTTTCATTTTCTTAACAGTACTTTTAGAGATGCAGAAGTTTTTAATTATGATAAAGTCTAATTAATTTTTTTCTATAAAGCTGTAAAGCTTATTGATTTTGTGTCCTATCTTAGAAACATTTGAATACTTGAAAGTCTCAAAGATGTTATCCTGTGTTCTTTTCTACTAAGTCTGGGATCAAGTTTGATTAATTTTGTCTATGGTATAAAATAAGGGTAGAGGATTATTATTTTTCCTATGGATATCCAGTTGTTGCAGTATCAACTGCAATTTCTTTGCAATCAAAGAAATTGATTGAAATACAATTTCTTTTCCCAATGTACTTTCCCAAAAAGTACATACGTTTTCACTCTGGAACCTTTGTAGAAAATCAATTGGCTATATATGTATACATCTACTTCTAGATGCAATTCTTTTCCATCAGTCTACATGTCTCTCCTTACTGATATTATAATATCTTGATTACTTAGCTTTCTAATAAATCTTCATGTTTTTGTCGATATTATGACTTTTTTATTTCATATTCATTTGTCCATTGCTAATATATAGAAATACAGTTGATTTTTTTGTTATTGACCTATTCTTTAATCTAAAAAAGTTCTATTAGCTTTAATGTAGATTTTTCAGGATATTCTACATACACATTCATTCCCTTTGTGAATAAAAATGGTTTTACTTCTTCCACTCTAATTTGTTTGATTTTTATTTCCTTCGCTTGCCTCAGTGTACTAAAACTTCTACTGTATTGTCGAAAGTGGTAAGAGCAGACGTATTGTCTTTATTGCTGATCTTAAGTAGGGAAATATTCAGTCTTTCACCATTAAGTATGATGTTTGCTTTAGGATTTTTTGGTAGGTGTTCTTTATAAAGTGGAGGAAGTATCCTTTAATTCCAGTATGTGAGGTGTTTTTTTTAAATCACGAATGTGTGTTAAATTTCATCAGATGCTTTTTTCTGCAACTTTGAGATGATCATGTTGTTGGGTTTTTTTTTCTTTGTTTTAGTCTTAATGTGGTTGATTCCACTGATTTTTTTTAATAAATTTCTATTTTGGAATAATTTCAGATTTACAGAAAAGTTGCAAGAATATTACAGAGTTTTTGCAGATTTCTCAACCAGTGTACTATATTTTTAGCATCTTACAATGTTACAGTATACTTGTTATAACTAATAAACCAATATTACATTATCGACTAGAGGTCATACTATATTCAGATTTCCTTAGCTTTTACCTAGAGTACTTTTTCTATACCAGGATCCTATCTAGAATACCACGTTAGATTTAGTCATCATGTTTTCTTAGTTTTTCTAAACTGTGAGTTTTTCTTAGACCTTCCTTGTTCCTTGACAATTTGGGGTAAGACCGGTCAGTTAATTGGAATGTTCTCCAATTGGGATTTGTCTGATATTTTCTTGTGGTTAGAAAGGGGTTGTGGGCTTATGGAGTATTTTTCAGTCTATGTTCATGAGAGATAGAGATCTGTAGTTTTCCTGTATTATCTTGTCTGGTTTTGGTATAAAATGGGTTGGGAACTGTCACTTCCTTTTTCTGAAAGATTGTATGAAGGAATGTCATTATTTCTTCCTAAAATGTTGGGTAGAATTTATCATTGAAGTTATCTAGGGTTGAGTTTTGTTTGTGGGAAGATTTTTAATTATGATGTTTATTTAATAGATATGGAACTAGTGAGTATTCAGTTTCTTCTTGAGTCAGTTCGGGTAATTTGTGTCTTTCAAGGAATGTGTCTGTTTCATCCTAGTTGTGAATTGATGCAGAGTTATGCATAATATTTTAATTATGTTTTTAATGTGTGTAGGAGCTATAATGTTCCTTCTTTCATTCTTGATGTTGGTAATTTCCAAATTCTCTTTTTTCCCCCTAGATCTGTCTAGTTAAAGGCATATGAATTTTATCTCTTCAAAGAACCAGCTTCTAGTTTTGTAGCTTTTCTATATTGTGTTGACTTTATATTTCATTGATTTATTTTTGAGAGATTTATTGAAGTATAATTATGTACAATAAAGCACACATAAAGTGTGTGATTTTGATGAATTTTTATATGTTATATACCAACATTATGATCAAGATAATGAACATTTTCATAACCTCCAAAGGTTTCCTTGTGCGCCTTTGCAATCCATCCTTCCTTGATACTGCCAACCTATCCTCAGGCAATCAGTGAGCTACTTGATAGGTTAGTTTGCATTTCTGAGAATTTTATATAAATACCATGCTACTTTTTATTACTGGGTACTATTGCACTGTGTAGGTATACCAAAACCTCTTTATTTCTTTTATGTGTTAGTAGACAGTAGGGTTTTTTAAATTTTATGATTAAAAATAAAGTTGCTTTGTACAGTCATGTACAAGTATTTGTGTGTACTCTTACTTCATATGCTTTCAAACCTCTCAATAAGTACCAAGAAGTGGAATGGCTGGGTTGTAAGGTAGTTGTATATATTACGAACTGCCAAATTATTTTCTAATGTGGTTGTATCATTTTATATTCCACTAGCAGTGTGTGAATGTTACAGTTGCTCCACATCTTCGTCAACACTTGCTCTGGTCAGAACTTCTAATTTTAAGTATTCTATGTGTGCATTCTTATATTTC
Source organism: Homo sapiens (assembly GCF_000001405.40). Taxonomy (NCBI): domain Eukaryota; kingdom Metazoa; phylum Chordata; class Mammalia; order Primates; family Hominidae; genus Homo; species Homo sapiens. Next base: position 110,669,608 of record NC_000011.10, on the reverse strand, counting down.
TTTGTGGTTTTAATTTGTGTTCCCCTGATAACTAATGATGTTGAGCATCTTTTCATGAGCTTAGTTGATATCCCTAGATAATCTTTAAAAAAAGAGCCAGTTCACATCTCCTCATTTTGTGTTGGGTTTTTTTTTTCTTACTGTTGAGTTTTAAGTGTTTTTCATATGTTCCAAATCTGTGCTATCCAGTATGGTAGGCACTAACCACTGGCAATTTAAATTCAAGTTAACTAAAATTGAATATATAAATTCAGTTCCCAAGTCACTCTAAACACATTTCAAGAGCTCATTTAGCCAAATATGAGTAGTGGCTTTCTATTAGTGCAGATATAAAATATTTCCATAATTTCAGAAAATTCTACTGGCAGCACAGTTCTATATATAAATGCCTTGCTGGGCATATGGCATGTGAATATTTTACCCTAGTATATAACTTGCCTTTCTCTCATAACAATGTTTTTCAAAGAGCCAAGTTTTAAATTTTAATGAAGTCCAATTTATCATTTTTTCTTTGAGTTTGTTCATTCTGTGTTCTATTTAATTTTTTTCTATATCCAAAGTCAAAATTTCCTTCTATGTTTTCTTTTAGAAGTTTTATAGTTTCAGATTTTACATTTAAAACTATGATCCATTTTGAGTTAATTTTTATATATTTTATGAAATAAGGGTCAGTGTTCATTTTTATTGTGCATGGCTATTCAGTTGTTCCAGCATCATTTTTGAGCAAATTATCCTTTCCCTTTTAATTGCCTTTGTACCTTTGTCAAATTCAGGCATACCTCAGAGATATTGCAAGTTCAATTACAGACTGCCAAAAAAGGCAAATATTAAAGTGAGTTGCATGAATTTGTTGGTTTCCCAGTGCATATAAAAGTTATGTATAAATTATATTGTAGTCTATTAAGTGTGCCAATGGCATTATATATTTTCTTTCTTTTCTTTTTTCTTTTTATTTTTTTGGAGACAGGGTCTTGGTCTGTTGCCCAGGCTGGAGTGCAGTGGTGCGATCTTGGTTCACTGCATCCTCCACCTCTAGGACTCAAGTGATCCTCCCACCTCAGCCTCCTGAGTAGCTGGGACTCCAAGTGTGTGCCACCATGCCAAGCTAATTTTTTCTTATTTTTTGTAGTAACAGTTTTGCCATGTTGCCCAGCCTAGTTGCAACCTCCTTGGCTCAAGGAACCTGCCCAGCTCAGCCCCCAAAGTGCTGGGATTACAGGTGTGAGCCACCACACCCAGTCCAGCATTATAACTTTAAAAAACAATTTGTATACCTTTATTTTAAAATATGTTATTGCTTTTTAAAAATGCAACCAATCATACAAACTTTTTGTTTGTGGAGGGTCTTGTCTCAGTGTTGTTGGCTGCTGACTAATAAGGATGGTGGTTGCCGAAGGTTGGTTGGCTGTGGCAATTTCTTGAAATAAGACAACAATGAAATTTGAGACATTGACTTTCTTTCACGGAAGATTTTTCTGTAGCATGCAATACTGTTTGATAGCATTTTTCCCACAGAACTTCTTTCAAAATTGAAGTCAGTCCTCTCAAATTCTGCTACTGATTTATCAGTTAAGTTTATGGAATTCTGCTACTGCTTTATCAATTAAGTCTAAGTCCTTTGTTGTCATTTCAGCATCTTTACAAGGAGTAGATTCCACGTCAAGAAACCACTTTCTCTACCCATCCTTAAGAAGCAACTTTATTGTGAGATTGTAGCAATTCAGTCACATCTTCTGGCTCCACTTCTAATTATCTTGCTGTTTCTACCACATTTGCAGTGACTTCCCCCACTGGAGTCTTGAACTCCTCAAAGTCATCCATGAGGGTTGGAATCAACTTCTTCCAAACTCCTATTAATATTGATATTTTGACCTCCTCAAATGAATCACAAATGTTCTTAATGCTATCTAGAATGGTGAATCCTTTTCAGAAAGCTTTCAGTTTACTTTGCCCAGATCCATCAGAGGAATCACTGTCTATGGCAGCTATAAGACTTGAAAGTCAAAATTATTTCTTGATCCATGCACTGCCAGAGTGGATATTTTGTTAGCCAGCATGAAAACAACCTTCATCTCCTTGTACATTTCCATCAGAGTTCTTGGGTGACTAGGTGCATTATCGGTGAGCAGTAATGTTTTGAAAGGAATCTATTTTTCTGAGCAATATGTCTTAACAATGGACTTAAAATATTTAATAAAACATGTTGTAAACAGATATGCTGTCACCCACACTTTGTTGCTCCAATGATAGAGCACAAGCAGAGTAGATTTAGCAGAAAGTAATTTCAGAATGGTAAATAAGCATTGGCTTCAACTTAAAGTCACCAGCTGCATTAGCCCCTAACAAAGGAGTCAGCTTGTCTTTTGAAGCTAGACATTGACTTCTCCCTAGCTATGCAAGTCCTAAATGGCATTCTCTTCCAATATAAGGCTGTTTCATCTACATTAAAATTTGGTTGTTTAGTGTAGCCATTTTCATCAATTATCTTAGCTAGATTTTCTAGATAACTTGCTACAGCTTCCACATCAGCATGTAGTGCTTCACCTTGTACTTTTATGTTATGGAGTTAGCTTCTTTCCTTAAATCTCATGAACCAACCTCTGCTAGCTTCAGACTTTTCTTCTGCAGGTTACTCACTGATCTCAGCCTTCATAGAATTGAAGAGATTTAGAGCCTTGCTCTGGATTAGGCTTTGGCTTAAGGGAATGTTGTGGCTGGTTTGATCTGTCCTGATCCCTAAAACTTTCCCCGTATCAGCAATAAGGCTATATCACGTTCTTATCACTCATGTGTTAATTCACAGTGCCCCAAAACAATTACAATAGTAACATCAAAGATTACTGATCACAGATCACAACAGATAAAATAGTAATAATAATGAAAATGTTTGAAATATGTGAGATTATTAAAATGTGATGGGAATGTGAAGTGATCATATGCTGTTGGAAAAAAATGGTGCTGATAGACTTGCTTGATGCAGGATTGCCACAAAGTTTCAATTTGTAAAAAATGTAATATCTGCAAAGTACAATAAAGTAAAGCACAATAAAACAAGGTATGTTTACAATCAATTGGGTATGTAAGTGTTAGTCTACTTTGGATTCTGTGCTGTTCTTCATGCCAATATGACCCTTTTCTGATTATAGTAACTTTAAAATATGTTTTAAAACATGTTCTGCAAGTCCTTTAGCTTTGTTTTCATTTTTCAAATTTGGCTATTTTAGGTCCTATAAGCTTTCATATATTTTGTGAATCAGCTTGACAATTTCTACAATAATAATGCTGCTGATTTCAATAGTGATTGCATTTCATTTATATCAGTGTGGGTAAAATCAACATTTTAGCAATATTGAGTCTTTCTATCCATGAACATGGTATCTCTTCATTTATTTCAATGAGTTTTTATTTCTCTCAGTATTGTATCGTTCTCAATGTCTTGCACATTTTTGTCAAATTCTTAGGTGTTTTATATTGTTTGATGCTGTTGTAAATGGCACAGTTCTTAGATTTCAAATTCCAGTTGTTCAATGGTAGTATGTGGAATGAATCATAGTGTGTGTATATGTATATATATGTGTGTGTATATATGTGTGTCTACGGACACGCATATATACGTGTGTGTGTGTGTGTGTATATGTATCTTGTATCCAGTGACCATATTAAATTCACTTATCTGGTAGCATTTCTCGAGATTCATTAGAATTTTCTGCCTTAGCAACAATCACGTCATCTTTGCCTTATATTCATTAGGTTTCTCTACTTTGGCTTTTGGGTACATGAATTCTTCCCAGCCCTATGAGTTTTAGAGTATTGTCCTACCTGCTTTTTCCTAGTGGCTATTTTCCCAGCCTCAGGTAATTTCCTCGCATACATGCACTGATCAGTTCTCAGATAAAACTTGTGAGGAATACTTTGCAGATCTCTGAGCTCTTTCTCTGGACAGCTCTTTTCTCAAGGCACTCTGTTTTGTGAATTCTATCTAAGTTGGCCTCCTTGATTTCTCAACTCTGTCTCCTCAAGCTGGGCTCTGTTTAGCTTCTTATTCCCTGCCCTGTGCAATAGAATCTCTGTCTAGGCTGCTATCTGGGACAATCTTAGACCTCACCTCATTTTTTTCTCTTTTCTTAGGAATCATTGTTCTGTGTTTCTGTTGTCCAATGTCTGAAAATTTTTGTTTTATATATTTTTTCTTATTTTGTTGTTAGATTAAATTATTCTAGCATAATCAGGAACAGGAATCTCTATTTTAATGACCTTCATTCTTCATTATTTCCTTCTTTGCATGTATTTTGGATTTTATTCTCCTTTTTCTAGTTTCTTACAATGAAAACTCAGATTATTGATTTTAGACCTTTTGTGTTTTCTAATATGTCTAAAAAGTCTCAACTTTTTAAAACACTGTTTTAGCTGCATTTCATAAAATTGGATATGTGAATTCATTTTTACATATGTGTTTTTGTTTACATCCCATTCAAAATGTTTTTTAATATCCCCATGATTTCTTTTTTATACCTATGGGTTATTGTTTTATGGGCACTTCCCTAGTGTCTTTCTGTTATTAGTTCTTAATTTACTTCTATTTTAATTGGAAAACATACTCTGTTTGATTTCTGCAGACTACCTACTGGGATTTTGATTGGAATTGCACTGAATCTATAGATCGTTGAGGCAGAATTGATATCTTAACAATATTGACTCAACATAGGAACAAGATATATTTCTCCATTATTTAGGTCTTCTTTAATAACTCTCAACAGTGTTTTGTAGTTTGCGGTGTACTGGTGCTTTATATCTTTTTTCATATTTACCCTAAGTATTTCATATTTTATTGCTAGTGTAAACAATATCTTTCTTTCTTTTTTCTTTTTTTTTTTTTTTTTTGAGACGGAGTCTCACTCTGTCGCCCAGGCTGGAGTGCAGTGGCACAGTCTCCGCTCACTGGAAGCTCCGCCTCCCGGGTTCACGCCATTCTCCTGCCTCAGCCTCCCAAGTAGCTGGGACTACAGGCACCCGCCACAACGCCTGGCTAATTTTTTGTATTTTTGGTAGAGATGGGGTTTCACCGTGTTAGCCAGGATGGTCTCCATCTCCTGACCTCATGATCCGCCTGCCTTAGCCTCCCAAAGTGCTGGGATTAGAGGCGTGAGCCATTGCGCCTGGCCCCTTCTTTCATTTTTTTGAATGTGTGTTGTCTATATGTAGAAATACAATTGATATTGATATATATGTGTGTGTTTGTGTATGTGTATATATATATATGTCTTATATCCTGCAACCTTCCTAAACTCACTTGTTAGCTTCAATGGATTGTTTTTGTAGGTTCCATTGAACTTTCCACATAGACTACCATGTCATCTGTGAACAAGCACAGTTTTACTTCTTCCTTACAATCTAGATGCCCTTTATTTCCTTTCCTTGCCTGATTTATCTGGCCAAAATCTGCAGTTAAATGTTGAAGAGAAGTGGTTCTAGTGGACCTCTTTGTTTTATTCCTAATATTAGGAGGAAAGAGGAAGTTCACTTCTATATCTGGATTACTGACTTTTTATCATGAATGAGTATTACATTTTGTCAAATGCTTTTCACCATCACTACCTATTGAGATGATCATATGATTTTTCTTTTTAAATTTGTACTATGTGAATTATATTGATTAATTTTTAATGTTAAAATGACTGCATTCTTGGGATAAACTTCACTTGGTCATGATGTAATATCCTTTTCATATATTGTTGTATTCAGTTTGCTGATGGGTATTTTTAGAATTTTTACCTCTGTATTCATGAGAGGTGTTGGTTCTGCACTTTTCTTTTGGTATAATGTCTTTGGCTCTGATAACAGGGTAATAATGCTGGCCTTTTGATTGGATTGGGAGCTATTCTCTCCCCTTAAATTTTCTGGAAGAGTTTGTATAGAATTAGTTTTATTTCTTTCATTAGTATTTGGTAGAATTCAACTGTTAAGCTGTTTGGGCGTGGAGTTTTTGTTCCTTTGTTTGTTTTGTGGGAAGGCTTTAACTAAATATTCAATTTCCTTAATAATACTATTCAGGTTGTTTCTTTTTGAGTAAGCTGTGTTGATTATGTAGTTCAAGGATATTTTTTCCATTTCAGTTAAGTTATCTAATTTATAGCCATATAGTTTTTCATAATATTCCCTTATCCTTTTAACCTGTGTAGCATCTGTAGCAATGTTACCTTTGGAATTCCTGATATTAGTAATTATAGTATTAATGTCTTATATAGTATATTGTATATATTAGTATTATATAATATATAGTGTAATATTAGTGTATTTTCTCATATTCCTGAACAGTCTAGCAAAGTTTTTACAATTTTATGAGTACTCTTAAAGAACCAGCTTATAGTTCATTTATTTTCTTTATTACTTTTCTGTTTTCTATTTCATTGATTTCCACTCTGATATTATTACTTTTCATATTTTGCACTTAATTTGCTTTTGTTTTTAAGTTTCTTAAGGTGTGAACTGAGGTAATTGTTTTAAGGTCTTTTCTAATTTAGGCATTGAATACCATAAATTTCTCCCTAAGTACTACTTTATTGGTATTCCACAAATTCTGAGATGTAGTATGTTTTTCTTTTCATTAAGTTTACAACACTTTTCTAATTTTCTTTTTGATTTCTTCTTTGGTATACAGGATTGCTTAAAAGAGTATTTTTAATATGACAAGATGTTCTTGGTTCATCTTGTATATTTCCTACTTCAGACCTGAAATCAGGTATTTCTCCAAGACTACATTTGGGGATGAGGGTCATTCATTTCTACTAGGTTGTTCATCATTTCCAAGTCTTTTCAGTGCACATCATAAGGCAAATTATCTTTAGAGAAAAAGTATGTCATGACTGAGTTTATATTGATTTCCAATTCAGATTCAGGACTACAGATGTTTGTTTAAATTAAACCTAGTCTAATGTTAACATTCATGTTTCGTTTCTTTTATGCTGAAAATACCACTCTCAATGACACTGGGAATGTAGGAATTAAAATATCACATAATTACTCACATTATCTTATAATGTATACAGACTATTAATAGTTTCAGAAAAACAGTATCAACACTACCACTACCAATATGATTCCTGGAAATTGTTTAAGATTTGTTTTGGCAACTATCTTTACGGTATATCCTAATAATAATGTATAGCCATATTAGTGTTTTTTAAAGTCACGTGGAATAGTTTTTCTATGTGTGATTATGCTACCAACTGGACACAAATTTTGGTTAATTTGTTTTAATTTTATTTTTTATAGTTTTACAAAGTTTTTATTTGATTTTATAATTATGTAGACATTTACATAGTTCAAGTTGAATCTATTAAAACAAGATGTATTCAGATAAATTTCAGCTTCTATTTCTGTCTCCTCAATACTGTTTTTTCTCCTTTCATTGGTAACTTTAAAATTTTAACCTTTTTGATATAAGCAACTATGAATTTTATATATATATATTTCTTACGTAAACAAAAATATAGTATATACTTTTCCACCCTATTTTTTCACATAATGATATAGCTGTAGGATTACTCCTTACCAGTACATAGAGATACTTTTCTTCCCTTTCTACAGTTTCCTGTAAATTCATTGCTTACGTATGCCATGGTTTATTCGGCCAGTTCCTTACTGATGAATTATTATGTTGTTTCCAATCTCTGGTTATAAATGATCCTGCAGTGAAAAAACTTTGTGCTTATATCTTTTGTATTTTTTCTACATTGCAGAAGTGGATTGCTATATACTATCTTGTTAAATATTACCACTTTTCCCTCATAAGGGTTGTACCATTCCCATTCTTGCTAGTGACGTAGAAGAATATCTGTTTTTACCACAGCCTCACTAACAGTGTCTTAATATGTTATATCAGAGTACTTTTAATTTAAATATCTATTCGTGTGAAGTAAAACATTTTAAAGTATATGTTATGCTAAATAAATGTGAATTATGTTTATTTTGCTATGAAAACAGGAAATTCATGATATAAAAATAAGAATTCATCAGTGCAGTATAGAGAAAAAAATGTTCTTTATATAAAAACAAATGTTGAATTTTTTTACTATATCAGTTTTTTAAGTATAATTTGGTTGTGTTAATGATGAGAGGGTTACTGAATTTTTCTTAAACTGGGCATTTGTACCCAGATAATATTTTTATGTCAGAATTACAGTAAGAAGTAAACTATCACTGAACTTGCAAACTTAATTCATTGGTTTTAAAGGCCCTTTTCAACTAAATTATGAGAATGAATTTCTTGTCCTCCTGCTGTTTTTCCCCCACTGTGTTTTTTCCCCTCTATGTTTCAGATAAACACATAAGTTCTTCATTTATTATATAAAAATGAGTTGATGGTTATGTTTGTGCACCTGGATACTGAAATAGACTAATTCCTCTTGGACTTAATAATTATCTGCTTTTTATTAAAATGAAAATAGGATAAAGACAGGAAAAGAAGATGGAATCAGTAATAGCTTTTTATTTTTTAACCCCCAGCAAACACTGAACAGATGGAATAACTTTTAAGTGAAACTACTGGTTTGACAATGGTCTTCTGATGTATTTGTTTTGGAATTATGTAAACTTCTGAACTGAGCATCAGAATCTGTGGCATAGAACTCTGCAGTCAGTTTTCACTGGGCATTTTATTTTATGAATGACGAGTGTAAAAGTGAGAGAGATTGGATGCCTAAGGTTACAGAGCAAGTAGTGTTGGAACTAGAGACAGGGCCCAAGTTTTTCATTGTCCTTATTCTAGCCCCAATTTTTTTCTCGTATTTGGCCTTAAAAATAAGAGAGTGGATGAAAAAAAAAGACCAACATAATCATACACAGGACATTCAAAAGAATAGCAACAGCACATGCTTGTTTCCTAAGGCATTGAAAATATTCACCTGAGAATGTGAGTAACCTCTTTTAGTTCTGAGAGGAATGACTTTGCGGAGAGGTCAGGATATTTGTCCTTAGGGATTGTACTTCTGGGAATACCCTGTCTTGGTATAGGAGGCAGGGTAGATCTGTCGATGGGCTTGGAAAAATTGGCTCTGTGCTCCCAGGATCTAGAGAAAATAATATGAATAAAAAGGTTGACCTGCCAGCACTTTCCACCTACCCCCAAGTTAAACCTGCAGATTCAACCCCTTTTGAAAACTGTTGGAAGAACAAATCATCTTTTTTCAGCACATGGCTTACCATGTTATTATTTATGTACTTGTATCTGGTTCACACAGTTCTTTCTGTAGGCCAGTGACTGGTCTCTTGACTCACCCTTTAGGTACCTGGAAGGTACACCACTCTGTGAAAACAAAAGCTTCCTAGGGTAGTGATCCTCAAAGTGTGGTCCTAGCCCCAGTAGCATCAGCATCACCTGGAACAAGTTAGAAACGCCGATTTTAGGGCCCTGCCCCATAATGAGTCAAAAATTCCAAGAGTAGAACCTTGCATTCTATGTTTTAACAAGCCCTATATGTAGTTCTGATATAGGCTTAAAAATTTGACAACCACTGACCTAGGGTATTTTCTTTTTTTTTTTTTTTTTGTTTTTTATTATACTTTAAGTTTTAGGGTACATGTGCACATTGTGCAGGTTAGTTACATATGTATACACGTGCCATGCTGGTGCGCTGCACCCACTAACTCGTCATCTAGCATTAGGTATATCTCCCAGTGCTATCCCTCCCCACTCCCCCCACCCCACAACAGTCCTCAGAGTGTGATATTCCCCTTCCTGTGTCCATGTGATCTCATTGTTCAGTTCCCACCGATGAGTGAGAATATGCGGTGTTTGGTTTTTTGTTCTTGCGATAGTTTACTGAGAATGATGATTTCCAATTTCATCCATGTCCCTACAAAGGACATGAACTCATCATTTTTTATGGCTGCGTAGTATTCCATGGTGTATATGTGCCACATTTTCTTAATCCAGTCTATCATTGTTGGACATTACCATTCAGGACATAGGCATGGGCAAGGACTTCATGTCTAAAACACCAAAAGCAATGGCAACAAAAGCCAAAATTGACAAATGGGATCTAATTAAACTAAAGAGCTTCTGCACAGCAAAAGAAACTACCATCAGAGTGAACAGGCAACCTACAGAATGGGAGAACATTTTTGCAACCTACTCATCTGACAAAGGGCTAATATCCAGAATCTACAATGAACTCAAACAAATTTACAAGAAAAAAACAAACAACCCCATCAAAAAGTGGGCGAAGGATATGAACAGACACTTCTCAAAAGAAGACATTTATGCAGCCAAAAAACACATGAAAAAATGCTCATCATCACTGGCCATCAGAGAAATGCAAATCAAAACCACAATGAGATACCATCTCACACCAGTTAGAATGGCAATCATTAAAAAGTCAGGAAACAACAGGTGCTGGAGAGGATGTGGAGAAATAGGAACACTTTTACACTGTTGGTGGGACTGTAAACTAGTTCAACCATTGTGGAAGTCAGTGTGGTGATTCCTCAGGGATCTAGAACTGGAAATACCATTTGACCCAGCCATCCCATTACTGGGTATATACCCAAAGGACTATAAATCATGCTGCTATAAAGACACATGCACACGTATGTTTATTGCGGCATTATTCACAATAGCAAAGACTTGGAACCTAGGGTATTTTCTAGGTTAAATTACTTAGAAGTGATTAAGCAGAGTGAGGAGGGGATAGCCCAGGGAATGAGTTTCAGGCGATATAGTTAACTCCTTAGCAACACTTGAAGGGCAATTTCCAAGCCTTTTTAGGATTCCTAAGTGTCTGGAGAGCTACTGCAGGCTCTGGTAACCGAAGACATGAAAACAAAACAATAAATAACAACAACCTGAGTACTTGGATGCTGGAGGAATGGATTAAACCTCAGTTCTCGGTGCAGAAATGAAGTCCTTGCCTAACAATATATTGTCTGTGTTTCACTGTATTTGCATTATGTAAACCTGGGCTAAACTCTACCTTGTAAATAAGAATGATGTTTTAGCCTATCCCTTTTTTGTCTGCTTTCCTTCTCACATAGAGGCAGAGAAACAGATGAAATTAGTAGTTTTTCCTACTTGTCAGGCATAAATTATTACTTACTGTTTTCTAGTAGGAAGGTCTTTCTTCGTAGCTACTTTTAAATATATATTCTAGTTTTTGTGCCAATGAGGAGATAGGAACTGTAGTACCTTAAGGAAGAAGAGAATTATTCTCGAGCCACAGGGAGACAAATGTTTTCCTAAAGCATGTGACCCTCTGGCTCCTTCAGGTTTCTAGAAAAGTCCCAAATGAATAGGGCTGCAGAGGATGTGTAGTGCTACTACTACTCTGTGATGGAGAACCATTACTATCAGTAGTAACAGCCATTATGTATTCAGCACAGATGTGTTCCAGATGTGTTTAGCTAAGTGCCTTACTTAGATTATCTCATTTAATCCTCACAACAACCCTGAGGAGTAGGCATGAATACTTCTATTTGACAGACTGATAAAATGCAGTTTAAAAGGCTTACTCAACTATCCAAAGTCACATAGTCTTTAAGTGGTAGGTCAAGTTTCAAACTCAGGTCTGTCTGACTCTTAAATTTTTGCTCTTAATTCTCATCTTCTGGAACTTCCTCCCCATACTTCAGCCCTAGACATTTTCTTCCTTCCTTCCTTCCTTCCTTCCTTCCTTCCTTCCTTCCTTCCTTCCTCTCTCTCTTTTTCTTTCTTTTTTTTTTTGTCGGAGTCTCACTCTGTCACCCAGGCTGGAGTGCAGTGGCACGATCTTGGCTCACTGCAACCTCCGCTTCCTGGGTTCAAGCAATTCTCCTGCCTTAGCCTCCCGTGTAGCTGGGAGTACAAGCATGTGCCACCACACCGGGCTAATTTTTGTATTTTTCGTAGAGATGGGGTTTTGCCATGTTGGCCAGGCTGGTCTCGAACTCCTGGCCTAAGGTGATCTGCCCACCTCATCCTCCCAAAGTGCTAGGATTTACAGGCATAAGCCACTGTGCACAGCCAGCCCTAGACATTTCTAAGGTCTGTTTGCCTCCCTTTACCTTGAATATACTCCCCTTCTGTTTGTCTACTTAGATAATTACTTCAAGGGTCAGTTCAGCTTATGCCTTGTGATACTTTTCTTGGCCAGATCATCCTATTTTTCCTCTTCAAGCTTCTCCCACTCCCCACACTAAATTCCCATTATGTTTTTTTTAATGTAAACTATATCTCCTTCACCACACATTTTAACATAATCATTTCTTTAGGTTTCTGCCTCTCAGTGGCCAGTGACTACCTCATAGCCAGGTTTAGTTTCTTATTCTCTTGTCCTGATAACTCCAGCTTTATATTTCCTTTCTGTGGTCTCAGAATCAGAAATTTAGAACTGGAATGGACTTAACAACAAAAACTTAACTCATATTTTAAAGGACCAAGGATTGAGAAAAAAATATTAAATGGCTAAAAACTGCTGCTTTCCTTAATAAAATAAATCCTCAAGAGACCATCATTTCTATTTTAGCAATGAATAAAGGCTATATAATCTTAAAAATTATAACCTCTCTTGAATCCATTAGTGAACTGAGTTTGTAAAACAACCAATTGAACTGAATTTCAGAGTAGCAAGCCCCTCTAAAAAGAGATAAGATACATAAACTGTTTTACCTTTGGAAGAGCATGGGAGGAAGAGGTAGCTGTCAACAAAATGGGTAAAAAGAAATCAATTAAAAGTTGAATGCATTTCTTAAAGGCACCAAGTATGGGCTAAAGTATCAGTTTAGTAACTGGGATCCCCAGAACACAGAGTTGACATTCACGTGCGGGTTCTTTTCCATGGGCCTCCACTGATTTTCTCCCAAAAAAAGTTTGGAGGTAGTTCAGGAGATGGAAGAGAGCCCACCTCAGTGGCTGAGCATGCAAAAGTTGATTTGTTGACTTGGCAAGACACCTGAAGCACTGGCTTTTTCTCAGAACTTTTTTAATACTCACAATGGAGGAGCAGCAAACCCTCTCATCCCCAGGGCCTAGGTGAACTTCTGTTACTTCCTGGGGAGAGGTAGAAGCAAAACCCATCTGCCTCTTGGAGAGGGAACTCTCTCCCTTACTAAGAGGACTCAGGCAAATACCCACTGGGGAAGAAGTAGAAATAAAGGCCATATATGGGAGAGGCAGAAAAGCCTCTTGGTCTCTCGATTCTGCACCAATACAAAGCGGAGGTCTGCTACCACTAAAGGAGAAGCTGGAAACTCTTTTGCCCAAGAGCTTCCACCAATTCAAAGTAGAATTTGGTAGCCACAGGATTGAGGAGGGGCAGGAAAATGAGAAGACCCTACCTCAGAGGCTCAGGTACACAGGCTTAGCCTAAGAAGGACTAAGAATCCCACGTGCTCCCACCAAAAGCCTAATGCTGAGTAACAAGCAGTAGGAGTGTACTGCTTGAGGAGGAGCAGTAGCTACAAGAGACTCCTCCCACCCCCTCCACATAGTCCTAGTGTTTAGGGACTGCTGAAAGTTGAAAGTAGAGAGAGCATCAACAGTGAGAAAAACTCTCTAGCATCCCAGACAACACACTAAGGCCCCTGCTTTTATAGAATTTACGTTCTAGTGGAGGGACGTGGATAGCAAAACACACAAACAAATTAAGGTAGTAGAAGGTAAAGTTGTTCTCATGTCTCGTATGAGAAAATAAACTAGGACAATTAGAGAGTGACTAGGTTAGTCAGGAAAGGCCTCCCTGATCTTAGACACCTATTAACATCCCATGGAAGATACTCAGAGAAATGCCTGGCCCTAAGGGAAATAGAGACAATCACATAGCCTTAGGAAATATCATTTATAAAATAGGACTTGTTCTTTTCCCTCTTTTTTGGTCATCTCTGTGCCAACCCCAAGGAGCTCCCAGATTAAAGAGTGAGAGATCAGAGATAGATACTCTCACCCACTTCAAAGACCTGCCTCTTCCTTGATCACTAACCCTGACAGTATCTGCCACCTTCAGAGGAAACCCATGACTGTCTACAAGGCGCTTTACAAGACCATAACAAGATAGATATTCATAATCATAATTTATTTAGTAAATACTTACTGAGTATTTCCTGTGGCCAAGCACTTCAGGGGACACAGCAGTAAACAAGACAGACAAAAACCCTTGGCATTGCGGAGCTTACGTTAATGTTCCAACGCAAAACACATTAATCCTAGCTGTAATTCACATATAGGTCTCTCATGCTTCCTCTCTCCAGATTTTACTGCTAGTAATTAATTGATAAGGTAGATTTAAATCTCATTCTCACTAAACTTGAGAATTCTTTCTAAGACAGTGACTCTTCCTACTATACTTAGAGTTGGTACCACATAGTTTAAAATTTTCTGTTCCCTGATTATTTCATGTGTCTCATTAGATTGTTAGCTTCATGAAAGAAGGGACTCTGATTTGTTCTGCTGATGTTTTGGGCACATTAAGTTGTGGTTCCAGGAGAAGGCTTTCTCCCAATCCCCTTTATGTTTTCTTCTCTTTCAGAAAGCTGACTACTTAGCTTCCTGGTGCTAAATAAAGAAGAATATAGTCTAGAGTAGCTCAAATGTAGTTAATTTGAATCTGTTTTTATGGAATACTAACTCACCATGTAGACATCCAGAGTTGGGGTCAGTGGAGAAGCTTTTTGTAAAGAATGAGAATGAAACTCCTACTGGAATCTAATTGTATTCTGCTTAAAGATTTATTGTCAAATCTTCTCCCAACCCCTAGATTAAGAAACACGTGGAATTTATTTACAATATAATTGTATTGGGAATGATAGAATTGGTTGAGCACTTTCCCTGTAACCTCTCTTTCCAGGTAGGCCTTTATGCTGGAGAATTTTGCTTTAGCACTTACGCTGAATGTTCAGAGGAAGGACCTTATAGCATTGCAATAAACTTCTCACAGTCTGGAAATAAATCAGACCACATGTGTGTTTGCTCGTTCTACCAACACAGATGCAATACATGCTTTCTGGTTTGTTAAGGGAATGTTGTCATTTTAGCTATGTGAAAAATGACTTAAAATGTGGTTTGGTTTTAGTTAAGCTATCAATTTTATTTTGTCTGGCTTTTAATACGTGGTTTTCACACTTTAATGTGCATCAGCAGTTACTTATAAGTATTTCATTATTACTAAAATTTTAAAGACTTTAAGTAAAATAGAAATTAAGACATTTGTTATTTAGCACTAATTTGTGATCATTGTGATTAATCTCTTGATAATTTGAACATAAGGAAAATGTTTTTGAGAATGACGACTTTTAATATGATGATTTTAATATGATGGCTCCCCATAACTGGTGTTCAATGGGTGACTACTTTAATGTTTCTTGATTTCCTTCAGTTCAGTTTGGACTTCAGTTCAGCAAATATTTTTGAGTATATGCCAGGGTTTGTATTTTTTTATTTTAAGTTCCAGAGTACATGTGCAGGATGTACAGGTTTGTTACATAGGTAAATGTGTGCCATGGTGATTTGCTGCACCTATCAACCCAACACCTGGGTATTAAGCCCAGCATGCATCAGCTATTTTTCCTGATGCTCCCCCTCTCCACCACCCTGACAGGCCCCAGTGTATGTTGTTCCCTTCCCTGTGTCCATGTGTTCTTATTGTTCAGCTCTCACTTATAAGTGAGAACATGGAGTGTTTGGTTTTCTGTTCCTGTGTTAGTTTGCACCCAGCTCCATCCATGTCCATGCAAAGGACATTATCTTGTTCCTTCTTATGGCTGCCTGGTATTCCATGGTGTATATGTACCACATTTTCTTTACCCAGTCTATCATGGATAGGCATTTGAGTTGATTCCATGTCTTTGTTATTGTGCTGCAATAAAAGTATGTGTGCATGTATCTTTATAATAGAATGATTTATATTCCTTTGGGTATATACCCAGTAATGGGATTGCTGGATCAGATGGTATTTCTGGTTCTAGGTGTTTGAGGAATTGCCACACTGTCTTCCGCAATGGTTGAACTAATTTACATTCCCACCAACAGTGTAAAAGCATTCCGATTTCTCTGCAACCTCACCAGCATGTATTGTTTCTTGACTTTTTAATAATCACTGTTCTGACTGGCATGAGATGGTATCTCATTGTGGTTTTGATTTGCATTTTTCTAATGATCAGGGATTTTGAGCTTTTTTTCATAAGTTTGTTAGCCACATAAATGTCTTCTTTTGAGAAGTGTCTGTTTATGTCCTTTGCCCACTTTTTAATGGGGTTGTTTTATTTTCTTGTAAATTTGTTTTAAGTTCCTTGTAGATTCTGGATATTAGACCTTTGTCAGATGGATAGGTTGCAAAAATTTTCTCCCGTTCTGTAGATTGTCTGTTCACTCTGATTATGGTTTCTTTGGCTGTGCAGAAGCTCTTTAGTTTAATTAGACCCCACTTATCAATTTTCGCTTTTGTTGCAATTGCTTTTGACATTTTCGTCATGAAATCTTTGCCCATGCCTATGTCTTGAGTGGTATTGCCTAGATTTTCTTCTAGGATTTTTATAGTTTGGGGTTTTACATTTTAAGTCTTTAATCTATCTTGAGTTAATTTTTGTATAAGATGTAAGGAAAGGGTCCAGTTTCAATTCTCTGCGTATATGGCTAGCCAGTTCTCCCAGCACCATTTATCAAACAGGTAATCCTTTTCCCATTGTTGTTTTTGTCAGGTTTGTCAAAGATCAGATGATTATAGATGTGTAGTCTTATTTCTGAATTTTCTGTTCTGTCGCATTGATCTATGTATCTGTTTTTGTGCCAGTACCATACTGTTTTGGTTACTATAGTCTTTTAGTATAGTTTGAAGCAATATGGCCATTTTCATGATGTTGATTCTTCCTATCCATGAGCATGGAATGTTTTTCCATTTGTTTGTGTTCTCTCTGATTTCCTTGAGCAGTGGATTGTAGTTCTTCTTGAAGAGGTACTTCATTTCCCTTGTTAGCTGAATTCTTAGGTATTTTATTCTCTTTGTAGCGATTGTGAATGGAAGTTCATTCATGATTTGGCTCTCTGCTTGTCTGTTGTTGGTTTATAGGAATGCTTGTGATTTTTGCATATTTATTTTATATCCTGAAGACTTTGCTGAAGTTGCTTATCAGCCTAAGAAGCTTTAGGGCTGAGACGAAGGAGGTTTTCAGATACAGGATCAAGTTGTCTGTAAACAGACAATTTTACTTCCTTTCTTCCTATCTGAATACCCTTTATTTCTTTATCTTGCCTGATCACCCTGGCCAGAACTTCCGATACTATGTTGAATAGGACTGGAGAGAGAGCATATCATTGTCATGTGCTGGTTTTCCAAAGGAATGCTTCCAGCTTTTGCCCATTCAGTATGATACTGGCTGTGGGTTTGTCATGAATGGCTCTTACTATTTTGAGGTATGTTTCTTCAATACCTAATTTTTTGAGAGTTTTTAACAATAAACTAGGTATTTTTAGTGAGGCCCTTTTCTACATATATTGAGATAATCATGTCGTTTTTGTCTCTAGTTCTGTTTATGTGATGAATTACATTTATCAATTTGCATATGTTGAATCAGCCTTGCATCCCAGGGATGAAGCCAACATGATTGTGGTGGATAAGCTTTTTGATGTGCTGCTGGATTCAATTTGCCAGCATTTTATTGAAGATTCTTGCATCGATGTTCATCAGGTATATTGACCTGAAGTTTTCTTTTTTTGTTGTATCTCTGCCAGGTTTTGGTATCAGGATGATGCCAGTCTCATAAAATGAGTTAGCGAGGAGTCCCTCCTTCTCAGTTGTTTGGAATAGGTCGAGAAGAAATGGTAGCAGCTTCTCTTTGTACCTCTGGTAGAATTCAGCTATAAATCTGTCTAGTCCTGGGGTTTTATTTTTTTTTTTTTTGGTTGGTAGGCTGTTTATTACTGCCTCAATTACAGAACTCATTATTGGTCTATTCAGGGATTCAACTTCTTCCTAGTTCAGTCTTGGGTGGGTGTATGTGTCCAGGAACTTACTCATTTCTTCTAGATTTTCTAGTTTATTTGCTTAGAGGTGTTTATCATATTCTTTGATAGTTGTTTATATTTCTGTGGGGTCAGTGGTGATATCCCATTTATCATTTTTTATTGCATCTATTCAATTCTTCTGTCTCTTCTTCCATGTTAGTCTAGCTAGCAGTCTATTAATATTTCATTAAATTTAAAAAAAAACAGCTCCTGGATTTGTTGTTGTTCTGAAGGGTTTTTCATGTCTCTACCTTCTTCAGTTCCACTCTGATCTTAGTTATTTCTTGTTTTTGCTAGCTTTGGGGTTTATTTGCTCTTGGTTCTCTAGTTCTTTTAGTTGTGATGTTAGGATATCTGTCTAGCTTTTTGATGTGGGCATTTAGTGCTATAAATTTCCCTTTTATCACTGCTTTAGCTGCATCCCAGAAATTCTGATACATTGTCTCTTTGTTCTCATTAGTTTCAAATAACTTCTTGATTCTGCCTCAATTTCATTATTTACCCAGGAGTCATTCAGGAGCAGGTTGTTCAATTTCCATGTAGTTGTGTGGTTTTGAGTGAGTTTCTTAATCTTGAGTTCTAATTTGATTGTGCTGTGGTCTGAGAGACTGTTATGATTTCAGTTCTTTTGCATTTGCTGAGGAGCGTTTTACTTCCAATTATGTGATCAATTTTAGAATAAGTGCCATGTGGCCAAGCTTTGTAGTTTGTAAGTAGCAAAATTGAAAGATTTGTCCTCGCATCAGGGCTTAGAATTCCAGAACTACATTGGGCATCTTAGCACATGTGTACACAACCCAGGTCTTTGAGAGGGGTAAGTCTGAATTAGAGTCTGTTAGCATGGGCAAGAGAGACAGTTGGCTAAAGTTATTTCTAACAGCTTTTAACTTTTTCTCACTTTTTAGAATGCTTTGATCACTTGAAAAAAATCCCTGCTGCTATGAACTAAATTGCATGAAGTACTCATCTTTCCTGAATTCTCCCCTCTTCCTTTTTTAATTTTTATTTAGAAGCACTAGTGGAAAATAATTCCAGCAATAGAGTGGTGTGGATGTAGAGGTGAGACTACAGACATAAAGGTAGAGAATGGGAGCAGATAAGCAGATAAGTCTGCCTCCACTCAAGAGAGTTAGTTACTTTCTTTATCCTGTATTCCATTGGGTTACTGGAACTGTGGTGATTACCAGCCAAAAGAAAGAAAAACCTCCCTTTCCCATCCCCACTCTACTCTAATTAAAAATTATTTGTAGCACCACAGATGCAGATCAAAGTGGCTTTAGGATTTCTCTACTTTTGTAGTTATAGAAGAAACTAAGGATGCTGTTTTGTTTAGCTATTAATTCTGCAACATTTGAATCCTCTGTACTAGGCACAGTTCTAGGAACAGGGGTTCAGAAATAAGATTTGCATCCTACCTCGATACATACTATAATTAAAGTGCCCCCTAGGAGCTTACCATCCAGCTGGGGAAACATGGCATATAGATATAAAATAAGTAGAAAACACAAAAGATGTATAATTAAGTGCTAAGTAGCACATTGTAGGCTATTATTAGTCGACAAATAATTATAACACCCATTATGAGTCAGATACTGCTCATATACCAGGGACACAGAGATTTTTTTAAAGATTTCATGTAGTTTATGTGCTCAGAGAGGAGAAAGATCAAGAAATGTAGGTAATTTAAACATAAGCTATGGAGTTTTTATTGTCCTCAGTGACCTTTTAGCACATTTTTTTCATTATGACCTATTTCATTCAATGAGAGAACTGGAAAAATAGAGATCTAGTAAAACTAGATTTTAAAAAGTACTGTCAAAACTGCTGCTTCTGTCCAAAATTTTATGCCTAATCCAAAATCTACTTGTTTTGAGCTTCAGGAAACCGTTTTTCCAGGTCTGGCTTTGCAATAAGTAGCTTTGTGAACTTTTAGCATATCACACATCTTTTTATTCTACAGTTTTTTTCTTTTGTCTAAAATGTAACTCTCTGAAAGATTCAAATGAAACACTGATTCCTCTGTAAAGTTTTTTCTGATGTCTTCCTTCCTGCCCACCCCACTTCTTCCCAGCTCACCGCCTCGTTGGAAGGACACATTCTGACTCCTAAACTCTTAATATTTGAACTCTATTAATATACTTCTTTTCTATGATACCAACTTTAAGCTTGTCTCATTTTTACATCTAAATACTTTGTTTTCAATACATATTGATGGCAGTCAACTTGTGCCTGATCGATTTAGAGGATTTCTGTTTTTTGTTTTGTTTCTTGTTTTGGGGATAGTGAAATGAAATGAAAGATGTTGGTTGGGTGTGGTGGCTTACATCTGTAATCCTGGCACTTTGGGAGCCTGAGACAGGAAGATCACTTAAGGCCAGGAGTTTGAGACCAGCCTGGGAAACATAGCAAGACCCCCTCCAAAAAAAAAAAAAAAAAAAAAAAGGTTTAATAATTGGAAAACAAACAATAGTAAGTATAAAAATTGTTTCTCTTTACTGTTTAAAAGTCATCTAAAGCTTTTATTTTAAGACTTGTCTTTATTTTTGTTTGCAAAGAGAAAGTATTTAAATTAAAATGTTAGATTTTAATGCTTCAAAACATACATGTCAAAATTAGATTCCCCAGCACAGGCTTGCATGAAACACTTGATGTTAAGGCAGCCCTATCTAAAACTTTAGTGTCTTCTTAATATGTTATTCCTTTTATTCTACCTAGAATAAATTTTAATACAGTAAAGTAAATAATCAAGTTACTTGGAAACCTCAGTTACCTGAATTTTGGGGTACTTTTATCAAAAAAGACATGAGAATATTTTATTTCAGGCTAACATAAGGGACTTACTGACTTAAAAACATTTCATGGGCTGGGTGCGGTGGCTCATGCCTATAATCCCAGCACTTTGGGAGGCCTAGGCAGGTGGATCTCTCGAGGTCAGGAGTTCAAGACCAACCTGGTCAATATGGTGAAACCTCGTCTCTACTAAAAATACAAAATAGCTGGGCATGGTGGTGCACACCTGTAATCCCAGTTACTCGGGAGGCTGAGGCAGGAGAATCACTTGAACTCAGGAGGTGGAGGTTGCAGTGGGCCAAGATTGAGCCACTGCACTTCAGCCTGGGCAACAGAGTGAGACTCTGTCTCAAAAAAAAAAAAAAAAAATTCATGTTATGGTGTGGAACTTATGAGTCTATTCTTCTGTCCCTAATCATAATTACTGGTGTCTCTAACAACTGTTTAATCCTCAGTTATCAAGGATTCAGATTCACACATATATATCCACATATATATATGTATACACACACACACATATACACATATGCATATAGACATATACACATATGTCTTTGAGGACTTTGTCTATATGCATATATATATTTACATATATATATTTACATATATATATTTACATATATATATATATACATATATATATTTACATATATATATATATTTACATATATATATATATATTTACATATATATATATATTATATATATCACTGACCGAGTTTGGGTTTGGTAAAAAGGAAGATCGTGCGGTCCCAAAGGTTGAAACAAAAAATGTCCTAGGCTTTTTGGTAGTTATTCAATGCTTTAATACATAAGGTAGTTTTAAAACATTCTTTTTGAAAACTGAAATAGACTATCAAAGTGTTCTGACTTCCTTTCTTTATAACATATCAATGGATTCTTAACTTCAACACCAATTTACAGAAAACTGCTAGTGTTTTAAAAAGCATGCTTTGCATTCTCAGACGGGAGATCCTTTCCTGGCACTGTAGGGGAGAATTTTCTGTAACATATGAGAGAATGCCTATTCTAGTTATGAATAGATTTTATGTTCTATTAACTTTATTTATCTGTTATAGTGAGAGAATACTGTTAAGAGCTTTGCAAATAGCTCTATCAAATTAAAGGCCAAAAACCATTCCTTCCTTTGATTTCAAAACTACTTTTGTGTGTTTCCATTTCTATTTTTTATCTTTTTAACAAATTTTTTTCCAAAAATTGAGTAGGCTTTGAAACAAGTTAGTGCCTTTGCATAAAAAAAGTTATGAAAATATGTTGTTAACATAAAACCACATTGGAATCATTTCTTCATGGATGCCTACCAGAATTGTTCTTCTCTTGGTCACTGGAGACCTTCATAATGCTCAGTTCAATGATCAAATCCTCTTTCTAGACCTTTCTGAAGTGTTGGAAACCCTTGTCTGTCCTATCTTCCCTTGGTTTCTTAGTTCTGTTTACTGACAGCTCTTTCCCTCAGCTAGTTTCTCCTTTTACCAAATTCAAAAGGTTGGTGTCCCCAGGGCTCAGTACTTGAACCTGTTCTCCACCTATACTAACTCCTTACTTGACCTGATCTCTTTCATAGATTTTAAATCCCCATTTCGATATCTAAGAGGTGTTTCAAACCAAATTTCTTATCTCCATCCTTAACCCAGTTGCATGCATGTGCGCGCATGCACACACACACACACACAAAATCAATCTATAATTAAATCCTGTTAAGTACCACCTATGAAATATTTCCAGAATAAAACTGCTTCTTACTAAAACCCCCACAGCTACCATTCTTTTACAAAGCTCCATTCTCTCTCTCTCAAGTTACTGCATTGCAAAAAGCCTCCAGTAAATTTTTATTTAAGAAATTTTAGCCAACTTATTACTATTATTTTTTTTGAAAATTTTCTTGAACAAGTATCTGTTATGTGCTTCCACTCTTGCCTTCTTCCAGTCTATTCACCATATAAATTATGTTTCTTCCCTGTTTAAACCATACCCTCTTCCTATCTCACTCAGAAGGTGAAATTTTTTGCATGGCCCTGGCTACTTCACTGGCTGCCATATCCCCAGCCAGTGTACTGGAGATAGTGCTTCATGTACTGTAGGCAATCATTAATATGTAAGTGACTGAATAAATTATTTGTAAATATGGAATATAATTTGGGATTTAAAAAATAAAAGTTCACCCTTTGTCAAATAGATAACCATCTTAATATAGAAAAACCATACACTGGATTAAAATATTCCTTTATATTCAACTTTTTATTTAGCATTCACTAAAAAATGTTTTTTTTATTTCTGAGAAGGTTTGAAATAAATTTTTCAAAACAGGAATGTGCTCAAAATTTATTTCAAAGCCTCTAATGAGTTTTTTCTTTAAGATACTTCAGTCAAATCGTTGCTATGGTTTGCTTTAAGAAGATGTCTTAAAGCAATTATTCATTATGTGGTTCCTCCTTATCCTGAAATATATTATGTAGGTATTAATATTTGGCAGGATAGTAGTTAAAAGTTTCCTTTCAAAGCCAGCTGTTTTCTTTTAGTTATGAATCAATTAATTGAATCAGCTCATTTGTGTATCAACCTGAATATTGACATTTTGGCATAAGTGAGCAGAAGGTAGTAGATAAGTCACTGCCTAGAGTATACTGCCTTGAGGACTTTGTAATTTGTATGTATAATACAATATTTATAAATTTCCTAAATAGGAGTTATTAGGTGATTTTTTTCAACTTTTATTTTAAATCAGGAGGTACATGTGCAGATTTGTTAAAAAGGTATATGGCATGATGCCAAGGTTTGGAGTATGAATGAATCCATCACCCAGGTAGTGAGCATAGTACCCAATAGGTAGTTTCTCAGCCCTTGGCCCCCTACCTCTCTCCCCCTTCTAATAGTCCCCAGTGTCCATTGTTACCATAATTATGTCCATGTGTACACAGTGTTTAGCTCCCACTTGTAAGTAAGAATGTGGAGTATTTGGTTTTCAGTTTCTGTGTTAGTTCACTTAGGATAATGGCCTCCGGCTGCATCCATATTGCTGCAAAGGACATAATTTCATTTTTTATGGCTGCATAGTATTCCATAGTGAATATGTACCACATTTTCTTTATCCAATCCACCATTGATGAGCACCTGGGCTGATTTTGTCTTTGCTATTGTGAGTAGTGCTGCAATGAACATACAGGTACATATGTGTCTTTTCAGTAGAATGATTTCTTTTCCTTTGGGTATATGCCCAGTAATGTGATTGCTGAGTTGAATGATAGTTCAACTCTTAGTTCTTGAGAAATCTCTAAACTGCTCTCCACAGTAGCTGAATTAGTTGACATTTCCACCAACAGTGTATAAGTGTTCCCTTTTCTCTGTAGCCTCACCAGTATCTGTTGCTTTTTGACTTTTTAACAAAAGCCATTCTGCCTGGTGCTGTCAGATAGTATCTCACTGTGGTTTTGATTTGCATGTCTCTGACAAGTAGTGATGATGAGCATTTTAAAAAATATGTCTGTGGGCCACTTGTATGTCTTCTTTTGAGAAGTGTCTGTTTGGCTGGGCGCAGTGGTTTATGTCTGTAATCCCAGCACTGTTGGGAGGCTGAGGCGGGCAGATGACTTGATGCAGGAGTTGAAGATCAGCCTGGCCAACATGGTGAAACCCCGTCTCTACTAAAAATACAAAAATTAGCGGGGTGTGGTGGCTCATGCCTGTAATCCCAGCTACCCGGGAGGCTAAGGCATGAGAATCACTTGAACCCAGGAGGCAGAGGTTGCAGTGAGCCATGATTGCACCACTGCACTCCAGTCTGGGTGATAGAGTGAGACTGTGTCTCAAAAAAATAAAAGAGAGAGAGAGAGAGAGAAGTGTCTGTTCATGTCCTTTGCTCACAAAATTTTTAATGGGGTTATTTGATTTTGTTTGTTGATTTGTTTGTTTCTTATAGATTCTGGATAGTAAACCTTTGTCAGATGCATAGTTTGTGAATATTTCCCTTCACCCTGTAGATTGTCTGTTTACTCCTTTGATTGTTTCTCTTGCCATGCAGAAGCTCTTTAGTTAATTAGGTCCCACTTGACAGTTTTTGTTTTTGTTGTAATTACTTTTGAGGTCTTAAACATAAATTTCTTGTCAAGGCCAATATTGAGAATGGTATTTCCTAGGTTTTCTTCTAGGATTTTTATAGTCCTACATTTGAGTATTTCATCCATCCTGAGTTAATTTTTTTATAGGGAGATAGATACGGATCCAGTTTTATTCTACATATGGATAGCCAGCTGTCCCAGCACCATTTATTGAATAGGGAGTCTTTCCCCTGTTTTTTTATTGCCTGTGTCAAAGATCAGATGGTTGTAGGTATGCAGCTTTATTTCTGAGCTCTCTATTCTGTTCCATTGGTCTCTGTGTCTGTTTTAGTACCAGTACCATGCTGTTTTGGTTATTGCGATCTTGTAGTATGGTTTGAAGTCAGGTAATGTGATGCCTCCAGCTTTGTTCTTATTACTTAGGATTGCTTTGACTATTTCGTGTCTTTTTTTGTTTTGTTTGAATTTTGGAATAGTTTCTTTCTAATTTTGTGAAAAATGACATTGGCAGTTTGATAGGAATTGCATTGAATCTGCAGATTGCTTTGGGCAGCATGGCCATTTTAATGATATTAACTCTTCCAATTCATGAGCATGGAATGTTTTTCCATTTATTTACGTCATCTTAGATGTCTTTCAAAAGTGTAGTTCTCCTTGTAGAGTTCTCTCACCTCCTTGGTTAACTGTATTCTTAGGTATTGTGTTCTGTTTGTGGCTGTTGTAAATGAATGGCATTCTTGACTTATCTCTCAGCTTGCTCATTGTTGTATAGAAATGCTATAATGATAAAGGGTTCAATTCACTATGAAAACTTAACTATTTTAAGTCTACACACACCCAAAATTAGAGCACCCAGATTCATAAAACAAGTTATTTTAGACCTATGAAAAGACTTAGACAGCCATACAATAATAATGGGAGACTTCAGGGCCCCACTGACAGTGTTAGATCATTGAGGCACAAAACTAACAAATTCCGAATTTAAACTTGACACTTGACCCATTAGACCTAATAGACACCCACAGAATACTCTACCCAACAACCACAGAAGATTCTTCTCATCTGCACATGGAACATTATCTAAGATTGACCACATGTTCACCATAAAGCAAATCTCAATCAACTAAAAAAAAATCATACAAAGCATACTCTTAGACCACAATGCAATAAAAATAGAAATCAGTATCAAGAAGATTTCTCAAAACCACATAATTACATTGAAATTAAACAAGTTGCTCCTGAAGGACTTTTGGTTAAACAACGAAATTAAGGCAGAAATCAAAAAAAAGTATTTGAAATTAATGAAAACAGAGGCACAGCATACCAGAGTCTTTGGGATGCAGCTGAAGCAGTGTTAAGAGGAAAGATTGTCGTACTAAACACCCACATCAAGAAGGAAGAGCTCAAATTAACAATCTAACGTCACATCTAGAGGAACTAGAATAACAAGAACAAAGCAATCCCAAAGCTAACAGAAGAAAATAAATAAAGTCAGAGCAGAAATGGATGAAATCGAGACATAAAAATCTATACAAAAGACCAGTAAAACCAGAAGTTGATTTTTTGAAAGAATAAACAAGATTGAGAGACTGCTAGGTATAATAACAAAGAAAAAGAAGATCTAAATAAGTACAGTCAGAAATGACAAAGGTGATGTTACAACCAATCTCACAGAAATCCAAAAGATCCTGAGACTATTATGAACAGCTCTATCCACACAAATTAAAAAATCTAGAAGAGATGGACAAATTCCTGGAAATGCACAGCCTCTCAAGATTGAACCAGGAAGAAACTGAAACGCTGAGCAGACCAATGAGTTCTGAAATTGAAGCAGTAATAAAAAACCTACCAACCAAAAAAAGCCCTGGACCAGATGGATTCACAGCCGAATTCTACCAGACATACAAAGAAGAGTTTGTACCAGTTCTACTGAAACTATTCTAAAAAGTCGAGGAGGAGGGACTCCCTAAGTCATTCTACAAAGCCAGCATTATCTTGATATCAAAATTTGGCAAAGCAACAATGAATAAAGAAAACTACAGGCCAATATCCTTGAGGAACATAGACACAAAAATCCTCGACAAAATACTACCAAACCAAATCCAACAGCAAATCAAAAAGTTAATTCACCACAACCAAGTAGACTTTATTCCTGGGATGCAAGGTTGGTTCAGCATACACAAATCAATAAACATGATTCACCACATAAACAATTAAAAACAGAAACCATGTGACTATCTCAATAAACACAGGAAAAGCTTTCAACAAAACCCAACATCCCTTCCTGATAAGAATCCTCAACAAGCTCGGTATCAAAGGAATATATCTCAAATAATAAGAGCTGTCTATGACAAACCCACAGCCAACATCATACTGAATGCACAAAAGCTGGATCCATTCTCTTTGAGAACCGGAACAAGACAAGAATGCCCACTCTCACCACTTTTATTCCACATAGTACTGGATGTGCTAGCCAGAGCAATCAGGCAAGAGAAAGAAATAAAAGGCATCCAAATATAAAAAGACGTCAAACTATCTCTCTTCACCGACGATATGATTCTCTACCTAGAAAACCCTAAAGACTCGCCAAAAGGCTCTTAGAACTGGTCAATTTCAGTAAAGTTTCAGGATGCAAAATCAGTTAGTTTTTTAACTTTAGAAGATCCAGAAATTATACATAGAATTATTTTTAATCAGGTTTAATTATTTCGTTCCTTTAAGTGTACCATTATGTAATTATTATCTCAAGAAAACTCAAACTGTTGGAGTTCCCAGTAAGCATATTGATGACCTTGTTCATTGTTGAATCCATAAACAAACTAACAGAACCACATACAGTGTAATCATTACACATATAAATTTCTCTGAGTAACTTGAATTCAAAATGAGTAGCCAAACGAATTTTACTTAGTGGATAATGAAGAGAGGTAGTAGTTTTAAGTCAGCAGGCCACACACAAAGATGACTAAATTGGTTTGGAGGTTTCTCCCTTAGTTGGGATCTGTTTCTATTGATTCTTCTCATTCTTTCATAATGAAGGTTTTGTGTTGTTTTTGTTTCATTTTGTTTTGCTTTTTGTTTTGAGATAGGGTCTTGCTCCATTGCCCAGATTGAAGTGTGGTGGCATGGTAATAGCTCACTACAGCCTCTGAGGGTTGGGGGGGAAGAAAACAAAATGAAGCAGAACTATTCTTAAAGGGATGCCATTTTCACGAGGCTCTTTGAAGTTCAAATACTCTCATTTTTCCTGATTAGTTGTCTTGCATCACTATATATAATTCATATATTGTTTCCTTTTAAAGTCTTTAGAGACAATGCTCATAAAATCTTGTTCCTTTCCTTCTTGATAATGTTTTATCAAGTGCCTTGTACTAAGTGAATTCCTAATAGATGTTGTTAAACAACTTCTGTGTCAAGGTTATGAGGAAATTATGTAGTTACTCTCTTCTTTGGAAATAATAACTTTGTGTATGGATCTCACTCTATTAGTGTGACTCTGTGTATTAGTGTCCTTCTCTGACCTTCACTCTCTCCTTCTATTCTGTCTCTCATCTTTCTATTCTGTCTTTACTTACTTAACGTTTATGTTTTCCTTGGTCTTTAAATATTAGTATCATTGTTGATGTATTGATCTCATTGTATCGCATATGCTCCCATCAGCATCTTGATAATTTAAAAGTGCTCCTTTATATATTTCTTGCTTTTAAGCCCTTGCTCACTCTGTTTATCTAACGATTTGTCCACCTATCTTACCAAGCCCTTATCCTGTCTTCATTCATTTTGATGCTGGTATTACTATTATCACTAGGCTGTGTTCTCATAATACAAGTCATAATTCAGACTATGAGCTACATGATTTATTATTTATTTTTTTCATTATACTTTAAGTTCTAGGGTACATGTGCACAACGTGCAGGTTTGTTACATATGTATACATGTGCCATGTTGGTGCGCTGCACCCATTAACTCGTCATATACATTAGGTATATCTCTTAATGCTGTCCCTCCCCCCTCCCCCTGATTTATTATTTAATCATTGAAGTTACAGTACATATTACATACAATCACATTGTTATAATCACTACATGTTATTTTCTTTGGTAATTTCAATGTGATTTTATCAAGGTGATAGAATGTAATAGTACTTTCTCATGTTTGATCTCATTAAGACAGATAATTGCCATAGATTAGATTCCCATATAATATACTTTTAATTCTAGATGTTCAATATAGTCATAAATAAATAATAGGATTGCATTGCTGAATAAGATAGAGTTTTGATGTTGAGAGTGGTTTTTGTAGCTTCATTTCAGTAGTCTTTTTGTTCCAAATGATATCTGGACTGATTTATTCCCTAACACTCTGCAGAGTTACACAGGCAATATAGAAAGTTCTAACCTACATGTCAGAACCAGGTAGGGTAAAACAGATGCTAGAACTTGATAAGCTAATGATCTGGGCTTACCCTTTAGACAGTGTCTATGCTATGATCATTGGTACTATGCATCCGGAAGATTAATTTGAGAGAGGTGAGTAGTATAGATTGGAGAAAAGAGAGAGGTAAAAATTAGAGAATCCAGTTAGGAGTTCATTATAAACTATAGGTTATGAGGATCCAGAGTTAAAAAATTTTATTTTTAATTAGAATATTCTCAAAACATAAGAAATGACTTTATGTGGGAAGCAAAAGGGGAGAAGTCTAAAGTAACACTAGGATCCTTATGCATTGCTGGTGGGAATGTAAACTGGTGTAACCATGGTGGGAAACAGTTTGGCAGTTCCTCAATAAGTTAAACATAGAATTACCATATGATCTAGCAATTCCACTCCTGGGTATGTACTCAAAAGAATTGGAAACAGATATTCAAAAACAGTATGTACATGAATTCTTAGCACTATTCACAATAGCTAAAAGGTGGAAACAACCCAAATGTCCATCAGTTAATGAATGGATAAACAAATGTGCTATAGCCGTTCACCAGAATATTATTCAGCAGCAAAAGGGAATGAAGTGCTAATACATGCTACAACATGAACAGATCTTGAATACCTTATGCTAATGGAAAGAAACCATACATGAAAGGATAGATATTACATGATGTGAAATACCCGAAATAGGCAACTCCATAGAGACAGAAAGATGGTAGTAGTTGCCAGGGACTAGGGGGAATGGGGAATGACTGCTTATAGAAAAGCTTATAGACTGCTTATAGAAAAACCTATATGGTTTTTCTTTAGGGGTAATGAAAATATTCAGGAACTAAGTAGTGATAATGGTTTTACAACACTGTCAGTGTACTAAATGCCACTGAATTATGCATTTTTAAATGGTAACAATGGGATATTTTACATGTGTTTTTTATACTAGTTCTTTGTTTTTGTTTAAAAAAAAAAAAGCACACTAGCTCAAGAACCATAGACTTAATGCTTTCAGAGAACTCGGAGGTTCAGTAGACAGAGTAAAGAAGTAACAGAGAGGGAATGTGGCTAACTGGACATTCAAAATCAAATGTTTTTTAAAACTCTTGTGGGGGGGGGGTATCGAATAAAATATGAGTGTGTGCTGCGGTTTCCAACCTCTACTAGAAACTGAGCCAAGCAGCTAAACTAGTTCCACAAGAGTAGAGAAAAAATCAGACTTATTTACTCCATATGTTAATATAGCACAGTGTCTAGACAGTACATATAGATGCTCAGTTATTTGTTGGATGAAAAATTAAAAATAAGGAAATAAAACCTGGACAGTAAGGTTATATTCTTTTTCTTTTTTTATTATTATTATACCCTAAGTTTTAGGGTACATGTGCACAACGTGCAGGTTAGTTACATATGTATTCATGTGCCATGTTGGTGTGCTGCACCCATTAACTTGTCATTTAACATTAGGTATATCTCCTAATGCTATCCCTCCCCACTCCTCCCACCCCGCAACAGTCCCCAGTGTGTGATGTTCCCCTTCCTGCATCCATGTGTTCTCATTGTTCAGTTCCCACCTATGAGTGAGAACATGCGGTGTTTGGTTTTTTGTCCTTGCGATAGTCTGATGAGAATGATGGTTTCCAGCTTCCTCCATGTCCCTACAAAGGACATGAACTCATCATTTTTTATGGCTGCATAGTATTCCATGGTGTATATGTGCCACATTTTCTTTTTCTTGGTCAATTTCATCTCCAGCTCACCCCACCCCACCCCCAGTAAATCAATGTATTAATTTTAACAATCTCTTTTATGTTTTCTGTTGTCTTTCCTATCCCTTTCTCACTGCCAACTTGGGTGTGCAACATCTCTTACCTAAGACTACTGCCGTAACTTCCTAATGGTCTCACTCACTCTGAGTTGCCTTCCTGTGTATTCTTCAGTGTACAGGTTGAGTATCCCTGTTACAAAATGCTAGGGACCAGAAGTATTTTGAATTTCATTTTTTTATTTTTGAATTTCAGTTTTTTTAATTTTTGAATATTTGCTTATAGATAATGAGATATCTTGGTGATGGGACCGAAGCATAAATACACAATTTATTTATATTTCATATACACTTTATATACATAGCCTGAATGCAATTTTTATAATTTTGTTCATGAAACAAAATTTGTATACTTGAGGCCAAGTATGGAATTTGTACTTATGGTGTCATAGTGGTGCTCAAAAATTTTAGGATTCTGGAGCATTTTGTATTTTGGATTTTCAGATTAGGGATGCTCAACCTGTATTACAAAATGCAATGTCCTGCTCAAAATTCTGTAGTGCTTCCAAATAAAATCTAAGCCCCTTACGTGATAGGAGAAACACCAATGACTGTACCCCTTTCTCATCTGCTGCTAATCTTTCTCAAGCCTTTATAACTCCTGCCTTTCTGAATTTTCCAGTTACTGAAGCACAAGGTGCATATTTGACATGCTGTTCCTTCTTAAAGTGCCCTTCAGCCTTCATTGGTCTCTCTGTTCATCCTTTAGACTTTGGTTCCTCCAAGGAATTTTCCTAGCCAATGCAGTCTCAGATAGGGTCTCCTGTTTTTGCTTTTTTGTGCTCCTGCACTCTGTATTTCTTTTATTGTACTTACATCACTTGTTTATCATCATGTTACTTGTCTGACTTGCCTATCAGATTGATAACTCTTGGAGGCCAAGGACCCAATCTAGTTCCTATGCCTGGCACATGGCTGGTACCCAGCAAAGACAGCCCTTATCACTATTACAAATAATTTATTATATGGTAATTGTATGCACAATAAATGTTGAATGAGAATATTTACGATATATAAAGCAGAACATAGGTGCTAGATGTCATATAAGAGATGCCAAGCAGAGATCCAGTTGATAAAAAGTTTTCATGGTAGAACTAATATTTGGAATGGGCTTTGAGAAATGGGTAAATTTTTGGAAGGTAAATTTTATGTAGTTATTTAACAGTTATCGGTCAGTGACCATGTGCTAATTATTTTACCAGGCTTTAAGGTTATCCAGATCCTATCTAGTACTTGTTATCGTAATCTCTAATTGATTACTAATAAACATAGACAATTCCAAGTATTCTGAATTTTATTTTCTTTGTAATTTATGATTAAGCAACACTGTCTCTAAAACTGTACCTGAAAGTGGACTCATTTTTAGAATGAACTTTAGTTGTAAATACTGATATATTACTGTGGCCAGGTTTTGTGAAAGCTGTTTTCTAGTTTTTACGTTTCTAAAACTTGTTTTTGCTTTTCAGAAATGGTTTCACAAACCCATTTGAAAATGGAATGTTAATACATAAAAAGCAAGCAACAGGTGAATTCCTAGACTCTGCTTGGATTTGTTAGATTATTTTAGAGTTCTGTTAATTATAACTTGTAAGTCCTAATCAGGCTATATTAAAAGGCTAAATAGAAGGTTATAGTCTTACCCTTTCCCCATTTCCATACTCTAAAAGAGTAAAATAAACACATCTACACTTCACTCAGAATAAAAATAAACACTTCAGAGTCATAAAATTGAGAAACACATTTTTAAATGGGAGACTTTAATATTGTATTAAAAAACACAAAAGTTGTGTTTTTGTTTCCTTCCATGAAAATTTTTTCCGTTTAAATTATGTGAGTGCTGAGATGTTTACTTTTATTTTAGTGTATGGAATGAATTTTTTACTAAAGTCTTCAGGCATCTCTCACCACACTTACATATAGGTTTTTAAAATGACAGCCTGATAGATGCACACAGAAAAAGAAAATCATTTAATTTTATTGTGAATTCTCCCGGACACCAGCACCAGTCCACTTATTTGAAAGTAATATCACGAGGAGGAAAATGAGTTATTGTGTGTGAAAATCCTTTGGAATTGCTTTAAAATGTAAACTATTTTTAAAAATAGCCTAATTAATCTTTGGCCTAGGCCAACCCCAAGCAAAATAATAATAATAATTTTCCAGTTACTTCAGATTAGCCTTTATTTATAAACATTTAAATGTTTTGGAAGTATTGTTTAAACCAGGGATCCTCAAACCATGACCCAGACAGGTTGCCCATTTTTGTAAAGTTTTCTTAGAACACAGCCACACCTGTTCATTTATGTATATGATTGACTTTGCAATACAAGGGCAGAGTTGAATAGTTTTGACAGAAATGGCATGGCCCACAAAACTTAAACTATCATCAGACCCTTTGAGTAATAGTTTGAAGGTCCCTAGATTAAGCCATACTGCAATCTGATGGCTTCTTCTTATAATCAAGAAGCAGTTATTTGTTGGATACCTAAACCAAAATGCAAAAGATGATTTTTCCTCTTGCAAAGTTTTCCTGTTATGTAATTAAAAAATTAAAGCTCAGCAAAATATTATTTTAGCCATTCTTTCCCCCATTCATTGCTTAGTAGCCTTGTCCTTGCTCGGTTTCAACAAGTGAAAGCTTTATTTTTGTTTTCTATACATTTGAAAATCACTACATACTAAAAGATTCTATTATACCTTCTTCAACTCCCCCAGAAGAACTTGAGAAAGGATTTTTTTTTTTCTGTGATGGTGAATGTAGGCCTTTTCTTTGTTCTCTGCTTAATTCCAACCTATAATATCAAGCATAGAAACTCCTTTTCCCTTTTCTTTCACAGGACTTTGATTTATATACTTGCCTTATCATTCACCTATATGTATTTAAGTTATACATAGTATGTGGTTAATTAGCAATTAGTGAGCATAATAGACTTCGCTTCTTGAAAGGGGTAGCTATAGCTGAGAAATCACAGGAAATGATGGAATAACTCTCAAAAGTTCAACTTAGCTGAAGTAGAACTATAAACTACTTATACTTACTTGGAATACACTATTGTAGAATTTTACAATGTTAGAGCTAGAATGCGTTGTAGACTAATGAAGAGAGTTGATCTAATGTGCGTTAGAATCAAACTTCAATGTGCATTAGAATCACCTGACTGGCTTGTTAAACTGCAGGATGCTGAGCCAACCCTCCAGAGTTTCTGATTCAATAAACCTGAGGAAGGCCCGAGAATTTGCATTTTTAAAACATGTTCCCTGTTGATGATGATGATGCTGATCAGGAGTCCACACAATGAGAATGTAATAGAGAAAGGGATGGCTGACCACTGGGGATTAATTCAGAGCTATTAGGATAGGGTATGGTCCTCATACTTTTAGTATACCCAGGGGAGATCAGACACTGTGACCCATGCTATTCAAACCCAAGAAACATAGATAAGCCATAATTCTGATTTTTTATAGCTGCCAGGTGGACCTGATAATTGAGGTGACAAGTCATGGCCTCTTACACCATATGCGTTGATGGAGACCCCGAGAAATACTTGTTCTTTGAGCTCCTCATTTAATTAGACTAATTTAAAAAAAAAACTGTTCTCATTGTCATTATTATGACTTTTGCATGGCTTTTAATTTAGTTCAGCTCTGGATTGTTTCCCTGAAGTGACTCTCAAATATGCTTAACTACACATTTATAAACTATATTTTAGGATTGGAGTGTTCTCACAGACATAGCCAATCATATCCATTATCCATTTCCCTCTCATCAGTAATCTTAATTCCACCTTTTGGATACATGTTTAGTTAGTCCCATATATAAATTATAAATGATATTTAAAGATCTTCTAGTCCTAGTCCAACTAACTTACTTTACATATAGGAAACTAAGCCAACCAGATAACTTGCCATATCACATTACTTAGCAAAAAGGCTTGGATTAGCACTCCACCCAAGTCATTAAATCCTAAACCACTGAACTCAATCACCATGGCTGGAGGAGGAAGCTGAGTCAATGCAGTGTTTGTCCATTTGAAAGACTACATAGAATTTTTTAAAGTACATGAAACCATACTTGTAAATCACCTTAGTAGCAGTATATTTTGGCTACCCTAAATAGCTTCAAATCTGTAAAATGAGGGATAGTAATACCTACCTTCAGGGCTGATTGTTTCTCGCTTACCTGTCCTTCCTCACCAGCTGTACCCACTTTAGAATCCTTAAAGTCACCTTCTAGTGTTCAGCTGCTAAAAAAACAACAAGAGTTTTGCCTTTAGTTCCTCACTTCTCATCCTTTTACTCCTCAAATTCCAGACATTTGAGTTCTGCCTACGCCATTCTCCTGGAACTGTTTTCTCAAAGGTCTTAATGACCAACTGATGACTTTTTACCCCAAGACACCTTTTGAGACCTCAGCTTGTTATCCCTTCTGTCAGTTTCAGCACTCCTGACCACCACTACTTTTTCTTTTTCTGCTACTTCATTCACCAGTCTCCATCTTTGTTCATAGGTTCTCTTCCCTTCATCTCTTCAACTTACATCTTTTCTCAGGGATATGTTTCTGCCTTTTTTCTTATTTTGTGCTCCTTCCCTTGGCAGTTCTAGCCATTACAAAGAGTTATTTATGCACCTGTCTTTGAATGACATCTCTGCTTCTGACATCTCTTCCAAGTGCTGCATGCCTACCTGATCTTGCCATACCACCTAGCCCACTGATAATTTCAGACTCAGTACATTTGAAACTGAGGTCATCTCTTCTTCCCCAGCCACAATAGGCTTTCCCTCCTTTGTTCTTCAACTTTGTTAATCTCTAAAATGTGCAGATGCTCCTCGACTTACAACGGGTTATGTCAGAATAAATCTATCATATGTTGAGAATATCATGAGTAGAAAATGCATTTAATACACCTAAGCTAGCACAGGAAAAGAGTAAAATTCAAAATCTGAAGTACAGTTTCTACTGAATGCCTATCAGTTTCACACCATCATAAAGTGAAAAAATGGTGAGTCAAAAAACACATAGAAATGCAAAAGACCTAGATTATCTAAAACAGTCTCAAGAAAGAAAAAGTTGATGGACTTAACACTACGTAACTTTATGATTTACTATAAACATAGAACAGTAAGACAGTGTGGTTATAGCATAAGAATCAATAAATCCGTGCAACAGAATAGAGAGCCTGGAAATAGACCTATGCTTTATAGTCGTGATTTTAAGAAGGTACCAAAGCAATCCATTGAGGAAGGGAATTTAAAGATCTTATAGTCCTAGTCCAACTAACTTACTTTACATATAAGTAAGCACCAAGTCTTTGGTGTAAATGGTGCTAGGATAATGAAGTATTCATATAGAAAAAAAATGAACCTGGCCCTCTACCTTATTAAGCAAAATTAATTTGGGATGGATCATAGACTTAAATGTAAAAACTAAAAATCATACATATTTTAATAGAATGCATTGGAGAATATCTTGATGAGTAGGGGATAGGTGGAAGTTTCCTAGAAAGGTCACAGAAAGTAAACACCATATGAAAAAATTTGATAAACTTCGTCAAAATTTAAAACTTTTTGTCAGAAACATGGTTAAGAAAGTTTACAGGCAAGCAACAGACTAGGAGAAAATATTTTCCAAAACACATAACCTGCCAAAGGACTGGAATCTAGGATACATGAAAAAGTTCCTACAACTCAATATGCGTATAATAACACATAACCCAAACTGTTTTAAATGAGCAAAAGATTTGAAGACAGTTCACCAATGAAGATAATGCAAATGGCCAGTAAGAACGTGAAAGAAATTAGCAGAGAAATGCAAATTAAAATCCTAATTAAAGGCTGGGCATGGTGGCTCAACCTGTAATCCTTGCACTTTGGGAGGCCAAGGCAGGCAGATCATCTGAGGTCATGAGTTCGAGACCAGCATGGCCAACATGGCAAAACCCCATCTCTACTAAAAATACAAAAATTAGTTGGGCGTGGTGGTGCATGCCTGTAATCCCAGCTACTCAGGAGGCTGAGGCAGGAGAATTGCTTGAACCCAGGAGGCAGAGGTTTCAGTGACCCAAGATCATGCCACTGCACTTCGGCCTGGGTGACAGAGCAAGACTCCTTCTCAAAATAAGAAAAAAAAATCCTAATTAAAGGCTACTGTACATCCACTAAACTGGCCAAAATTCAAAAGATTGATAACACCAAATGTTAGCAAGGTCGTGGAGCAACTGGAACTCTTTTACAGTGTTGCTGGGAATGTAAAATGGTACCATCGTTATGGAAAACTAACTGGTAGTTTTTCTAAAATTAAACTTATACCTACTCTGTGACCTAACAATTCCACTCTGAGGTATTTACCCAAGAGAAATGAAAACATAGATACAAAAAGACTAGTACCAATGTTTAATAGCCATTTTATTCATGATAGCTAAAAACTGGAAACAGCCCAAGTATACAACAATAGAAGAATAAACTCTGGCATATTTATACATTGAATACCTAAGTAAGATAAAGGAATGAATTACTGATAAATGTAATAACATGAATGAATTCCAAAAATATGATGAGGAAGTAATATCTTACACAAAAGAACAGATACTGTGGTTCAATTTGTATAAAATTCTAGAACAGGCAGTCTTTCTTGGGAAAAAGAAAAATCAGAATAGTGGTTACCTCTGGGGTGATCAAGTCAGGATTGACTGGTATAAGGAGTTTGAGGTATTTGGGATCTGATCAAAGATTTAACATACTGTACAGGATTGCATGAGAGAGTAAATCCCTCACAGTATGAGACTG
This sequence comes from Homo sapiens, assembly GCF_000001405.40. Taxonomy (NCBI): domain Eukaryota; kingdom Metazoa; phylum Chordata; class Mammalia; order Primates; family Hominidae; genus Homo; species Homo sapiens. Next base: position 110,631,750 of record NC_000011.10, on the reverse strand, counting down.
TCCAGAGGCTTATGGCAAGGAGCCACCATCCAGAAGGGAAGGAGGGCAGGGGAGAAAAGAATCAGAGCAGATATTTCTGGAGAGTAGATGTCCATTCCTCAGTAGTGAGGAATGGCTAGGTCAGAGAGCTCTAAAGGGCATGAGCAACTTGGGGGTCTCATAACCACAGACACTCTCTTTTCAGTGGCCAGCAGGTGCTGGGTGTAGTTTGATGGAGTATGCAAAGCAGGCAGGCTGTTACTGGCTAAAAATCTGATTGGGCTATTTTTAAAATACTTCGATATATAAAAATTTAAGTTTGATACTAGTGAGGTTTTGAACTGACAGGTCTCAGCCTGCAGTGGAGAAATAAACAACTCAGGAGCCAATCCATAGAGACTATATTTGGTTAATTTATATAATAGCTGAGAAGGGGCAAGAGGGAATTATTTGGAGTGATGATCACTTTCTAAATCTTGTTAGAGGCTTAGATTACACAGATAAGTACATTTGTCAAAAGTCAGTGGATATACACCTAAGATTTCTACATTTTGTTGTATGTAAATTTGATATCAAGAGAAAAATTCAAAATAAATAATTGAACTCTAGTTAATGATATGTATGCTGAAGCATTCAGGGGGATGTGTACTGCCTGTATGTAGTTTACCCTGAAATGCCAAAAATAAAATGAATTATTCAATGGATGGTTGGATAGGTATTTGGTAAAGCAAGTATAGTAAAATACTAATGGTAGAATCTATATTGAGATACATATACATGTGTTTATTATAAAACTATTTCAACTTTTCTTTGTTTCAAAATTTTCATAATGAAATATTAAAGACTACTGTGTGGTGAATAGACTCATGACCAGTTAGGATGCTATACCATTGTATTAAAAAAAATTACAGAATTTTGTAGTTCTTGACCAACTATAAGATGATCGTTTGACTGATCTGTGGCATTTGATCTGTTACAGGGACAGTCCTTCTGCTAGTGTTGACACATGCACATTTCTGTCATCATTAGTGTGCTCCAATAGGACTCTGCTGATTGATGGCCGGGCAGAACTCAAAAGAGGCCTCCAGAGGCAGGAGCGGCATCTTTTCCTATTCAATGATCTGTTTGTTGTGGCCAAAATCAAGTATGTATACTATATACTCCTGATTATCATTATAAAATTGCACTTTTACTAACAAAGATACCCTTTCTACTCAATGCTTACTGTAAGAATGTCTTGCCTTTGTTACTATAGGTAATATCTAAAGTGATTTTATGCCCTTCATTGCAAAAAAAAATCGATTGTTCATTTTTTCAACAAGTGTTTATTTAGGTCCTGTTCTGTGCCATGTCCTGAATAAATGTAGGAAATTCAATGAAGAATGTGATGGGTACGGTCCCTGCTCTTTGGGAGCTTATATTCTAATGTGGGAGCTTACAGTCTTATGCATGGGGTGAGGGAGAATGACAAATTGTGATTAGTACTATGAAGAAAATAGGGTGCTGGGTGAAGTAAAAGATGGCATATATGTTAGGTAGGTGTAGTCAGGGGAAAAATTCAGTGAAGGATGAAAAGCAATCAGCCATTCAGATATTGGAGGATGAGCATTCCAGGGAGAGGGAACAGCAGGTGCAAAGGTAGTTGGGGAAAGCTTAGCACTTGGAGGAATTAAAAGAAGGCCTGTGTAACTGGAGCATAACAAGCCAAGGAGAGTAAGATGAATTAAGATTAGAGAAGTAGACAAGGGTTAGGTTATAAGGACCTGTGTAGGCTATATTGATTATCTATTGCCATTTAACAAATTACCCAAAAACATTACAGTTTAAAATTATAAATATCTCATGCAGTTTCTCTGAGTCAGGAGTCTGAGAGTGTTTCACTGGATGCTTCTGGCTTACAAGCCTTCACGAGAGCCCTCAAGCTTGCTGGCTTGGGTTAAAGTTATCTCAAAGCTCACCTGGAGCTGGAGAATCTACTTCCAAGCTCACTCAAGTGGATGCTGTTAGCCTTAGTTACTCAGTGGCTTGTGGCCAGAGGCTTGAGTTCCTCTCCACGTGTATGAGTAAAAGGCTCCAACTAAATACACATTTATAAGAAACGGTGTAGAATGCTTAGTGAACTGTTTTTATACATTTTTTTAAATTAAAGACAAGCATAAAGATAAGAACCGTTTCAGAATGAAGGAATGCCTACAGATATAGTTTTGGAGAGGATATGGTATTATAGGAATAAAGAGAACGAATAAGTTTCTCCAGCCACATCTTTGCACTAGGTCCACTTGAAGCTCTAAGTTGGGAAACTATTAATAGAGGAAAAAGTCATTATTTTCAAAAAACAGTTATTCCCTTAATTAAAAATTATTGGATGAGTTCTTTATGCTAGATATTATAATAGGAGAATCACAAAGATTTCGTTTAATTATCCTAACAATCCCCCAAGATAAGAGTTGTTTCAGATATTGAACACTGAGGCTCAGGAAGGTTTGTTATATACTAAGAAATGGCAGGGCTGGGGTTTGAATCTAGGCCTTACTTCCAACGGCTGCTTCTTTCTATATTTTTTAGCACACAGTACTCATTAGATGTATACCTCAGCCTGGAGGTAGATAAATAGACAACAAAAATTTTTTATAATAACCAATTTTCTAAACTTTAAGATCTTAAAGACTATTTACTTGTAGCATGCATTCAGCTCTTAGGGAAGAATGTATTTTCCTTCACCTTTTTTGGATATTTTTCCCCTTAGCAGTTACAATGATAACTAGAATAGAGGACCTTTGTTTTTTTACCTGAGGTTATTTACTGTGCTGTATACTGTTAGCATGTAAGTTGTTTTTATGGAATCTATGTTTTGCTAAAAATATTTTATATAAAGACAGTTTCTTTTCCACTAGAATATTGCTGTTTTTAGATATATTGGCAAAATGTGTACCCATTGTCTGCTTCTGTAGCTGACTTTTTATTTTGATTGTCCCTTTCTCACATAAGGTTATACCACTTTTTCCCATACACTGCTTTTGAGATAACTTTAATGTCCACTTTAATGTTTTCGTGAAGTGAAAAAAATTCTATCAATTGATTTAAATGCTGTTATTTAAGAGGTTCAAATTATGAAAGATTATTTTAAGTACTTCTTATACCCATTGGGAATATTTAAAAGTGCGAATGATCTAAGTTATTTTTTGACATAAATCCAAAACCCCTGAGATAGAACATAGATATTTGAGATGATGATGATGATTATTATTATTATTAAATCCTGCCACTTTGCAAAAATTTTGACCACCATTTTTTAGGAAATTGATTACATGATCATTCTCATAGCAGTTAGTTAGTTATATTCACAGATCCTTCTTAATATGAAAGAACTTAATTTTTATGAAATAACAATCAAAAGCAAATAGTCCCTGTAATTCCAAACCTATGTCTTCTGAGTCATTTCTTACCCTTGGATGAAGGATTGAGTGTTACCCTGGATCAATTAATTTGTTGAAATAATCTGAAATTAGCACTTAAGTCTCTTACTGAGCCATAGGAGACAAGGAGGGGACCTTAGGTTCCATATTACATCAGCTCATCTTCAGGCTTCTTTTAGATACTGCTTTCAGTCCTTAGGTTGGGCCTAGAGAAATAAACTTGAGAGGGATAAATAATCAATCAACTGCTACATATTTGTTTAGTGAATTTTAGTAAGTACAACAGTAAAACGGGTATTAAATACTTCCTTCTTTTGACTAAATTATTATATTTGATCTGTTTTGTACTGGATGCCGACAATGTTTGCTGAAAATTGTTTTGAGTTTATGGTAATTCTTTTCCATACTAAATTAGTAAAGTATTAAAGCCAGATGGGTACTTGGGGACCACTTTTGATATGCATTTGCAAGATAAATAAGTTACTTTTCCAATAAAATCATGAGTTTTCTTTTTTAAAAACCAGGATCTGTTTTACAAACATTATTTAGAAAGAAGTTAATATTCTCTCTGATAATAGCCATTGAGCACCCATATGGAATTTACAGAAAGGAGAAATGACTGTATTTACCTCACACCCTCGTAAGCCATCACTATTATCATATTTTATGAGAATAAGCAAATAGTAAATAGTAATGAGTTCTGTTTAGGTGAAGAAGATGAAATAAATTTATTAATAGAATTACCATCAGATATTTGTGGAATATATAATGAACTCTACCCCAAAACATGTTTAATAAGACATCCCTATCTTAGAATGGGGAGAAATCTCCCTGGAATCCTGTGTATTTCATCAATTCACTGGAATTTTTTCCAGTATGAAGATAGGAGGATAGGAAATCAAAGTACATCTGTCAGCTTAATAAATTTGTAATAAGGGACTACGTTGTCAAAATAAAGAATTTGGCCAGGCGCAGTGGCTCACACCTGTAATCCCAGCACTTTGGGAGGCCGAGGCAGACAGATCACCTGAGGTCAGGAGTTCGAGACCAGCCTGGCCAACATGGCAAAACCCCCATCTCTACTAAAAAATACAAAAAAATTAGCCGGGCGTAGTGGCAGGCACCTATAATCCCAGCTACTCAGGAGGCTGAGGCACGAGAATCACTTGAACCTGAGGGGTGGTGGTTGCAGTGAGCCAAGATCATGCCAATGCACTCCAGCCTGGGTGACAAGAGCGAAACTCTGTCTCAAAAAAATATATATATTTTTAGGGGGTTTTGTTCAGTCTGTTTATATTGGATTCACACTTTTTAATTCCTGTTGTCATAATACTATTGGAGATAGTCGTCATGCTATTGGAGCCGGTTCACATTAAATTAGCATTTTTAAATTTCTATAGTCTAATACTATGGAAATTGAAAGTGGAAAAATCTGAAGAAGCATTCTATGACCCCAAGAATGCCCATTTTAATATAAAGCTTTATTGGAATACTTCTTTTAAATATTTTCAAACTAGTCCATCTAGCTTTATGTTCATAAGTGTTCATGAGATTTCTTCCTCAGCCTCCATAATAGCCACATCAGAAAGCCTTGTAGCTCTGGAGAGATTAAAAAAAAAAAGCCAAAGATTGAAAAGCTGAAGAGAACTTCATGGAAAATATAACTTCACCCGGGTTTCAGGTGCTTTATAGGAATAGTGATATCCAAGACTTTTTATAGATGCCTAGTGGTTAAGAGCATAAATAAGCTCAGGAGTCAACACTGTCCAAGTTTAAATTCTAGCTCTGCTACTTAAGCTGTGTGACTTTTAGCAGGTTAACCTCTCTACGACTCCATTTCCTTACCTGTAAAATTCCTGAGGATCAAACTAAATAATGTGTGTAAAGTATTTACAACAATGGTATATGGTAAGTTCTCAATAAATATTGGCCATTATTTTTATTATAGGAGAATGGAAGTCATTGTTTATACTTTTAGACAGTTGCTTGTTTTGGAAATCGGGGTGGATAATGTAGCACCTTATTGATCTAGGGAAAGGATCTTTGGGATGACTTTTTTTCCAGGTCAACGGATGTGGATGTTCCCACATGATATCTGCAGCATCTACTGAGATAGAGACTTGCATCAGAAAATACAAAATATGTGAAAACAAATATGGGAGGATACCTATTTTTTCCAAAAATGTGTAGTTTTAACAGTTGGCATCAATAAATAAAATTTGGTCTGTAATTGGGTCTGTTTTATTTTAAAAATCTAAAGATTCATAACAATAGGGTGGAAAATATTGAAATATAGAAAGAAGCCATTATGCCACAAGGCACTTTCTATTACACTTAAATTCTGTGGGAATCATAAATGAGGCTTTGAATCTAGATTCTCCTTCAGTTCCTGCAAAATCCTTTTTCATCTTATGAATTCCACTGAAAAATTTTAGCTTTAAATATTCCATGAATCAGAGGAATTTTTAGGGATACTTCCATATAAGGTACCTTTAATTTCATTTTAACTTTTAGTATTTACACAAATGGGTCTGAATGCCAAGAAGTACCCATGTTTTCCTGAGCATTCTCTTTATCCTTCTCTGTGCCTTCTGTTTAAGTCTCAGGTCCCTGCTAGTGTTAAACCTGACAATTAGGTCAAGAGATATGGTGGTTTCCATATCAGGAGTCTACAGGGATTAGGTAGAAATTGTCTAAAAGCAATTTCACTTGAATTAAAATAGACCACCTTCAAGGTCCCCAGAGATGAATGTTAATTGTGTCAACCCTACTTTTTTTTTTAAGTTTGGTTTAGGTTCTTTTTGGGGGACTGCACATTTTTACTTTTAACCAGAATATAAGGGGAAATGGTTGAACAAAATCTAAGAAATGAAATTTAAAATAACCTATGCTTCTAAAGGCTAGAAAATCTTGTAGCCACTTCATTGAAAATATATTATAAATTCTTCTAATTAACTACAGGGTTTTTTTAGTGCATCTCTCTTAAAATGAAAATTTTATAAACATTTTAATAAATCCTGGCTGGGCACGGTGGCTCACGCCTGTAATCCCAGCACTTTGGGAGGCCGAGGCGGGTGGATCATGAGGTCAAGAGATCGAGACCATCCTGGCTAACAAGGTGAAACCCCGTCTCTACTAAAAATACAAAAAATTAGCCGGGCGCGGTGGCGGGCGCCTGTAGTCCCAGCTACTCGGGAGGCTGAGGCAGGAGAATGGCGTGAACCCGGGAAGCGGAGCTTGCAGTGAGCCGAGATTGCGCCACTGCAGTCCGCAGTCCGGCCTGGGCGACAGAGCGAGACTCCGTCTCAAAAAAAAAAAAAAAATAAAAATAAAAATAAAAAAAAAATAAATCCTGTGTATTTTCTGTTTTCAGCCACTCAAATTGTTTTGGAAATTGGCAAGTTATAAATAATAAATGAATTAATATTTTGTAACAGCAGTACATTTGAAGTTAGGTTTTTGATCTAAATGCAATGCTCGACATATAGAAAAATAAGGTGGCCAGTTTATGCCTATTTCTTGCCATAAATGCAGGCATGAGGACTAACTGTTTCACCAATGTTTCAAAGATCTTCTTGGGCTAAGGTAGCCAACCCTTTTTTAGTTTACTCTTCTAGGCACTGAAGATAAAAACAATGAATAAGACACTTTGCCCATGATTAGTGAAAATGGTCCTTTTATCACAAGTACAGAAACTCCCATAAATTATTTTTCTTCTAAAAAAAAAAACAGGATACATGTGCAGAATGTGCAGGTTTGTTGCATAGGGTTACGTGTGCCATGGTGGTTTGCTGTTCCTATTGACCCGTCCTCTAAGTTCCCTCCCCTTATCCCCCACCCCTCATTAGGCCCTGGTATGTGTTATTCCCCTCTCTGTGTCCATGTGTTCTCAATGTTCAGCTCTCACTCTTATGAGTGAGAACATGCAGTATTTGGTTTTCTGTACCTGTGTTAGTTTGCTGAGGATGATGCCTTCCAGAGAAGCTCCCATAAAATTTAAGAAACAAAATAACAAAAGGTTCTGTTTGGTTTTTATCTTTCTAGATATAACAATAACTTTAAGATAAAAAATAAAATTAAATTAACTGATATGTGGACAGCAAGCTGTGTGGATGAAGTGGGAGAAGGCAACACCAATGCCATGAAATCCTTTGTTTTGGGCTGGCCCACAGTGAACTTTGTGGCCACTTTCAGGTAAGAACCACAGCTTGTCCTCTATTTACCTGGGTTAGCTACTATGATAATTTCTAGGATTGAAATTTTAAAAATTAATCAAATGTTGTTCCTCTAATTTTTAAGAGGGAAATATTTTATTCTGATTCCATATTAAATCAATAACTCATCTGTTGACACATACACCCAACCAAAATACTTGTATGCCATGTATTTCTCCCAATGGGCTTTTGATTAAAATATGTGAAAATTAATGGTAAATATTGGGAACTCTTGGGATTATGTACCTTGGTTTGACAAGTTATTTTTGTGAAAACAACAACAACAACAGCAACAACAGGAACTTCCAGGAATATGGAAGGGGAATAGAGTAGTCCCATCTTTAGGACCCCCTCTTCAACATCCCCTTCCTTAATATGTAGGTATTTGTTTTACGTATTGAGCTTTCAAGTCTTATCAGTCTTTTCAAACCACTGAAAAAGACTTTCATTGAAGCAAATTGTATAGTCCAATTAAGTTTCAATTAATGGTTTATACTCCTGAATTTTTAAATAAATAGTGTTTTATTATACAAATAAAACTAATTTCATGAAATACTGGTTGCCCAAATTGTATAGCAGGTTTTGAGTTGGTGTCTATAGAGATGTGACAATAAAAAGCAAATGTATGATTTTAAGGAGTCAGAGTTTCCCAAGACATGCTCCTATGCTAGGATGGGGTTGGAGAATGTATGAATACAGAATATTTGTCCTCTTCTAATGATTATGCTTTATTGGCACTGTCCAGTTCAGAGTGAACAATCACAATCACACCTGTGATTTTGAATAACTGTGTTCCAACCTCTCCAGTATTTGTTTTACACTTAAAGTTAGTGTCCATCACATGCACATGATGCTTTTTATTCTGCTTCTCTTCTTGCCACCACAAAACTCCTAGGACATCATCATAAAGCCAGACAACTTAAATTTTCCATGATGTTAATCTTTTATTAAAAGATAGGCATGTCATTAAATGCTATTATGCACTATTTGGCCTACCACAAGATTTTAAGAACTGATTTGGAAAAAAAAAATGTGTTTGTTTCATTCTCAGCATATCTTCTTTTCCATGACAGATTTCTCTAGATATTTTCATTTCCTATTGCTTTATCTCCTTGGAGTTACAGGTGAAAGGAAGTAATTTTAAGTGAGGGTATGACTACATGACATTTTTAATCAAGGAATTTTCATGAAACTTCTTTTTTTAAGAAGAGGGGAAAATGTGGAAAGAAGTTTTACCTATATTATATTATTTAAACTATGGTTCTTTAACCAAATGATCAAGGTTAATATCACCAGTGATGTCATGTAGATAACATGTACTCCTTGATGTATTGTGATAAGAAGAACAATTAACCTTGTGATCTTCCTCCCAAAAACCTTTAACTCCAGTCTAATCATGAGGAAATCATTCAACAAACACACAGTGAGCTATATTATGCAGGATACCTGACCAGCACCCCTTAAAATCTTCCAGGTCAGAAAAACAAAATCAGAGAAAGACTGAGAAATGGTCATAGATCAGTTACTAAAGAGATATAATAATTATAATGTGGTATTCTAGATTAGCTTCTAGAACAGAAAAAGGACATTAATGGAAAAAATGGTGAAATCTGAAATAAGTCAAGAGTTTGATAGTAATGTACTAATATTGGTTTCTTAGTTTTGACAAATGGACCATGATAATGTAAAAGAATAACATTTAGAGTCCTCTGAACTTAAACAGCATGAGAACTATGTAGGGAATCTCTATATTATCTTTGTAACTTTTACGGAAATCTAAAATTTCTGAATTTATTTTTTTAAAAAAGTGAAGTGTTGAGGAATTCTGCCTCTGATATGGCAGAGTGAGGTCTTTTGGAGAGGAATTTAAACTTGGAAGTAGGCACAAGTACTGGGTGAGTTTCCTGTTTTTAAGGCCTTAGCCTGAGAGCAGGGTACAGTTACATCATGGTGTAGGACAACTAAAACTGGCAAAAACAATCTTTCTGAGCTGAAGAACCAGAGGACAGAAGCTATGTCATCCACAGCTATTGTGGGATGAGGGGGAGAATCTCAAAAAGGAAAGTAGCAGAGAAGAGAAGCTCCAAATTCTATGTATAAACACTGCCCAAATCTCTGGCTGATCACCAAACCCCACATGCATGAGACAGACTCAAAGCATCTTGAAGCTAAGACTGAAAGAATCGAACTGAGCCGCAACTCATCACAGATGAAATAGAGTTTGTAGCTTCATCTAATCAAGTTAGTTTTATGCTAAAACAAAAATATCAACACTGTTCCACAAATATAACAGAATACAGTCTCCAAAACAAAACATTTGTAATGTCCAGAATACAATCTAAAATATCTTGACATGTGAAGAACAAGGAAAAAGATAATCAATAGAGACCAATCTTGAGATGATTCATATGTTGAATTACCAGAAAAGAACTTTAAAACAGCTTTCATAAGTAAGCATGGCAGGTAAAAGGAAAATTCAATTTAAATTAATAAAAAGATAGGAAATATCAGCAGAGAAATAAAAAATACTAAAAAGGGCCAAATGAAAATTCTAGAACTGAAAACTAAAATATTTTAAATAAAATATTTTCTGAGTGGCCTTCTTTGCAGAATGGAAATGAAAGAGGATTTGGTGAACTTGAAGATTTATCAATACAAATTGTGTAATCTGAGGAACAGGAAAAAAAAAGCAAAGATTTTTTAAAGGAAAAATGTATCACGGACTTGTGGGAATATATCAAAAAGTATAATATACATGTCACTGGAATTACAGAAAGAGGAGCGAGGAAATGGGGCTGAAAAAATAGTGGTTAAAAACTACCTAAATTTGGTAAAAGGCATAAATATACAGCTCACTGAACCCTAGACAGTGTGACTATTAAGAAAACTATACCTAGTCATGTTATAAACAACCATAAATCAAAAATAAGAGAAAGATCTTGAAAGCAGTCAGATAAAAACAATGTAGTACAAATAGGAAAATGACAATTTGAATTATTATGGCCCTTTCATTAGAAACTATGGAGGTTAGAAGACAGTGGAGCTTTTTTTTTTTTTTTTTTTTTTTGAGATGGAGTTTTACTCTTGTTGCCCAAGCCGTAGTGCAATAGCATGATCTCGGCTCACTGCAACCTCTGCCTCCCGGCTTCAAGTGATTCTCCTGCCTCAGCCTCCTGAGTAGCTGGGATTACAGGTGCACACCACCGCGCCCAGCTAATTTTTTTGTATTTTTAGTAGAAACTGGGTTTCCCCATGTTGGCCAGACTGGTCTCAAACTCCTGACCTCAGGTGATCTGCCTGCCTCAGCCTCCCAAAGTGCTGGGATTACGGACATGAGCCACCGCGCCCAGCTGACAATGGAATACATTTTTTAAAGTGTTGAAAACCGTTTAACCTAGAATACAGTATTCAGCAAAAATATTATTTTAAAATGAAGGTAGAATGAAGATTTTTTTAAAAAACTATAATAATTTATTACTAGCAGAACTGTCCTACCGAAAAAAATGTTAACACAAGTTTTTCACACTGAAGTGAAAGACAAGAGGGAAGCTCAGATCTTTAGGAAGGAGTGGAAATCATTGGAAATGTTAGGGAAATCTAGGTCATCATCCATTTAAAATTCCATCAGGTAGCAGGTTAAAGAAGCAGTCTCTACTATCCAGTTACTATAATAACTATTTTTTGTAAATGTAGCCAGACACAGTGACTGGTGCCTGTAATCCCAGCTGCTTGAAAGGCTGAGGTGAGAGGATCACTTGAGGGGGGGAGTTTGAGGCCAAACTGGTCAATATAGCAAGATTCTATCTCTACAAAAAAGTCAAAATATTATGCAGGCATGGTGGCATACACCTGTAGTCCCAGCTACTTGGGAGGCTGAGGTGGAGGATTGCTTGAGGCCATAGACCTGGGCAACATAGACCCCATCTCTAAAAAAATGTTTAAATTAGCTGAGCATGGTGGTACCCATCTGTAGTCTTAGCTACTTGGGAGGATGTGGCAGGAGCATTGCTTGAATCCAGGAATTCAAGACTGCAGTGAGCTGTGATTGCACTACTACACTCCAACCTGGGCAATAGCTCTAGCCTGAGCAAGACTCGGTCTCAAAAAAATAAAAATAAAAAGTAAAAACTAATAGCATTGAAATCTAAGACTGACAATTGCCAGAATCTTTGAAAACCTCCCAATTGAGTCAAATTGAGGGAAGAGCAGGCAATCCATGTGAGCTTTTCATGCTTTACTTTGGAAAACAGGGTAGTCACATCTCAAAAAAGCCCAAAAGGAGTTTCATCTCTATCACTACATATACTCTATCACTGCATATACTCTATCACTGCATATACTCTATCACTACATATGCACTATCACTACATATACACTATCACTACATATACTCTATCACTACATATACTCTATCACTACATATACTCTATCACTGTATATACTCTATCACTACATATACTCTATCACTGCATATACTCTATCACTACATATACTCTATCACTGCATATACTCTATCACTGCATACACTCTATCACTGCATACACTCTATCACTACATATACGCTATCACTACATATACTCTATCACTGCATATACTCTATCACTGCATATACCCTATCACTGCATATACCCTATCACTACATATACTCTATCACTGCATATACTCTATCACTACATATACACTATCACTACATATACTCTATCACTGCATATACTCTACCACTGCATATACTCTATCACTGCATATACTCTATCACTGCATATACTCTACATATATGCTATCACTACATATACTCTATCACTGCATATACCCTATCACTGCATACACTCTACATATATGCTATCACTGCATATACTCTATCACTGCATACACTCTATCACTGCATACACTCTATCACTGCATACACTCTATCACTACATATATGCTATCACTGCATATACTCTATCACTGCATACACTCTCACTGCATATACTCTATCACTGCATATACTCTATCACTGCATATACTCTACCACTGCATATACTCTATCACTGCATATACTCTATCACTGCATACACTCTACATATATGCTATCACTGCATATACTCTATCACTGCATACACTCTATCACTGCATACACTCTATCACTGCATACACTCTATCACTACATATATGCTATCACTGCATATACTCTATCACTGCATACACTCTCACTGCATATACTCTATCACTGCATATACTCTATCACTGCATATACTCTACCACTGCATATACTCTATCACTGCATATACTCTATCACTGCATACACTCTACATATATGCTATCACTGCATATACTCTATCACTGCATACACTCTATCACTGCATACACTCTATCACTGCATACACTCTATCACTACATATATGCTATCACTGCATATACTCTATCACTGCATACACTCTCACTGCATATACTCTATCACTGCATATACTCTATCACTGCATATACTCTATCACTGCATATATGCTATCACTGCATATACGCTATCACTGCATATACTCTATCACTGCATATACTCTATCACTGCATATACTCTATCACTACATATACACTATCACTACATATACTCTATCACTACATATACTCTGATTCACCAGAAAAATAGGTGCTGCACCTTGATTTCACAAATAACGGTATGAAAGAATGGGAAAATCAGTCAAAAGACACAGGAAGTCCTTGAATCTGACAATGGTCTATAAGAATCAGAAAATAATATTTTAACTTAAGTACCTACTGTGAATCTTAGACTACAAACTCAGGTATGCGTGTTTATTTATAGATCAAATTAAAACTCATCTTAAACCCCCATTTTGCCAAGCTGGTAGGAAATCAGATTTTCTTCTTTACTGGAACTGCTGTTTTTGTAAGGTAGAACTAGAATACAGGAGACTTCTAAGATGCCTCCAAAACAGATAAAGGGCTTCTGACTTTAGTCTATTGTGGTCACTGTTGACATTTTTTTCTATGCCCAGAGTTGTCCCTGTATATCCAGAGATGTTCTGCTGCTTTGCCATAAAGGGGGGCAGGGGGTGGGTGGAAGGTATCTTTGCCGATATAAAAACTTTGGTGCCTAGGACCCAGCCTCCCTAATGACTCCTTAAAACCATTTCCTCTGGGTTCTTTCTGTTTCCTTAGGGCACCTTAACTGAGTGACATATGGTTCCCGGCTCACTCTCAGTGATGACAGGCCTCTATCTCCTCCATAATTTGAGAGAATCTTCTAATCTGCCATGCCCTTTTTATTTTATTTTCCAAGATACACTGCTTTCTCCTGTCCTGGATCTTACTGTCTTTTTAATGGGTTTAAGTATTTATAAAACGCAGAGATAGTCATTGACTTTGAAGTACTTCTATTTTTAGTCCTGTAAAAATGCCTGAGATTAAGAATTACTAAAGAAAGGGAGTCCTGGATTCAGGTATAGAGCAGGGGGGAAAGGGAAATATACAAGAAGATTACACAAATCAATCTCCATACATTAACCTGACACACTTCATAATTTATATTTTGAAGTAATATATGCTGTTTATTCAAACAAGGGAACACAGCAATGAGAATGAATTGGCCAGGCACAGTGGCTCACACTTGTAATCCCAGCACTTTGGGAGGCGGAGGCGGGTGGATCACCTGAGGTTGGGAGTTTGAGACCAGCCTGGCCAACATGGAGAAATCCTGTCTCTACTAAAAACTACAAAATTAGCCAGGCGTGGTGGCACATGCCTGTAATCCCAGCTACTTGGGAGGCTGAGGCAGGAGAATTGCTTGAACCCAGGAGGCGGAGGTTGCGGTGAGCCAAGATTGCGCCATTGCACTTCATCCTGGGCAAAAAAAAAAGTGAAACTCCATCTCAAAAAAAAAAAGAAAGAAAAAGAAAATAAAAGAGAATGAATTATCTAAAACTACATGTAGTAATATAATTAAATCTTTTAAACATAATGTTGAAAGAAGCCAGACACAAAATAGTATATACTTTATGGTTACATTTATATAAAGTACTCAAACATGCAAAACTATTCTGTGCTGTTGGAAGTCAGGATAGTGGAAACTACTGCCTGGAAAAGAACATAAGGGACCTTCCAAGGTGATTTTCTATTTCCTGATCTGGGTGCTGGTTTATGTGACTGTGTTCAGTTTGTTAAAATTATTCAAGCTGTACATGTAAGCTTTGTGCAGTTTTCTCTATATGTCTTTTATTTCAGTTAAAAGTTAAAAAAATACTAAGAGTCTTAAAGGGGCAATTTTCTTTAACTCCTTTGAAAAAAGTTAGCAGGTCTGAAGCAAAGCTCTTATCTGTTTCTCAACAGATTTTTGCTAAATAAATCCAAGATTTGACATAAGTGAACCTAGAAAATCTATTTTAGAAAAGAGAATACATCAAAAGATAGTAAGGAATTGTGAAAGATGGAAAATGTATGCTCAATGGTAAAAAAAAAAAAAAAGAAAAAAATGTGGTACACTTTCTGATGACAAATCCTGGGAGATTGCTTATGGAGAAAATTGCTAAACAATAAAGTTAGTGAATAAATGTATTTTTGGAAATAATAAAATAACTAGGATTTCCAACATCTCTAAAAAGATTAGAAAATTAGCCAGGCCTTGTGGCACGCATCTGTAGCCCTAACTACTCAAAAGGCTGAGCCAGCGTGATCACTTGGGCCCCAGGAGTTCAAGCCTACAGTGAGCCATGATCATGCCTCTATACTCCAGCCCAGGCAACAGAGCAAGACCCCTGTCTTTAAAAATATGAGAGAGAAATATGATTTTAAAAGCTTGTTAGTGACAAGACCACATAGGAATAAACTTTAAATTATTTTTAATCTGAAGAATTAAACGTAATAGTGAAATCAGCATAAAAATTAATACTAATTTAGTTGCAAATGGATTGATCTTAGAAGGTTATAGTTTTTAAGAATAAGTTTTCAATGAACTAATTTACTAAATCATAATCTTGCTGTATGTATTTTTTTTTTAATGTTTCTTTTCCTAACAACAAACTGGTTTCTGGGCAAAGAGATTTCCATTCACATGCCAAATTTCTCTTAATCTCTGTGTTCTCAATATTAAGCATACTTTCTATTTGTATGGCCGTGTGAGCTACGAAAATACTAACCCAGTTTCATAGATGTAGAAACTGAGGCTTAGAGGTTAAATGACTTGCCCATGATTGTCTAGCTTGCATATAATTTTGAAATCAAGTGTTAGATTCCAAATCAAGTACTCTTTCCACTATAGGAACTCTCTCACACTGATATAATACCACTTGTAAAAAAGCAGTAAAGTAGAAAAGAGGGTTTGTCTTAGATCCATCCAAAAGGATTTAATAAAACTACATTTGACTGTAGTTTTTCCAAAGGGATATTTCCACTGCAGAGTTCTCCAGAACACAATTATGCCAAGGTTGCAGCTTATGTGTGCAACTGTATTAGTAACAACAGGTTGTTGATATTTTCATCTGGATTGACAATCCTAAATCTGTTAGCATTTGTATTTTATGTGGTTTAATTTTTCTCTCCCATTTTCTTTGATTGCAGTTCTCCAGAACAAAAGGACAAATGGCTCTCTCTCCTTCAGAGGTATTTTTTCAGTATTCATATTTTTAATCTTTAACCTTTAATAAATGAATTAAGACCTTTTCTGCAGAGATGTGCCCCAAATTATTCCCCTTCTCCTTAGTAGAAATTGTTCATTTGACCTCTAAATAAGCTGCCGTTTATATCGTACACTAGCTACTTACTTGCTACAAATAATGTTCTCTCATTATATGTATTTCTTAACTTTCTAGGAAGGAGAACATTGAGGTCTAGTTAAATCATTTTAGACAGAAGTTAGTCAATAATCTCCTCTCTCTTTCCATTGTCTCCAGCCTACCAATTGGAGCTAACAGTTTCCTCAAAGTATGTATTAAGTTTCCATAAATGCAGGGTTTTCTGCTAAGCACCTCAAAAATAATGGTAGTTATTATCCCTACCATTGAGCATGCAGACTAAAATGATTGACTTAGGCTCATCTGTTAGACTTACAGTCCTTCCCTCCCTCCTGTCCTCTCTCCCTCTCCACGCTATAGGATAACCAAGATTTACACCCTACTGGGGAGTTAAATGAGAAGTACAAGGTCATTGCTTTGGTTTGGCCTTGTAAAATATTTATTATATATGTTCCTATACTTATCAGTAAGGTGTTGGACCTGTCCAAAGAAGACAGACATTACCCAGAGGTGCCCTAACCTGATTGTGCTTCTCAAACCTCACTTGACATGCCTGTCCTATTTTTTTGTGCCCATGCCTAATGTCCTGAAATTTTGTTTATTCTCTTCCAACCCATAATGTAATCTGACTTTGCTGAGTCTTCTCATCTATCTTTTTTAAAAATAGCATATAAGTATATTGGAAATATTAGCAAAATAAATTGATTTTTAAAATAAGCCATTAGCGAATTCCATCTGACTCAGTGTTGTTTTGGGTTGCTGTTGCATTTGATTAGATACATCAATCTAGAGAAAGAAAAGGACTACCCGAAGAGCATTCCCCTCAAAATCTTCGCCAAGGACATTGGGAATTGTGCCTACGTAAGTGTTTCTAAGCCAGAAAATTAAATTCCAAGTCCCTGCATAAGACAGAACACTACGGATAAGAA
Organism: Homo sapiens; assembly: GCF_000001405.40. NCBI lineage: Eukaryota > Metazoa > Chordata > Mammalia > Primates > Hominidae > Homo > Homo sapiens. The sequence goes on along the minus strand of NC_000011.10, from coordinate 110,614,492 downwards.
GAGAGAGAGCAGGCAGGCAGGCAGGCTAACTGTGTATGTGCTATGGAAGGTAGGCATTTAGAAATACCACAGGGGGAAAATGCATTTTCCTGGTTATATGTATGTCTTCATATATATGAAAAATAAACCCTAGAGAAAGTGAAGCAAGAGAAATTCATATGAACTACGGTATTAAACTTTTACGCTTGGAAAGAACATTGCTTGTGACATGTCTCTGTCCTCCCTCTGGCATGAATATTTCTCTGAATCCTTTCAATAGCAGCTGCAGAGGCTTGTAGTAAAGCTGTTTCCACAAGGAGTATTTCCTATTATTATTAAGCAATTTTTTTCCCAACTTGTCACTCTTAAGCAGAAAGTGGTTTTGAAAAGTTCTTCATTCTTTAAGTTTTTAGGGATTGAATCCCTTAGGTTAATAGGAGGATGATCTAGGAGAGGTGACATTTTTAAGGGATCAGCATTTTACTACTTCACAGTGTTTATCATATTGGTCAAATAAATATTAAGTCTTTAACCCCAGCTATTATGTATAATTTGATGGCTGAAATCATAGTACAAGAGATAAATGTTATCAATTATGAAAAATATGAAAACTTATGAATATTTTATACTATTAACTGTCATACTTCACAGCAGCTCTAGATCACACAGAATAGTTTTATTTGTGTGTGGAAAAATATGTAGTGCAAAATAGTTATGTTTTGGGCAAAAGCAAAAGTTATGCAAATGTTCTGACCAACTCCTGAATGCCAGATGTCACTGCTTGAGGGAAATACTCAAATTTTTATAGTATGAGACTACAGAGATCTCCTGTAGCAATGTAAAACAAAACAAAACAAAAACACTGTTTTTTTCTGTCTGCTTTGATTCAGTTGTGGCAGTTGGTTACATTCAGGATTTCCTGGAAAATCCCTTAAATTTTTTTTGACACTTTCTTTTCGGTATATGGAAAGTGTGTACTTGAGAAAGGACTGATGTCCCACTGTCATTTTGGAAGAGAAGATAAGATATATGGTCAGGTTGGGTGCTCTGTTTCTATCACTAGTACCCTGGTTAAGTCAAGGATGATGTGACGTACTCTGTCCTTTGCTGTCTAAAGTAGCTTTCATAACAAGACTCTCATTCAGGGAGCCCTGCCTCCAGAGTGATTCCCCCAAATAGGAGTGCATGTGTGGGAAGCATTCTTTGTCTTTGCCGTCTAGTTATACACACCTTGTCAGTAAATTATGCTAATATGGAACAAAATTGCCACATTTTCAGTTTTGTCTGTTATTTGTTTACTAGCCAAAGAGTTCTATCTGCTGAAATTCATTTGTTTTGTATACTGGAAAGGCATGTAGGAAAAAATATACTTTCTATAATTATGTTTTGAACATATGTGCCTAGTATTAAGAAAAACTATTATCTTAGAAACCAGGTTATTGGGAGGATAGATTCTTCACGTTATAAGACTTCATGGGAGAGTTTCTTTAAATTAAATGGAAAAAATTTTAGACTTTTTTAAAATCAGAAGCCTTTTTAAAAATTATCTCTCAATTTAAAGCCCAGTATGTCTCATACCTATGACACTCTGGTAGAAGACAGACACTGGGTTGAGTGCTCCAAAGACTCCCTGTTTCACTCTGAGACAATTTTGCACAATCCTTGGGGCTACCAGGAACACAGTTTGAAATTGTGCATTTTAAATGCTTTTTTAAATTAAAATTCAATTAAACAATTTTTAGAGGCAATTTGTCATATCAAATAATTCACTCATAGAGAAGAAATTCTGTTAATGGAAGGATAAATAATGAATTATCAGATTTCATTTGCCTTTATTTTTATATCATTTTTGTATTTATGCTACTTTTTTGTGCTATTTAATCCTTCTCTGTCAGGGACACAGCCCTAATTGCTGATTTAATCTTATAATTCTCATGTGTAAAACCTATGTATGTAGCAAGTTTTTTTTACAATGTAGCATTGTTTTATATTTAAATAATGTATTTTGGAATTCAGCGATCTCTATAGATATCTCAGAATCTTGTTAACTCTTTTTGTTTGTTTGTTTGTTTTTTGTTTTTTTTTTGAGATGGAGTCTCGCTCTGTCGCCCAGGCTGGAGTGCAGTGGCGCGATCTCGGCTCACTGCAAGCTCCGCCTCCCGGGTTCAAGCCATTCTCCTGCCTCAGCCTCCCGAGTAGCTGGGACTACAGGCCCCCACCACTACGCCCAGCTAAATTTTTTTTGTATTTTTTTTTTTTAGTAGAGACGGGGTTTCACCATGTCAGCCAGGATGGTCTCGATCTCCTGACCTCATGACCCGCCCACCTCGGCCTCCCAAAGTGCTAGGATTACAGGCATGAGCTTGTTAACTCTTTTACTGTTTGCTGCAAATTGTCTATTTTTAAGTAAAAGTATTCAATATAGTTTAGCACAGAGCTATTACAGATATTGTATTCATTGGCAGAGTTGATAATAGAATTGAGCTTTCTAAAATTTTCATTTCTTTTTTCTAGACTCATTGGTTTTATGTCCTCCAAAGATTTCAACAATTAAAATCTTAGTGGCCACAGTGTGTGACACATGGAAAGTTCCCAATAGTGACTTTTTAAAATTCTAAGCTTTAAATGTCTTTTGTAACCAGTTATTATCCTGATTTTACCTAACCTGACTTTATACCACGCAAAGAAATAAAACGTATTGTGAAAACACTACTAAGGAAGAAATAGAAAGAGATTCAGCTCTTGCCTTTTTTTATTACCCATTGCCTTATGGAAATACAATTATGGAAATAAGACAGAGGACCAACCTCACTGATCTATTTTTTTAATTGGAAGCTGGGTCCATGTACTCTCTCTGAAATATATTTAGTCTTTCTTATTTGCTTAAGCTTTTATATTCTTTAAGCCATGCATCCTTTAAGAGAAATGTTTTATTAGAGGGCATAATTTATAAGGGAATGAAAGCAAATTATAATCAAAGGTTTGTGTTCTACCTAAATCTTATGCTTGACTTTGTCCACATTTGAAATCAATATTTGCCTTTCGATAATCATTTGACAATGATTATTTGTTAACCTGTTTTAAAATTCATTATTTTATAGCTATATTTCTTATTTTTTTTCTACAGTCTAAAACTATAACAGTAATGAATTCAGATACAGCGAATGAAGTTATCAACATGTCATTACCAATGCTAGGGATAACTGTAAGTTATTCTGCTAGACATTCTTAATTAAAAATAAACTTTGATTATTTAAATTTATGTAAGTATTTTCCTTCCATCATAAGACAGCTGATTATTAGAGATACCAAAGTCATATTTTATTCCCCAAAATATAGAAAATGAGAACAGTAAAGCTTTAATATGATTAATATATGGGTGCTGCTGTTCTCCTATTTTAAAATCTGTGTGAACTGAAAATTATAAGATTGGACTATAATTTTAAAGTGACAATATGTATTTTATTATATATGCTGTATATATATACAAAAATTTTTTTGGTATAAATTTCTTAATAAAGTTTCATCCTCCTTCTCCCCTTGCTACTGGTCACAATTTGACTTTTCCCCTATATAATTATCCTGTTATTATCCCAAGACTCAATCAGTCTTAGGATGATGAATTCTGAAGAATTTGCTCTGTAATAGAATTTTTCATAAAACCATATTAGCTGGCTACAAGTCCTAAGGATGATATGGCTAATACCTCTGATAAATTGGTAAATAAAAAGACAAGCTTTGAATTAGATCATGGATTTCGAGAGCTTTAGTGTGCACACCACATTCTTCCATGTTTTACTTTTAGCTTTGTACCTTTCTGTTTTCTGCGATAGAGGTGAATTTTTGAGAATTTTAGGAGTGGAGAAGATTAGAACATTTGAGGATGAGGTAGAGGAAAGAGAACTGGAAGACTGTCCTCATCACCTTGCTACCAGTTGTATAAACACCACACAATGAGTACTTTCATTAAAGGGAATGACTTTCAAAAGGATGATAACTAAAGGAAGCACTTAAAAACACTATTCCTTGAGTGAGATTCTCTGTAAATATGAAAGTACACTGTATATAAGCAAAGCTAAATACAATTAATAATATTGTAGAATACTATGGCATGTCTTAAATATGTGTCACGTTACATCATTCAAGGAGCACTGTTTCCAGAGCAATTCATGACACATATTTAAGACATGCCATAGTATTATTGTGTTTAGATTTGCTTATACACAGTACTATAGTAAGCCCTTTAGAACTCACGACAACCAGAATTTGGGATAATCTAATAATTCGTTAAATTTTGTAATATAAATTTGATTACATTTAAAATATATGCACTGGGTAAAGTAGTCACCTCCATTAATTTCTAAGCTATATGAGTATATTTTGGAAGAAAGTAGAGAGTTTTAGAGGTATGTAGAGGAATTACTGACATGATTCATTCTTTTATCTATGCTTTTCCTTTGGATAAAATTATTAATCTCCTCAGACCAAAAAAAACTGTTAATTTAACTAGGAATTGAGACTATTTGGTTATACCAGTTTTAAGGGATTATTATTACAGTGTTTTCAGACACTATATAAAAAGAAAGGATTTTTATTAGATTGGCCTTCCTATTTACAACACATTTTTTGACTAGGAGGGATGGGGCAGGGAGGAAGTAACAGATAAACTGAGTATGGGGGGTGGAATGGTTTTTATGGTATTGTAAGGGCAGGGCCATGATTTTTTATTAGAAGTTAAAGGCAAGGATATGAAATATTGCCAACAGGCTTACCTGTTCTAGCTTCATTTAAAACATTTCTGTTTTATCATCCCTCCTAGAGGATTCAGCAAAATCTGTATAATTTAGTATTTCTTTCAAGTGGGATTTATAATGTTGCTGGATTATAATTCTGCTAGTGAACAATTTTATTGTTTTCTATGACTGGGCCTATTCTCTAGAACAGAATTCTTGTCCTTTCTTTCCCCAGGACTGAACTTGCCTAAACTAAAGCCAGTAGAGGTTGTGCCAATTACTTATCTCCTCAAAGCTTCTTGGTCATTCTCCTGCTCAGAAGCAGCTAAGCTAATAATCAGCCTTTGAGATATTACTTTTTAATCATAGACATAGCAGTGTTTGTGGTTTTCTGGATAATAAGGTTGTCTTTGCAGGGGCATGTTGGAGGTTAAGCCCAATATTCTCTGAGAAGTGGAGGGACATAGCAGAAGTCAGGACTCTAAAGAAGAGATTAGCCTTTAAGAGCCAGGAAGATTGTTTTTCCTTTATAAAGGGGCCCAGCTATGATTTTACACTCTGTAGGCTACCTATATAGTGAAGGCCTGATTCCACTGCAGTTCATGGATCTCTAACTATCACTGGGTAGGGGGCAGGAGGGAGGACACATAACCAAAAAAAAAAAATGTGTCCTCATTCAAGTATCAAATGTGAAAGATTTATTGTGACATTTAACTCTTTTATCTCTAAGGGCTCTGAGAGAGATTACCAGTTGTGGGTCAATTCTGGCAAAGAAGAGGCTCCATACCCACTCATTGGTAAGTTTTTGCAAAAGTCTAAGATAGCATTGATTGTGTTTTAATTATAATTCTAAGTGTCTCCGAGAATTGGTCATATGGTCCTAAGCTTAAATACTATTAAATATGAAATTTCATGGTGTTCATTTAATAAAGATCTATCAAAGATTTACTATGTGCTAGACAAATAATATCTCCTCATTCAAGCAGCTAATGGTATAGTTGGGAAGAGAAATATAAACTTTTCGCTCTGCTTTTTCATTTGACAAACAAGAGTTATCCTGCCAAACCTTTTTAAATTTTTTTCTAAGAAAGAAATATGTGTTGGTATTTATTTTTCTCCATACATTTATTTTTCATATTCAGTTTTTTAATTTCCTGTTCCCTTACCTACTATGTGCCTCTATGGAAGACCACCTAAAATACAACCATGCATCTTAATTCATCAGTGAGTATGTAATACCTGCTATGTACCCAGAACCTTCCTAAGAATCATGAAGAAAATCAGATTAACCCATTTAGACTCCTAAAAGTCTTTATTATCTGCTACTTCAGTAATTAAATTATTTTGCTATTTCTCTAGTCAGATTTTCCAGCATTTGTCATGAGGAATTATTGATAAATATGTTCCATTTTACCTTATTTAAGTCATTAGCTAAAAAATATTTCTTGATTAGTAATTTCATTCAGTGTGGTTAACAGAAATAGAACAATTAAAATAAAGGACAGTATCTTTACCAGATCTTGAGATGATGACGATGATAATTATGATGATGACAATTTCTGTTAACAATTTTAAATGCTTACTACCTGCCAGACATCGTGCAGAGCATATTGTATGCATTATTTCATGTAATTCTTTCATTTGTCTATGAGGTCACAACTGTGTAATTCAGTGTTTCAAGTGACCTTAGTAATCTAAAACCAAACTTTTCTACAAATGTATATGCTCAGATTTAGAATACAGAAAGTGATCATGCACAGAGCTAAAGACAAAATTGACTGTGTTTCAGGTTTTTAATGTTGTCATTTTTGTAATAGTCAATGAGCAATAAAGTTATTAAAAATCAAACACTTGAAATAATTGTTTTAATAAAATATATTAATGAAAACTATGTAGATGGTAACTTTTAGGCTTATGACAGCCCCAAGCTTCCTGACTAGCTCTTACTGAAAAACAATGAGACATAGGACATTATTGTCCCATGATTTAGCAGCAATGCTTAATCATTATTTTAATGTGTTCTGCAAACCTCAATTGTAGATTAGCTGCCGGCTGTTTTGATAAATTGATTTTGTTTTATTATTGTCATAGAAGCCTTTTTCTGTCTTAATCTCTGGAAGCTGCTGTAGTACTTGATATTAATGAAACATTGACATTGTATGCCTAGACCAGCTGAAAAGGAAGAGTAAGAGTTCACTGAGTTACATTTAGTGATAAGTCAGGAATAGAAGGGAACTTGCTCTCTGTACTTAAAAAAAATCTACATCAGTGGTATTTGAGGATTACACTAAAAGGACGTAATTACTTAGAATACTAAAGAGTTAAAATCATGTTGTAGTCAGATGTCCAGGGTTTAGTTTTTATAGTCTGTATATTCGTTTTTGCATCTGTTTCTGTGTTTCTGATCCCCTGCAGTCTTCCTTCTGATTATTGCCTCTGAACATCAATCTCAGAGGGCAGCAGTGAGAGGGAAGCATAAATCAAACCAGTTGAGTAACTAACTGTGTAACTAATAAAAATTAATGAAATGTTTTTAGGCAAACATCTTGTGTTAAATAATATTAATAATAGTGATACTTGACATATATAGATCCTTATACTTCTGTGGTAGGTAGAAAAAATATTTTAAATCATAGATTTGAGACTGAGCAAGGACATGTATTTGCTGAAAATTTATATATCTAGTTAATGTCAAAGGAGACAATAGAATACCTTTAGTTATCCTTAGATGCACGTGTTGGAAAAGTCAGCATTATGGAACTCGCAAACTGATCTGTGCATTCATTCCAAACAAGATAATCTTTAAAGATTTTTTTCTTCTTTTTCTCCCTCCTCTCCTTAAAACTACTTTGGTAGGACCACCTGCATACTGGTCTCCAACTGTAAGAGTGTAAATGATCATTCTGTCAAACAAAGGGATTCTTTATGCCAAAAGTCCCAGGAGTAAATTGCAGTACATTCCTATTTTGCAGTACACATGCTAACAGTACCAGTCAGCCTGAAGTCTACATTTAGATTTGTCTCTGTGTAGGGCATGAATATCCATATGGAATTAAAATGAGCCATCTTCGAGACTCTGCACTCCTGACACCGGGATCAAAGGACTCTACCACCCCTTTCAACCTCCAGGAGCCCTTCCTTATGGAACAGCTCCCCCGAGAGATGCAGTGCCAGTTCATCCTGAAGCCCAGCCGCCTGGCTGCAGCCCAGCAACTGAGTGGTGAGTTGCTTCTAGCAAAAGTTTTCGTTCTTGAACATAAATTTAGTACAAAGGCAAAGACTCAAACCTCCCGCCAGATGAGGTATTTTTTCTTGGAATTTGCTAAGTATTTTGAAAAGGAAAGATGGACTTTTAGAAGAAGATGGTTTTATAAATCAGCAATAGGCATGATTGACTAGGAATCAGCAGCTAGTAGCAATACAGTCTGTTCCTTCTTTCTTCACCATTCTTTCCCCTTTAACCTTATTCCTACTGCAGAGTCAAAGGCACTAAGCAGTGCTGCAGGTGCTTCAATGCCTTCTTTGTACTGTAATACACTCCAACTGTGTGTTCTCCCTAAATGGTTGCATTATAAAAAGGAGGCTGTCAATGATGGGTGTCAGAAGATTGTGATGCCCTACCTGGATTCTAGTTCTGATAAGTATGTGAAGACTAAGATGATTTCTACAGAAGTCTCTCCTTAGTCTACTAATCTAATATGAATTCCCTGTGAACATAGCAGTCTCTTACCCACCCCACAATAAAGACTCTGGAATGATAAAAGTGATCTTCAATATAAGAGAACTGTAATTTGCCCTAACCCAAGTTTGAGCTTTAAGCTCTGTCTGAAAGGAAGATTGTATAAGCAACAGAAGAAAATTGATATCAAAAAGTATGAGTGAGATAGTAGAAAATTGATTGTGAATTTCTATAGCTACCTTTGTCAATGTGAACCAACTGGGAGACCCATGGATTTGCGTTTTGCAAAGAACCAAATTAGGACCCCAGGTGTAATAAGTTTAAAGGGATGGCGTAGACCTTGAGAGATCACTGAGGCTACCTTCCTGCCACTTGACAGATTATTGGCATCATCTGAGTGCCAGGGGAAAGTCTGAAATTCTTCATCTGTGTGTGATTCAACTGACATAGCATTAATGAAAAATTAGCTCATACTGTTTTTATCTTCATTGCAGAACAACTGTACTTTAAGAAACATTTGTATGTAGCTATCTAAACTTAGAGAAAACGAATTAAATCAGCATTCATTGTAAAGAGTTTTTTTTGCCTTAAGTGTTAATACACTCCAAGATTGTTTTAAACAGAACCTTCTCTAATGCATTTAAAGTTAATTTCTAATTTATATTTCATACTAAAACATATAGTTTCTGAAACAACTGCATCAAGAAATTGTAACAGCATTGTGAAACTTATTTTCCTGTTCGCCCCTTTGATTCAAGATTTTGACATTTTATTGGACAAAAAGAGTTGTAACCACCATCTGTTTTCTTCAGCCAGCCTTTGTTCATTCTATTTTTCATCTCTGGAAGCCCAGATTCCTTCTGCTTCTTTCAAACCTACTAAACTCTACCACTTTCTCCATCTGTTAGTCCCCGTGTCCATCTTTACTTTCCTCCTTATGCAACTTGAATTCCATGGTTATCGTGATCATCCCTGTCTAGCAGAAAACTTCTGTTTCTTTGACCTTCTTTTCTACATTCCTATACATCTCCTAAAATCTCATCTCTAGATTAACTCTGTGCACTGTTGGAAGAAATCATATAGCATCAAGACTACTTGGTATCATTAATGACCAACCTTAATGGGCACTTCATACTGGGTGAGAGTAGTCTTAACTTTGTTTCTGTGCAGCATTCTTCAACTACTTGAGTCAACTGTCTTATATAAATTTCCACCCACATGCACAGCCAGCCTGTCACTTTCTGTTGATGACCTAGCCTCAAACTTTATACTTTACCAAAGTCATTGGTAAATCAGTAGATCAGTCATCAGGGACTCCCTCATCTTACCAACATCAGATACACAAATTTACCTTGAATTTGTTAACAGACATCTCTCTATGATAGTAAATTGAGGTTTTGGACTCTAAAATTTTTCGTTCCCCTTGGGTAATTTTGAAAGGGGAACACTGAGATATCATGGTCTTTCCATCCACTAAAATGTGAGCTCCATGAAGGCAGGGATTTTTATAAAGGGTATCTTTATAACTAGGCTGAGGAGAATAATAATCTTCTACTCTTCTACCTTTGCACCTGTGTTTTTCAAAACTATTTTTCTGGGTCCCTTGTCAATTTTATTTTATAATAATCAGAAATCAGGAATCCTAAGGGTTTTAACCAGTTTTGCTAATGACTTGCTCAACTAAATTGTAGGCATCCTCTGCTTAGTTTCTCTCTGTTGGAAGTGAGGCTAGATGATTCCAGCTGTAAATGATTCATGGTAAGTGGGATTAGGGATGGAATAACTATAGACCAGTGATGCCAAGGGCCAGCTGAGAGCATCAGAATGCCTGTGTAAAAAATTACAGGTGAACCACTAATGTTGTTTCTTTTTAAATACAAAAGAATTTGATGAACAACTGCTTTAGAAACCAGTGATTTAGATCAGGGGTCAGCAAACTTTTCCTGTAAGGGGCCAGATAGTAAAATTTTGCAGATCAGTATTGCAAATCAAGGATATTATGTAAGTGTTACATAACAGGAGAAAAAACAAATTTCCACCCAATTTTATTGATAGAATTCAAAATATAACAACAATTGAGTACAATTTTATGTAATACAAATCTAATGAGTGAGAAGTGAATTCTCTTGGAGGGATAACATTTCACTTAGTTGGAATTTAAAGTTAGTGATCTAGCCATCAAAATTTGAGTACAAACATTCTGATCTATAATAAAATTTTTAATTTCATCTTTGAAAACATATTTTCTCACATATGTACTGCCAAATACTGATATCATCCTACAAGCATCTAATTTCAGTTGAGCATATGTCTCTTTGATATGGCATTTGTAGAATTTTGTTAGATTCTTCTCTTGATATTTGCCTTTTAGCATATCATTTCATTGCAGATAATCACTTTCAATTGAAGGTTAGGTGGAAGCTCTTCAGTTGCATAGTGAAATGGATTTTGAGATATGGAAATCGCCTTTGCTCTTGCATCGAGGTTGGTAAAACACTACTCGAACTGTAGTTTGAACTCAAAAAACATATCTGCTGTACATTTGTATGTGAATCAAGATCTTGCTTCTTGTTTTAACTTTTAACGGCACAAGAAGTATATAAAGCAGCTTGATATTACTTGTAATTAAACATTCATTGTTTTGAAAATTACTACAGTATAAACTTTGTATGTAAGCACTGTTTTGCCTCGTAATTTTAGGTTGGATTTATTATGAAACATCATCATATCTACAGCAAAAACTAACTTTCAAAGCCATTTAGTGTCCATTAATAGAGGTTAAAGGCTGTTCTTTTCATTCATAACAAGTTCAATCTGGGCCCTGAGTTCAAAGTATCACTGTGAAACTCTAGCAGTGCTGAGCCATTGAAATGCTGTGTGATAGCATAATGCAGGCTAACCTTTAGCCTCTATTTTTAACAAAAATTCACAGAACTGACAATAGTTAAGTCCATGAGAGTAAATGAAGTTCACTGTTGACAGTACTGATCCAGTAACACTTGATAGATTTCCATATTTTTCAGGTAGTACCACTGATCAAAACAATACAATGAATAATCTTAGGTATTAAACACTTCAAATTTTCACAAGCTTTCTAAATTTCTCAAATTACACCTTTTTCTGCTCCACACATTTTCACTACCATGAAATATAACACAGCAGATTCCACTTCAGGTTGTACTGAATTATTGTTTTCTCAAATGCTTTGAAAATATTCTTACCCATAGTTATTCTATGCAGACTATTCAAGGTTAATTCTTCAGTCACTTCAAACTCAGCATTGACTTCTTGACTAAACAACTTAGTGGTATTGGTAACATTTTTCACCTCATCAAGAACCAAGGAAAGTCACTTGCCTTGTTTTTTAGTTTACTATTGATATTACTCCTAATGCCCTCAACTATTCAATTATCTATTCTCACTAAAAGGCTGATAATTTTAAATCTAGTTTCTCTGGACCCCTTTCTTAATCTACTGCAAGCACACAGATTTAATCAGTTCACCATTGGTAAATGGTTAAATGGCTTTCCTTGGTTGGCTAACAAATGAGCCACTCAGAAACTTAACTTTTATTGTAGCCTCATTTTTATTTTTGTGAGGGAATTCTGCAGTAATGATATATTTCATTTTAAATATTATTTTTCTGATCCATTGCTTTCTTATGAGTTGGGAGCATTGTGATTAACCATTGGTCTGTTAACCATTGACGCATATTATATTCTGTAACCACAGCTGTTACTTCATTGCACAGTAAACATAATACTTTGCCATTAGTTCCATAACAAAGTTATCTGCATTTCACTTTGCCTTAAAAATTTAACATTAGAAGAAGTCCACTTTTCGTTTATTGTTTTTACATAATAAGTAATAAAAAAAAAAGATGTTGTGGTATCCTGATAGATGTGGCACTTGAAACAGTCAAGATGTAACAGGGTCACTGCAATTTGTAGTGCCCTGAGCAGCAGTGCAAAGTAATGAGCGCACCACATACCATCTCTGTCACAGCTACTTAACTCTGCTATTGAGTGTGAAGTGAAAGCAGCCATAGACATTACGTGAATGAGTATGGTCATGTTCCAGTAAAACTATTCTAGACAGTAAAATTTTTTTTTTTTTTTTTGAGAAAAAGTCTCATTCTTATCGCCCAGGCTGGAGTACAATGGCACGATCTCTGCTCACTGCAACCCAGGTTCAAGCGATTCTCCTATATCAGCCTCCCGAATAGCTGGGATTACAGGCGCCTGCCACCAAATACAAAAATTAGTATTTTTTGTATTTTTAGTAGAGATGGGGTTTCACCATGTTGGCCAGACTGGTCTTGAACTCCTGACCTCAGGCGATCCACCCGCCTCGGCCTCCCAAAGTGCTGGGATTACAGGCATGAACCACCATGCCTGGCCTAAAGTTTAAATGCCATATAATTTTTATGTGTTATTACATATTATTCTTTTGAATTTTTTTCAACTTTTTAAAAATATAAAAGCCATTCTTAGCTCACAAGTTATCCAAAGGGAGGTGGCAAGCCAGATTTAGTCCAGGGAGCATAGTTTGTGCCCTCTGATTGAATGATTAAAATATGCATAATTAAAAACATGCCAGCTAAAGACTCTATATTCTACCAGACTTTATAACAGAGCTCACACAAGTAACAGAGCCATCTTATTTGACTTGTCTTCATTCCTTTGCCTGTTACATCTTTGTCATGTTCTAATTTAAGCAAGAGTATCTTCATGCTCCCTTGTTCACATATGTACCAGCTATTAACCTGACTTTTAATGGGGAAAAATGAGCTAATACTTCTTTTTTGGCACATAGTATAAACATAGAATTTTGCCTTATTTACCAAGTGCTAGTTGTTATAGTCAGAATCTTTCACACTTGTTTGTGGCCTGTATATTTAAAATGCACAGAATTCATAAATTCTTAAATTGCTTAGTCCTAGGAAATGGGTATTTTGCATGGTCTCTTATGTGGAAAATCATGTCTTGTTTTCTCCCCTGGAAACAAAGGGTTAAAATCTAATGATTTCTGTTAGAATATTGTCTGAGAACAATATTTTATTTTTAAACTAAATATAAAGCTTTCTCTAATTAGCTTTCAGAAAATATCCCTGTTAACCAGCATAACCATTGGTGAGATAGTCATTGCCAATCTTTTTTCCAAATTTTTGCCTCAGTGTAGAGAAGGCCTCCTAGTAAATAGCCTTACACTGAAAACATAACAGCAATACATCTTTCAGAAGGCCCCCTCTGAGACTTAGATCTGTAACTCATCTTTGGAATGGTTGATCCCCAGTGGGAAAGCTCTAGTGTTAATTGTGGAGGTTCAAGATATAGACATTCAAAGTTCTGACCTCAAGGCCCAACTCACATGTTACTGTTACAGGTTACTGTTACTGTTATATGTTACTGTTACAACACCTTGGGGTTGTCACTTTTCTGGCCAGAAATCTCTGTGGACAGTGATGTATTTGCCCAAGATTTGCTCAGGCCACTGGGTTCATTCCACCCACTAGGCCTTGCAGGCTGCACTTGGCTCTTACTACTGGCCTGGATCCCATGCCTGCCAGAGGCAAGTCAGGTGTGGAGTGGCGAGGGGTGTGTGAGTGAGCATGGGGCCTGGACACTGCACACAGTCAGACATACCAGCTGCTGCAGCGTAGCGGACAGCTGCACGTGCCTGCATGGGTGCTGGCTGTCTGTGAGGCTGCAGCCAGACCAGGCACACCACCAGCAGCTTCTATGGCTGGCACTAGGGAACACAGTGGTGCCCAGAAGCTTGGAGATGCCAGGAACTGCAGGGATCCAAAGTGGGAGTCACAGCCCTGCTCAGGGAGCTCCCAGCTCTGGGCTTCCCAAAGGGCTGCAGCTCTTATCTCCTTCTCTTCACCCACAGTGTGGTGAACAAGGGGCATGTTTCAGCCCTGTTTGTGTTACCACTCTTTCAGCCTCACCATTCAGCGGATCTGAAGTTCTCATCCTGTGACCAGGAAGAATGAGGTACACAGACAAGTGAAGGGTTAGCAAGATGAAGAGGAGCTTTATTGAGCAATATAACAGCTCAGAGGAGACCCACAGGGGGCAGCTCCTTTCTGCAGCCAGGGTGCCCCATCAAGTGTTCAGCTCCTAGCAAAGAGGGTAGCTCCTCTCTGCAGGCAGGTCATCCCATCAGATGTCCAACTCCTAGCAGAGAGGATAGCTCCTCCCTGTAGTTGGTTGTTTCATCATCTGTGCAGCTCTGAGAGAGGAGGCCCTGGAGTGGGTAGCTCCTCTCTGCAGGCTGGTCATCCTCACATCTGCAGCTGTCAGCAGAAAGGAGGCCCTGTAGTGGGTAGTCCTCTCTGCAGCTGGTTGTCAGGACATCTGCTCAGCTCTGGCTGAGCCTAGGGGTTTTATGGACTTCAGAGGGGAGGAAGAGCTGGCTTATTTGTCCATGGGCAGCCATGGGCAGACCCAGAAAAAGCACCACAAGTTCCCACTCCAGTCCACAGGACTGGCAGCCTGGCCCCCAGCTTTCAGGCCCTCCCTGGCCTAAAAGTAGGCCTCACCAGGGACTCACCCCCTTCTGCCCAGGAACCTTTCTGCCTCCTGCTGCTGTTCATGGCGCCCAGGCTATAGGTGCAAAGGGGCACCTGCAGGCCAGCACCGAGCTGCCTCAGCCCCCGATCGGCTTCCCTCCTATGCTTGTTGGCACCCAAAGTCCAGAGCAGTCCAAGGCACCAGGGGGCTGGCATGTCAGCACTGCCCCAAGTGTTTGCACAACCTGGTTGGGCTGCAACAGCACTTGGACTCACCCAACTTTGCACCATGATCAGAGCAGGTGCCGACAGCAGGGAGAAGCCAGGCAATGGTAGCAGGCACTTCTGAGCCTGTGAGGGCAGGGGTGGCCTTAAGGACCCCCAAGAGTACAGAAATGTCTATGTCTACAGTTGCAGTTTGGTTGGCTACAGCTGTGTTGGGGAATGGGGCTCTGCATGTTCCATGGAGCAAGAGGCCTGGGTCTGCAGCCATGACTTGGGTGACTGGAGCTACACCTGGGAGGGCAGGGCTCCTACCTGTCCCCACACAAGAGCACAGGGAGGTCTGGTCTATAGCCATGACTTGGACAGGTGCAGCTCCTGGGAGGGCAAGGCTCCTACCTGCTCTGTGGAGCAGGAAGCTCAGGCCTGCAACCACAACTCAGATGGCTGCACCTCCACCCGGGAGGGCAGGGCTCCCACCTGCTCCCAGGTCCTGAGAGCCCAGGGATTCCAGGGTCCACAGCCATGGCTTGGGTGTCTGCAGTGGCACCCAAGGGACCTCCCACCCCAACTCAGAAGGGGCAGGGCTCCTGCTTGTCCCCAGCCCCTGCCAGCTTCATGAATCCTGCAGCCCTGGCCATGCCTCCCCACTACAGCCAGTGTGATGGCAGCAGCCACTCCAGACAGCCTGCTGCTGCCATCACTACTTCTAGGAAATCTTTGTTCCTTCAGGCAGTTAGCACTTCATACACATCTCTAGTGTAACACATTAAAAAATCACATTATGATTATCTGTTTATATAATCTACTTGTCTCTTTAGACAATGACCTTCTTAAGACCTAGGAACTCATCCCAGGGCTTAGTCTAGTGTATAGAACAGAGTAGAAATTAAATGAAAGATTGAATGGCTTACTCAACCCTAGTATGGAAAAACTTGAGTGGAATGGAAGAGTTCTGGAATTAAATGGAATCTTTCTGAGTGTAGTCTGAAGTAGTTCTTGGAGTTCCAGTCTGTCCTGAACTCCCAGCTCTATGCCCAAAGTAGGTTCACTTTCCACACCTGCTTCAGACCTAGGACTGAACTGGAATTGAAATTTTATGGTGGCTGGTAAAATATGGGATACATCTTTTTTTCTGTTTACCCTGTATTCACCTCTGTGTTTTTTACTCTAGGGGAAAAAAAAAAAAAGGTGGGGATATTCTTAATTTGGGGAGTTACATGGCCGGAGTAGAATTTCTAACATTTTTTGTTGTTATGGTTATTATTATATAAACACAACGTTTTAAGAACTGTAATTTTTAACATTCAATTATCTAATTTAAGCACATAAACACACTAACTTGAATCTTGCCAGGGACATTTAGGAAAACTAGATTTACTTGAATTTAGTTTGCTTTACATTTACATCCCTCATTTCTTATAGCAATAGCATGTTTTTTCATTAGCCTTTGTGACATTTAGAAAGTAAGATGTGTGCATTAAAAGCTCTGTAAGAAAGTAAACTTTAATGAAATTTTTTTATCTCAGTCCCAGAGGAATCCTGAATGCTCAGGTTGAATGCCGTGTGTATATATAATAAAAGGCATGGCTACAGCTGAGAGTATTTATGATAAAGTAAAGGACTCAATTTCTACTTTATCCTCTGTCAACACTCATAGGGTAGCTGAGTATATAACTTTTGACAGAGCATTGTTCTTAAATGTGTGAAAGCTAAAAAATCAAATAAGTTTTTATTTTGATTGTTTTAGAAATAATAAAATCAGGGCTGTGTACAGTGGCTCACGCCTGTAATCCCAGCACTTTGGGAGGCCGAGGCAGGGACTAGCCTGGGCAAACATAGTGAGACCTCATCTCTAAAAAAATAATAATAATAAATAAAAATCAAGTAAATGTGAGCAAACCAAGACTGAGCACAAGTACTCAACATACATATTCACATATATATTAAATACATATTCACATATATATTAAACACATATTTGCATAGATTGACCTTGCTAGACGTACAGGAACCCCTTCCTGGACTTCAGAAAAGGTTTAGTTTCCTTTTCAGTTTTTTTTTTTTTAATTTTATTATTATTATACTTTAGGGTACATGTGCACAACGTGCAGGCTTGTTACATATGTATACACGTGCCATGTTGGTGTGCTGCACCCATCAACTCGTCATTTAGCATTAGGTATATTTCCCAGTGCTTTCCCTCCCCCTCCCCCCACCCCACAACGGTCCCCGGTGTGTGACGTTCCCCTTCCTGTGTCCATGTGTTCTCATTGTTCAATTCCCACCTATGAGTGAGAACATGCGGTGTTTGATTTTTGTCCTGGCGATAGTTTGCTGAGAATGATGGTTTCCAGTTTCATCCATGTCCCTACAAAGGACATGAACTCATCCTTTTTTATGGCTGCATAGTATTCCATGGTCTATATGTGCCACATTTTCTTAATCCAGTCTATCACTGTTGGACATTTGGGTTGGTTCCAAGTCTTTGCTATTGTGAATAGTGCCGCAATAAACATACATGTGCATGTGTCTTTATAGCAGCATGATTTATAATCCTTTGGGTATATACCCAGTAACGGGATTACTGAGTCAAATGGTATTTCTAGTTCTAGATCCCTGAGGAATCGCCATACTGACTTCCACAATGGTTGAACTAGTTTACAGTCCCACCAACAGTGTAAAAGTGTTCCTGTTTCTCCACATCCTATCCAGCACCTGTTGTTTCCTGACTTTTCAATGATCACCATTCTAACTGGTGTGAGATGGTATCTCATTGTGGTTTTGATTTGCATTTCTCTGATGGGCAGTGATGATGAGCATTTTTTCATGTGTTTTTTGGCTGCATAAATGTCTTCTTTTGAGAAGTGTCTGTTCATATCCTTTGCCCACTTTTTGATGGGGTTGTTTATTTCTTGTAAATTCGTTTGAGTTCACTGTAGATTCTGGATATTAGCCCTTTGTCAGATGAGTAGGTTGCAAAAATGTTCTCCCATTTTGTAGGTTGCCTGTTCACTCTGATGGTAGTTTCTTTTGCTGTGCAGAAGCTCTTTAGTTTAATTAGATCCCATTTGTCAATTTTGGCCCTTGTTGCCATTGCTTTTGGTGTTTTAGACATGAAGTCCTTGCCCATGCCTATGTCCTGAATGGTATTGCCTAGGTTTTCTTCTAGGGTTTTTATGGTTTTAGGTCTAACATGTAAGTCTTTAATCCATCTTGAATTAATTTTTGTATAAGGTGTGAGGAAGGCATCCAGTTTCAGCTTTCTACATATGGCTAGCCAGTTTTCCCAGCACCATTTATTAAATAGGGAATCCTTTCCCCATTGCTTGTTTTTGTCAGGTTTGTCAAAGATCAGATAGTTGTAGACATGTGGCATTATTTCTAAGTGCTCTGTTCTGTTCCATTGATCTATATCTCTGTTTTGGTACCAGTACCATGCTGTTTTGGTTACTGTAGCCTTGTAGTATAGTTTGAAGTCAGGTAGCGTGATGCCTCCAGCTTTGTTCTTTTGGCTTAGGATTGACTTGGCAATGTGGGCTCTTTTTTGGTTCCATATGAACTTTAAAGTAGTTTTTTCCAATTCTGTGAAGAAAGTCATTGGTAGCTTGATGGGAATGGCATTGAATCTATAAATTACCTTGGGCAGTATGGCCATTTTCACGATATTGATTCTTCTTACCCATGAGCATGGAATGTTCTTCCATTTGTTTGTATCCTCTTTTATTTCATTGGGCAGTGGTTTGTAGTTCTCCTGGAAGAGGTCCT
The DNA here is from genome assembly GCF_000001405.40 of Homo sapiens. Lineage (NCBI taxonomy): Eukaryota > Metazoa > Chordata > Mammalia > Primates > Hominidae > Homo > Homo sapiens. The sequence continues at coordinate 110,595,594 of NC_000011.10, read as the reverse complement.
TCACATCCCTTGTAAGTTGGATTCCTAGGTATTTTATTCTCTTTGAAGCAATTGTGAATGGGAGTTCACTCATGATTTGGCTCTCCGTTTGTCTGTTATTGGTGTATAAGAATGCTTGTTATTTTTGTACATTGATTTTGTATCCTGAGACTTTGCTGAAGTTGCTTATCAGCTTAAGGAGATTTGGGGCTGAGACCATGGGGTTTTCTAGATATACAATCGTGTCATCTGCAAACAGGGACAATTTGACTTCCTCTTTTCCTAATTGAATGCCCTTTATTTCCTTCTCCTGCCTGATTGCCCTGGCCAGAACTTCCAAACTATGTTGAATAGGAGTGGTGAGAGAGGGCATCCCTGTCTTGTGCCAGTTTTCAAAGTGAATGCTTCCAGTTTTTGCCCATTCAGTATGATATTGGCTGTGGGTTTGTCATAGATAGCTCTTATTATTTTGAGATACGTCCCATCAATACCTAATTTATTGAGAGTTTTTAGCATGAAGGGTTGTTGAATTTTGTCAAAGGCCTTTTCTGCATCTATTGAGATAATCATGTGGTTTTTGTCTTTGGTTCTGTTTATATGCTGGATTACATTTATTGATTTGCGTATGTTGAACCAGCCTTGCATCCCAGGGATGAAGCCCACTGGATCATGGTGGATAAGCTTTTTGATGTGCTGCTGGATTCGGTTTGCCAGTATTTTATTGAGGATTTTTGCATCAATGTTTATCAAGGATGTTGGTCTAAAATGCTCTTTTTTTTTTTGTTGTGTCTCTGCCAGGCTTTGGTATCAGGATGATGCTGGCCTCATAAAATGAGTTAGGGAGGATTCCCTCTTTTTCTATTGATTGGAATAGTTTCAGAAGGAATGGTACCAGTTCCTCCTTGTACCTCTGGTAGAATTCGGCTGTGAATCCATCTGGTCCTGAACTTTTTTTGGTTGGTCCTTTTCCGTTTTTGTTTTGTTTTTTTAAATAATGGAGTTTGAGAATGTCAGAGCAGGAAGAAACTGCTTTACTTAAGTGGAGTATTGGTATTCCTTCATATATGGATACCTGCTGAAGGCTGTGAAACCACATGGAGAGTAGGTGCAGAGAGGTTGTCCTCTTTGTGGGGAGGAGATTGGTATCTTGACAGCATTCATCAAGATCACTGTGACAAAGTACTACTTTTATAGATTATCCTATACAATCCTTTCAATAAGCCTTTGAGGGCTAATTCATATCCTTTACATTTTAAGGTTGAGGAAAGAAAAGAGGTTAAGTAACTTGGTCCAAATAAGTTTCTGAACTGGGAGTGCAGAGAGGCTCCTGACTCTAGAGCCAAAGAGCTTTACATACCTGTGTGTGTACATTGATGATGCATTTGCTGTATTTCAAGGAAGTGATGTGTAGATGATGATCTTAAGGCCATTTGGTAAAACGTTGCTTACTTATTTATCCTCCCACAACTTGGCTTTTTAAATATTTAGTTAAGTAGTTTATTCTAAGGAAATAAAATGCTAAGGTAGCCAACAATATAGAAGACTTCTTTGGAATTAACATGTCTAATTCCACTGAAATGACAAGACTGCTGACTGTGTCCTTTAAAAGATCAATCCTTCAGTATTTCATTATCAGGGAATGTTGGGAACATCTCTGTTTTAGTTTGGTGTCATAAGGAACAATGCCACACAGCCAGTCTAATTACCAATTATCGTGCACTCTCACTGGAGAAAATGGAGTCAAGCCATGAGTGGGTACTGCCTAGGCATTATGGCTCCTCAAATCTCAGTTCTGTCAACCTTAATTGCAAGCTCTTTTGAATCTGCCCCTGTGAATGCAAGCTTCAGGGGTTAGCCAGAGATGTGGGCAGAATTTATACATAGTATTTAGGGCTCCCACTATCAGGCTTTCTTCTTTCTGGGATCCCCCCTCACTTTCCAGCTGTGGGTACCTCTGTCTCCCTTCTCTAGTTCTTCAAGCCAGTAAGAGTAGGTTTCTTCTCAACTTTTAGTCACCCCCATTACCCGGGGGCCTGCCCTCAGCCTAAAAGCTGTAAGATTAGAAAACTCACCCAGTGCTATGCCATTCCCTTCATCCAAGTGTCACACTTTGACCTCTATATCTACCTTCTTTTGCTCACTCTTTAGTGCCTTCAGCTAGGTTTATTTTGGTTGGTTTTCCAGAGTTTATAGTTGTTACTTGTGTGTATCTGTTGGGAAGAGGGGACAGAGAGGTCAGCCACTTTTAAAAGTGTAACCTTAAAGAGATTTTTATGTATTAAATCATAAGCAAACCTGTTAAACTTCATGTTAAAATTAGACACAAATGACACCAAAAACATTTCGGCACTATGGTATAAAACCATACCTTACTGTTGACCTTTCTTCTGCCTGTTCTTTTTCATGTTGTCTTTTTCTACTTAAATCCCTCCTCAATTTCAATTATTGTTTAATAACAATTTAGTGAGTACTCACTAGATGGAAGGCACTATGCCAGATGCTCTATCTGTTAAAATCTTGTTCATTCAAAATCCAAGTCAAATGCAAACACCCCCAAGATCACCCCCTCCATCTTATTGACCAGATGTGATTTACTTTCCTCTGAATGCTTTTAGTACTTTGTTCCTACCTCATGACATTATATTTATTAACATACTTGCTTTTCTCCTCACCCTGACCAGTTCTTCATCCCTAGTAGATTATAAACTTCATGTTTGTGTCCATCCATGCTTCCTTAAACATACTTTAAAGTCAAGAACTGAAAAGAAACATAAAAGTCTACAGTTGCAAAGAAAGGAAAAAACTTTAGGACATTAGCTTCCTGTCTGTGTTCTCAAGAGGAGAGTAGTATGTCAGATACTAAAGGATTCTTTATTTCTAACGAACATCTTAACAGAGAAAACTCCTCTCCTCTTTCTTCTCCTCCCCTCTTCCCTTCTCTTCCTTCTTCCTTTTTCTTCCTCCTTTTCGCTTTCATCTTGTCCTTCTCTTACTCCTACTTCCCCTTCCACCTTTATCTTTCCCTCTTCACACTTTCTTTTTTCTCAGTATTTAACTATAGTCTTATTTAAACTTTTTGTATGCTTAGTCTCATCTTTAAAATGGGAAAATAAATGGGTTTGTATGAAACGCTTTTTGCTTTTAGGTGTTACAGTTCAATAAGGGAGTCTTTCACCTTTGAAAATGTAGTGCCAAAATTCAAGTAAACAGACCAGTGATGTCCAAAAACTGGATGGGAGAAGAACCCAAACATTTGATTCTTCCTTCATTGATTCATCTTTCATTTATAAGATGAAAGACGAAATGAAATTTTATAGGTTGAATTGTCAATGACAAAAGCCATCTATTAGCATCTTTTTCTCTTTGAGCCATAGCAACAAACATACCATAAAATGGAAGTTATAGAAATAAGATTAAGTGAATGAAACTCATTTTTCTAATAAGCTCACTTCTTCCTTAGATTCAGGTCATAAGACATTTAAAAGGAGAAGATCTATCATAAACTGGGCCTTCTGGCGAGGTTCTAGCACTCACCTGGACAACTTGCCCTCATCGCCAACATCACCTATGCCAGGACAGCTCTTTGGAATTTCTCTGCCAAATATTTGTGAGAATGACAATCTGCCCAAACCTGTCTTGGTAAGGCTCATTTTGGTCTGTAAACTGATGGGAAAGGGTGTTTGGGAAAGGAGAGCTCTGCGAGGTAAATCTGTCCCCAAATGGAAAAATTATAGACACCACTGTCTTTGGCTAAGAATCTTCACTATTATTCCTCCAAATAACAAAATCTGATTTAGCTACTGTGAAATCAGAAGGAAGACATAATGGGAAGAAATAACCTAGGAAAGAGCCACGTAAGCTTTCTCAGATAAAGCAGAATTTGCCCTGCAGACAGAATTCACATTATTCCTCACAAATCCTTTCTTGAACGTCACATTGTTCTCAAAGTCTTCTTTGATCATTGTAGCAACAGAAACTACTCGATCCTACACTTAGGTTTTTAAATCCGTTTTATTTATATTTCAAGTGCTCACGCATAAAGATACATTCCCTGGCATTTATTTATCTTTTGTATATAGAGTGGGTCAGATGAAAGCCACTGGGTTTATATTATCTCCAGTTGATATTTTAAATAATCACTGCTAAGCAGTATTGAGTCTCTAGTATCCTTCAAGCACTATACTACATATATGGCATTTTATACTATATTATGCATCTATAAATGCAAGACACTTGTCTAGCCACTTTATTTATTCTTCACAACAAATTTAGGGGATAGTTGTTATCATGTCATCATCTCATCCGTTTACAAATTGTTTTAAAGCCTCAGTACTGCACTCAATGTTACACAGTAACCAAGTGGCATAACTAGGTTTTGGATCCCATGGATTGCTTGTCTTCAAAACCCATTCTCTTCTTACACTGTAAGCAGGACGTAGTGATAGAAAGGAAAATTAGAGAACACTTAAAATTCACTCTCTGAGCAATTTTTAGGAATATAATGCATTATTAACTATAATCATAATGTTATATAATAGATCATGTGACCTTATTCCTCCTAACTGAAATTTTGTATCCTTTGACCAACATCTCCCCAACCTGCTCACCACCACCCCCAGCCCCTGGTAACCACCCTTCCACTCTCCAAAAAGGTGACTTTAATTTTTCCGGCCATTTATTTAGCTCCAATCCTTCAGTGCTTTTACCCTAGCGCACCCTAGCCTCTGGCATCCAAAGAGGGCAAGTGTACATTCCCTTGTGTGTGTGGAAGTGTCATTTTGTTTATTTTCCTTTGCTTCCCCATAGGATATGCTTTTCTTTCTTAATCAAAAAGGACCTCTCACCAAAGGTATCTTCAGGCAATCAGCCAATGTGAAATCCTGCAGAGAACTAAAAGAGAAATTGAATTCTGGAGTCGAAGTACACCTAGACTGTGAATCTATTTTTGTGATAGCATCTGTCTTAAAGGTAAGAAGAGTCATCCCTTTATCCACCCCATGGTGTAGCTCTAGAGAAAGAGGGTGTTTTACTTTTTCATTATGAACATTATTTCTATTTGCAAAGACCCATAATAGATTTATTAACATAATTTTTAACACTAAAAAGTGTTATAAAAACATTTCACAAAGTCAACATTGGACTTTAAAAGCTACCACTGATGATATGACATATCAGATATGCTTTTTAAATTTTTATCCTACACTAATCTCATCTTTACTTCTGCCACTCCATGTAAAAAATAAAAATTGTAAGTTTAAAAAATCAAAAAACACACGTATACCAAAACAGACATCCTGCTTATGATTTCCTCACTCTCTTACTACCTTCTTAATGAAGGCAGTTTTCAAATATAAACATTAGACATTTGAAAACAGTTAAAGAAGTTTGCCATAATAAACATTTGGCTCACAATTGAAATAAAAAATTGCTGAGATCACTGAAAATTCCATTTATTTTCATAATCATCATGCCTTCCCTTTTTTTTTTTTTTTTTTGAGGCGGGGTCTCACTCTGTCGGCCAGGCTGGAGTGCAATGGCATGATTGCGGCTCACTGCAACCTCCACCTCCTGGGTTCAAGTGATTCTCCTGCCTCAGCCTCCTGAGTAGCTGGGATTACAAGCCTGCACTACCAGGTCCAGCTAATTTTTGTATTTTTAGTAGAGATGGGGTTTCACCATGTTGGCCCAGCTGGTCTCTAATTCCTGACCTCAGGTGATCCACCTGCGTCAGCCTCCCAGAGAGCTGGGATAATAGGCGTGAGCCACCGCACCCAGCCTAATGCCTTTTACTTTAAAAGTGGAGTAAGAATGACTTCAGCATCTAAGTTTTCCTTTACTTTTACCACACTTGGCATTCTTTGTGGTTCTTACACTTTACCCATTGTTACTTAAGTCACATCCATGGTTACAGAGATAGAGAGTTCTAAAATGTTTTCTGCCCCCACATTCTTGGAAATGCTCTACATTTTTGGAAACACCTACAGTCAAAATGAGCTTTAAGCAGAGCTTTTGACCTTAGCAGTATCTTCTGCAGACCTGTGTCAGGCTCTCACCTCCCAAAGGATTGGAATGCACCAGAGCTAGGGGTCGAGACAAGGCCCCAGCCTGTATCTCAGGCTGAAACGTGAAAACCAAGTTAAGGAAAATATGGTGAAGAAGATTCTTGCATACCCCTACTCCAGCTGAGTGCCCAGGTGCTTACAGAATGTTACTTCATGACTTTATATACAATCAGATGTTTCTGGATAAATAAGCCATATCTGCTCTTAAACCCTGCTATAAATTTTTGCAATTAGATATCATGCAAGAGAACTGGAGGGTTGAAGCTAAGGTCACCTCATCTGTTTTGCACAGGGTTTATGATTACTCTTCAATCCTGGAACACAATAAAAATATGTATATGTAAAATACAAATATGCATATGTAAAAATATGTAGCCAGATATATATGCCAAGGTTTTTTATGCATGATAAATTTTCCTTTTTTATATATATCTCTTAGTTTACAAAGGTAAAGCTTGTGTTTTTTTGTTTTTTGTTTTTTTCAGTCGGGGTCTCACTCTGTTGCCCAGGCTGGAGTGCAGTGGCACGATCTCGGCTCACTGCAAGCTCCACCTCCTGGGTTCACGCCATTCTCCTGCCTCAGCCTCCTGAGTAGCTGGGACTACAGTTGCCCGACACCACGCCTGGCAAATTTTTTTGTATTTTTAGTAGAGACGGGGTTTCACTGTGTTAGCCAGGATGGTCTCGATCTCCTGACCTCGTGATCCGCCCGCCTCGGCCTCCCAAGCTTGTGTTTTAAAACAATTTTCTTTAACAACCAAGAATGTTTGCAGAAAAAAAAATTTCTTACTATGCTATTCTTCATAGCATTACACTTCTTAAAATTTTGTGCTAAACTATTGATGCTATTGCAAAGAAGCATGGTTCTAGAAGAGTTAAATTATGTTTCAAATTGCAGAAATATTTGTCCAAAAATAACCAAAAGGCAAAAAATGATCCAAATGATTGAAAAGTCTGGTTAAATGTGTTCCAAGTAATTAACATTTTATCGTATGTTTTACCCCCTTTTCTTCCAAGTGGTTGCAGAAAGGGAGATAATTTTTAGCAAAAGTTCTTAAGCTTTTGTTTTATTTCTTGTTTTTGAATCTGTTTTGAAGTGGTACTTTTTTTCACTTATGCTGGTTTTGCTTAAATATAAGTTTAAGTTATAGCTTAACTCTTCAAACTATAATTGGATAAAAATTGCTGAAGACACTATAACTTTGATCCATCAAACCGTTGAGGAAAAGTTCATATTTAATCCTGCAGTATCTCATCTCAGATGACTTTGAGGGTTCTGCTGATGGCCTTGGCTCTGGTTTTGGAGGAGAGGAGACATTCAACTAAGTGCTGTGAGCTGGTGATTGCAGTGCAGAATCGGCTCTCACATCCTTCTCAGCTGTGATGATGGTGGTATTTCGTAACTTGTTATTCCAGCTGTGGGAGAGTTCATTGAGATGTTACGAGTTATTATCTTTCAAGTGTAGGTTTAAGATGTTAATGATGTTTTTCTTCAAGACAGATCATAAGTATGTTTTCCACTGAGATTTAAAAAGAGAGCTATTGTCCCTACCACATTTTGAAATAACAGATTTTGCTTCTTCTAAATCTAACTTCTAAAGTGGGTACAGCAGCTAAAATTAGTTTGGAATTATGAAAATTCAATCACTTTACCCAAAAAGAGGTAACTTTTGTAATGATATACCTGAATCACAAGCATGCAGGTACATTTCTGCTAGAAGATATAATAGAACAGAAGAAGACTTTGAATTAGTCATTCTTCCTTCTTGTTAAACATTCTAAAAAAAAAAGGATAGTAATAAAGTGACATGACTACAAAGAGGCTTTTCAAATTATCTTAAAATCTCAGTTACAGTTGATTGGCCTTCTCTTGGCTCCCATTAATATTTGGCCATATGCAATTTAGCAGCAGTTCACTAATGTCCTCTACTATGGCTAGGACTGTGCTTGGCATTGACATGTACAAAGAAGGGTCTGTCCCTACCCTGGAGGAGCTCATAAGCAAGTGGGGAAGATGCCCACATAATCAGCTGATTGTAACAATAAGTTATCACAGCTTCTATATTACTGTTATAAACATGATATCTAAGTAGCAAGTTGTGTGTTGCCTTCAATAAGGCACATAGATAAAATTATTTATTTGGTTTAGCAAGAGGTAAAATTGCCCAATTGCAGACTTTCACCTGTCCTCATGTTGCAAGCATGAAATTGCAAGAGGGTAGCCAACCATGTGTATGGTACTTAAACACGATATTGAGTTTACTCTGCCTAAAGTTTACTAAGGTGGAGATCAGACTGCAAGCTTGACCTTGGTAATGCCATACCAAAAGCAAGAGAGACAGTTGGCCTAGAATCAACTCTGTAGGACCAGGACAAGAACCAAATTTTGTTATTTTTAAGCTTTTTGTAAACAAAAGCCAAACAACAAAAGCTAAACAACAAACATACTTGGTCATATCCTGTTTGTGTCATAGTTCAGCCTTACCACACTCAGCCCTGCCAGTGGTCTCAGTAGAATAGGGTCTCCTAGAAAAGGATAATATCCTGTGGACATGTTATTTAGCATACATCAGGCATGAGTGTGCTGCCTAAATTTCTAGAACCCAGCCATCACCTGAAATGCTCTCTCTCTCCAAATATATGAGAGCCTTTCTACAGGGAATACAGGGAGAAACCTTAAGTACCTCTTGATGCAATTTTGCACTAATAACACTGGAATATAAAGTTCCAAGATAACAGAGACTTTGTTTTAGTCACTTCTCTATCCCTAGCAACTTAAATAGTGCTTGGCACATATGAATAAATGCATGTAGAATGATTCAATGAATGACTACCAGACAATGAACCTCATAGATACCTTGGTACATTTCCTTGAACTAGCTGTCTAAGGGACAGGGGAAAAGGAATTTAGGATGGTTTACTGCCAGACCTTGTCATGTCATACTAGTTCACTAAAATATATGCAAACAGTAAGTTTCAGCCAAATGAGTTGTCCTTTATTTTCCCACCGTAATGAAGACTCCAGTTATCCCAATGATCTTTGCTATAAGAAAATCAAAGTACATGTTTCTGTGTCCCCAAGTCAATGGAGAGTTGGCGCAGAGCTCTGTGTAGTTCACAGAAGAGAGTACGTAAGGGAACTTTTCAACAAAATGTCTTCTACTTTCTCTAATACATATTTGGCATGAGGATAATTATTTGAAATATTTGTTTTTCCATCTATTTAAGGATTTTCTGCGAAATATTCCAGGAAGTATTTTTTCATCAGATCTCTATGATCACTGGGTCTCTGTAATGGATCAAGGAAATGATGAAGAGAAAATAAATACTGTTCAAAGGTAATTATTCTAATTTGGTCATGTCTCAAAAATACTTTAAAAATATTTTATAAGATTATTTATTAAAATAATGACAGCTATCAAAGTCATATCCATGTGGACCAGTTTAAAAATAGATGTATGCTAGTTTGTCATTGTTTTCCTTCTTAATCTTATAGTTGAACATTGTAATACTTGAAGATTGTACACCTTCCATATACCTGAATCTGATAGGAGCTGAAATCCATTAGTCCACTAGCTAATACTATACACCCAATCTTCAGTTTATGATCTTAATTTTTGTAAATATTTAACCAGACAACTCATCATATATTGCATTCACCAACTGAAGTCATACAGAGAAAATGACTTATTCTGTCTTCTCATGGAACTCAGTCTGGTAAGGTAGATAGAAAAATCAAGAATTACAATGCAGTACAATCAGTGCTAGAAGAGAGATTTGGAGAGTGTTGTGGAAGCACAGCAAAGACACAGTTAAGTCCTTGAAAAGTGGAAAGGAAAAGCAGAGTTGCAAAGGACGTCTGATCACAAAGGATGTACTGTCTCTACTCATGCAAAGGGAAATTGCTGGTAGAACTCACTACCCCATTCCTGGACTTTTCCTGCATTATAAGAGAGTAAGAAAGAAATGTCCCTTAACAAAAAGCAGTATTTCTAGTTCTGTGAATACTCAAGAATCTCAATATTATTTACTTGCATTTGCTTGTTTAGTACAGTTGTTTTTTCTTAAGCAACTTTCATATATGAATTATCTACAACTTTCACCAGTAGAACATAGTACAGCTGCTGAAGACACCAGAAACCAAGGCCGTTTAACAAAATACCACCTCCACTTCCATTATAGTTTGGCGTAAACCATTCAGATAGTGAGCATCAAATTCTAAACTGTGTTGCTATATATCCTATAAGCTGTTAAAGGATTTTTTTGGAAAAAGGTAAAATTATGACTCTCATGCAAATATAAACACGTGAAATATTTTGTTTAAATCGTTTATGAGGGAACTAGTAAGATTAGTAAGATGTTACAACCAGTTCAAAGGAAATTTCAAAGTTGAAATCATATGTATATATTCATATATACATTCACATATATTCATATATATTCACATATATTCATATATTCACATATATTCATGTATTCATATATGTTCACATATATTCATATATTCATATATATTCACATATATTCACATATATGTTCACATACATATTCATATATTCATATATATTTTCACATATATATTCATATATTCACATATATTCATATATTCATATACACATATATTCACATATATATTCATATATATATTCACATATATTCATTTTTACATTCACATATATATTCATTTATATATTCACATATATATATATGAATCAGAAATGCTAAAGTGAATTTGCAAATAAATACAAACAAAACTGACCTCTTCTATCAGGGCAGGGATGCAGATCAATCAGTTCTCTCCACCAGAATTTTCACATCTTTAGACAAGTATTAGATGCACTGCTATCAGTTAGTTATAACTTACACAGAGTTGTAAAATAGCTCTTATTGTGAAAAATCTTAGGGCCCCATAGAAGCAGAAAACCCAAAAGCTTATGCTAGATGCCTTATTTTCCATTGAATACACCCAGTAATCTTTTGTTCTATTTCAAAGTCCTTCATAACTTACCCTTACAAAAACTATGCTCATTGTCAGTCCATTGTACTAAAGAAAGGCCTCCCTGCTATTTGTGCAAGCAGCAGTCAGACTATCATCTTTTCCCTAGGTTGCAGGTTTCTATTGAAAAAAAAAAAAACAGTCATGAATATCAGTATATTTGTACTTTTTGGGATAATAGTAGTCATTTTTGCTGACTGATCATTTACAAATCCCTTATCAATTACAACATGAGAACAGCAGAAAATCTACTATAAGCAACTGATATGTGAAAGTGATACAATGAAACAGATTTAGGACAAAATTGACCTTGGAAGTTGGTGGAGCAGAACATAAGCTCTCAAAATGGACCTGGACGTCTTGATAGCTAAGGTTTGGGTTCTTACCAAGAGACAGCATTTCTGTGTTGCTACTTAAATGAGCATTTTATAAATTGCTGTTTAATTTTATCAGAAAGCTTTTTGTTGTTTTTGGTTGAAAATATTCTGAAATGTTACAGGATTGGCCTAAGTTTGCATTATGCTAGTTTCAGGGAAATATTTCAGGCAGCATTTTTTTTAATGAAATATTTTTCTGCATTCTTTTACATTTTCTTTGAGATGTGAAGACAATATACAAAAACAAAAAATAAATTCCCAATGCCTATTTTTTCTTTCTGTACAGGCAGTCCTCACTTTGTATGGTACCATGTTAACTGAAACTCTTGCATATCTGAACTGTGTTCTTGATTTCCCTCTTCCCCATTCAAAGTGAGAGTTGCTTGTCTTTACAAGTTTTTGAATGAAATGTCTTGCTTAAAGAGTAATTTTTCTGTCTTTAGGCTATTAGACCAGCTTCCGAGAGCCAATGTTGTTCTCCTAAGGTATCTTTTTGGGGTGTTACACAACATTGAGCAACATTCCTCATCCAATCAGATGACTGCATTTAATTTAGCTGTGTGTGTCGCTCCAAGTATTCTTTGGCCTCCTGCTTCCTCCAGCCCAGAACTAGAAAACGAATTTACAAAAAAGGTAATGAAGTTTTTCATTTTTATGCCCTGGGAGACTGAGTCCCCGTTTTGAAACTGAAATTTGGGGTATTCTAAAAGATGATTTCTTAAATAACTTAAATATACCGTATCCTTATAAATTTGACTTTACTGGTAGACTATAGGAAAGTGAATTGTTAAGTAGAAAATGATAGCAGATGGGTTACTTCTCTTTTCCCTTTAAGGAGGCTAAACACCATGATTAAAACCATAAAGTGATAAAGCAGCTGATAAGATTTTTTAAATGAAAAGAAAAAAAGGACTTTGGAACTAGGACAGCTAAGCTTCCATTCTCAGCTCCACCCCTTGCCAGATGTACAGTCTTGGGCAAAATTACATTGACCCACAGTGTCCTCATCTAAAAATAAAATGGAGTCGGTGATAATACAGTAGTTACTTGAAATCACACTCCTGTAGTCCCTGACAGTTAATAAGGGGTGTGGGGATATCAGTTCCCTTTGCTCTTAACATTTCTCCTGCCCCTTGGCCTCAGCTACTGGGGCAAGGGAACTTCAGAAAGGTTCCAGTACCTCTCAATGGAGTCACAAAGCTCCCTAGTAAACTCTTACCTTTCCCTGCAAGCACCTCTTGTTAGGGAGCCTATCAGAAGGTGGCAGTACATGGATAGACCTGTCAGCCAAATGACTGGGTAGAGACTAGTCAGGAACACAAGTTTTCTTTCTAGCTGTCTTTCTCCTTCACAGTGCACTCGCAGATGAGCCCTCTTCCCAAGCTTATGACAGCCTGCCCTTTACACAAGAAATAGTTTTTATAAGTCTTTGTCTAATGATGCTTTATAAATTTTAATAACAAAATATATTTCTTTACCCAATTTTACAGACAGAGCCATTGGTATAAAACATTAAGCCAAGGCTACAAATAATAACTTTAGTCCACTGATTACATTTCTATGCCCAAACTACTTTTAAAAGTATCATAGTTTTTTAGGGAAACTGTTTAATGTACTTTTAAAGCCGATATGAATTTTTCTCTGGGTAGATGTGGTTTTTGTTAAAAATCAGGATTTATATATGAAATGTGATTTATAAACATGTAATATGAAAAGTAATACTTCGTTTGTCCTTTTTCTTACAGGTTTCCCTGCTTATACAATTTCTGATTGAGAATTGCCTTAGGATATTTGGAGAAGAAATCACTTCCCTCTTCAGAGAGGTTTCAGTGAGATGTGACACTAGAGAGAATGCCTCAGGTATTGTGAATAATTGGATTGGTTTTTGTGAGAAACAGACACATGGTTGTTTGTAAACGTGCTGGGATAGGGGTTTTCCTGGAGCCCACAGCAGCTGAAGTGAAAGGAGCCTCTGATCCAGGTCAATGGGGCCCAGGGCTTTTTGATCCTTCCTTAGATGGCCTGCCAATAGGTCAGCATATGTTAACAGTGTAGTGGGATTAAGAACTATATAGAGATTAGGTTCCAGCCTTCAATAAGTTAGTGGCAGCATGCTGTGGTATGATGTTTTTTGATGGGCTTTTTAACTTTATGAATAACCCTAATATATATAATAGAACTGCTATGGTTGAAACTGGTGTAGAAAGCCCAGAGGTAGTAGAGGCATGAATGTTTTTTTTTTTTTTTTTTGTCCTCTCCTTCCTTGTACTGGTCCCTCAGACACGTCAGAATTCTAGTGTGCTATGAAACAGTTTGAAACAACTAGCATCATTTGAGGTGGGGGAACACTGAATTCGAAGACATACAGCTGCCTTCAGAATATGAATCCTTGTGCCATCAATTACTAGATATGTTATCTTTGGCCAATTATTCTATGCCACTGAACATCATTGTCTTTATCTCTAAAATGTGGATGAAAATAATGTCTAACTTTTATGGTTGTTGTAAAGATTAAATAAGGTAATGGATATTAAGGAACTTTGTAAAAGAGACATTGTTAGAGTTAGTAAATGGTTTCCCCAAGACTAGTGTTAAGTATGTATAACCACTAGCAATCTGTTAGAAGGCAGAGTCTTACTCAGAATCTGGATATACTTATACCATGAAGGCAATAATTCCTTCATATTTTTTACCATTTCTTGGTCATATGACATGTTCATTGCTTTAAGAAAATCTTACTTAAGGAAAGCCCATTCGTCAGGAACTGAGATAAATCTCCTATACCCCAGCAATTTTATTTTTATTCTTCACTAACAATTGAGATTGTGAAAGATTCTCTCTTTCTTGAGAGTAGGAATTTGAACACTTCACATGAAAAGAGAATTTGTTCTTAAGGAAGCATGAGTATATTTGTGGTAAGTAAATATGTTAATCATGGTTTAATTTTTTTGACAGATATTTCTTGCTTTCAACTGAATGACTCCTCCTATGACAGCTTGGAAAATGAGCTAAATGAGGATGTTGATGCACCATGCAGTGACTTGGTAAAGAAACTTGGCCAGGGGAGCAGAAGCATGGACTCTGTCTTAACCCTCAGTGACTATGATCTTGACCAGCCCGAGGTGGAAGGCCTTTTAACCCTAAGCGACTTTGACTTGGCCCATTCTAAAGATGAAGATGTTCAAATGAAACGGCCTCTTGAATCCAAGCCGGTGAACATTTTAGTGTACACAAAGATCCCACTGCGGGATCATGCCAGGGCCCCATCTGCCATGTGCACACCCAGCTACCTGTCCACAGCTGCAGCAAATGCTGCAAAAAGCCTGAGGCGACACCGGCGTTGCTCAGAGCCCAGCATCGACTATCTGGATTCAAAGCTTTCCTACCTCAGGGAGTTTTATCAGAAAAAGCTACGCAAGTCCAGCTGTGATGCAATTCTTTCTCAAAAAGATGAAGACTATCTGAAGCAGAATCAACCCCTCCAGGAGGAAGGAAAGACATGTTTTAAACAGAGTTTAGTCACAGGCACTGATGTCAGCAAGAAAAATGCCACTACTCAAAACACTAAGAAGAAAAGCTTGTCTGGTAGTGAAGGAAATCACGTGAAACTTTTCCCTAAGTCTAAGCCAGTGGCCATTTCTGTGGCATCTTATAGTCCTATGTCCTCACAGGATCATTCCAAGAACCAGCCCTTTGATGTGAATACATCTGGATACTCCCCACCACACACAGCAGATGCCCTCAAGGGTCCAAGGACACATCGGCGCTGCTCAGAGCCCAACATAGAAGACCAGAACCGCAAGCTGACCTATCTCAGGGGAATTTATTCAAAGAAACAACATAAAACCAGCTGTGAAGCTGGTCTCTTGCATGGAGAGGAGGATTATCTCAAACGGCATAAGTCTTTGCAAATGGAGGGGCAGAAGCTCATTAATCAGAGTTTAGTCATGGGGATTGAGGTGGGCAAGAGTAGTGCCACAAACCAAAACACTGAGAAGGTTTTACCCCCAAGATTAAACCTTTGCCCAAGGACCAGCTATTCCAGCTTATCCTCCCCAGGCACTTCCCCATCCGGCTCATCAGTAAGCTCCCAAGACAGTGCTTTTTCTCAGATTTCTGAACACTCTGTGTTTACACCCACTGAGACTTCCTCTCCAATAGATTGCACTTTTCAGGCTCAGAGAAAACGGGAAGACCTTTCTCCTGACTTTAGCAATGCCAGCCATGTTTCCGGAATGCCCGGTCCCTCATCAGGGCAGGCTTGCAGCCGCCCAGCCTATACAAAGAAGGACACCATGGAGTGGCATTCACAAATGCATTCTGTAACTCTTCATCCCAGCACATGGTTGAGAAATGGTGTGGCCAGTTTGAAAAACTGGTCCCTCAAAAAGAAAGCAAAGGCAGCCAGACCAGAGGAAGAGAAAATAGCTTCTCCAAAAGGACCCTTAGAGCCACCCCCACATGCTTCTGGTGTTCCAGAAGCCAACTCACTGCAAGAGGAACAAAAAGACTTGCCCTTAAGGGCAGCTGAAGGACTGTCCCCTGTGCAGTCAGCCCAAAGGTGTAGTTCTTCTCCCTTCCAGGACTCAGAGAGACACTGTAGCTCTCCATTCAGCCTGGTGGAGAGCAGACTTAAGCTGTGCATGAAGTCACATGAGGAAATAGAGCCTGGTAGTCAGAGCTCTTCTGGTTCTCTGCCTTGGGAAAGAGCCTCAGCCAGCTCTTGGACTCTAGAGGATGCGACCAGCCCAGACTCAGGGCCTACAGTGGTCTGCGACATTGAGGACAGGTATTTAACCAAAGACATTTAAGCATAGTAAGAATCTGATGTCCACAAGAACAGGAACTGGGTTAATAATAATAGACAATAATTATTATGACCCCTTTGTATAAGATACCTGGGAGAGGTAGCATAAGGATTATCATTGCTAATACTTAGGACAACGAAATAATTCTCTTTATTGAGACTACTTGACAAATACTTTATGCTAAAAATTTTGTCACCTAAGTGTTTGGGAGGCTTTTTCTTATTAAAGGTTGGGATTGGTCCTGTCATGTGGTTTTAGAGATACTAACAGAGGGCTAGAGAAAGCATCTTCTGCAGAGGAAGCACTTATGGGAACAGTCTGTGAGATTGATGTCCTGAGAAGACCAAGATATCAGGAATGAGGAATAGGGGCCTGAGGAGAGAGGGGAAGGGTACAGAGAAACCATCTACATTCCATGGAATGTTTTTAATAAGTAGGCAAGAAAAATGCCACTAATCAAAGCATTAAGTGTGTCCAGTAATGAAGAACATCATATAAAATCTTTCCCTAAATCTAAGCCAGTGGCCATTTTTGTGGGATCTTACTAATCACGTGTCCTTACAGAATCATTCCAAGAACCAGCCCATTGCTACAGCTAGAGTGGAGAAAAACAGAGTGACTCAAAAGCCATGGGTACCATGATATCAGTTTTGTTGGTTGTATTTGTCGGTTTGTTTTTTCATTCATGTTGAAGTGCTTTGCAAGGCTTCAGGAAACAGAGTTGTGAGGAGAAAGAAGAAAATGGCTGCCCATTTCAGTACCCTTTCAAAGGTATCTCTGCCTAGGAACATTCTTCAGAAATGCAACTTCTTCTATTTAGAAGGTGACCTCCTGACAGCGTTCACTCTCAATATGGAGGAAAAGACCACAACAACTGTCCTTTCTCAATTACACAAATGCTGTTAAAATGTGATCAAACCATGGCATCACTTTGCTGAAATGTTTCTGCACAGTCCTGCCTCTTAGATTACAGTCAGCCAGAAAAACATACTTATAAATCATCCCTTTTCTGATTTTTGTAGTTTGGCAATTGAGAGAGCAATATTGAGGTTGGCCGGTTATAAGGAGTCCCACAATAGAATACCCAACAAAGTGGCTGCCAGGCCTTCTCAGACAGCCATTTGCTTTGGGTTTTGCTTCCAGACGTTGTTCCATATTTTTGCCCCAAATGTTTCATGGCTTATACCCCATTGGTTTATTTTATATCCATGGACCTTTCTTTCTCTGCTTTCTTGACTTAAAGGTTGCAGCAGTACATCTCGTCACCTAGGAATAGATTATCAGGCCTTGCCAACTAGTATGCAGGGATGGCACTAAAAATGGATGTGCATCTTCTTTCACATTAACTACTAACCTATAAGAAGTTGCTCTGAGCCCATTTATTTAAACTCTTTAGTTCACCATCAGATGGACCTTTCTCTCACAAGCTAGCTTATTCCAAATTATTTGTCTTATTAATCACCAGAAAATGGTCATATCAAATGTTCTTTCTTTTTTGTTCTAAAGGTTGCATTTTCAGTTATAGGGGAAAAAATATTTTCTCTAAGATAGAAGAAGTTATTTCAGTATTAGCTATAGGTGCTACCTACCTCTTGGGGACATGGCCCTGTTTGCGCTAACCATTACAATGATCTTTTAGAACTCTGTATCCAAAGAGCTACTTCGTGACACTGGCCATCTGAGTCACAGATGTGAAGTCGATTTCACTTTATAACTAACCAGTCCTACATATTAAGACTTCTAAGTGTCCATATGCATCTTTTTTGGTATAATATATAAAGTCAGCAGGGACTCCCCTTTCCCTTAGGGCATACTACTGTCAGTCAGAACTGCAAGATGTGAATGAAGCTCTTAACGGCTTGGAGTGTCTTTCTGGAAGAAATTGCCTTTTTTTTTTTTTTCATGTTAGCAGGTAAAAAATCATTCACCCAATTTGAAGCATAGAAGAAAATAGTTGCTGAGGTTTTTTAATAACCATTCCTACTATCTGTGTTCCCTTAGATACTCCTGTAATTCTTAATGTGAATAGTTTGTTAATATTGCTGTAAAGTATTATATTGTATGATTTGAAGACAGACTATATGTCATTTTATTATACTCCATCAATCTATAATATATTAGACTGATGCTTTATCTAAAATGCTTTGAGTTTGTATAATATATCTTGACAAATTTTACTACCATATGTTATGTAATAAATGTGTATTTTTGTACTTGCAGAAACTGCTGCTAACTTTTAAAGTTGTTTGGTTTTCAAGGCACTGATAATGGATATGTATGAAGTCCATGCTGTCTGTTAAATAAAATGCCATTCTGCAGAATTAACCATCCCACCAGAGCAATATTGCCCTTTGTAGAATTGTTCTAGTTAATGATCCCAATCTCTGCCTAACATTGGAAATTTCATAGAGTATAATCTAACATTGGAAATTTCATAGAGTATAATTAATGTTGAATTTGAACCTTGAGCTTTTAGTCAGAACCTGTGGTCAGTCTGTCTTTTTAGGAAAAGTGGTTTTTTAAAATACTTTTTTTCTAATGTTATTTACCAAACAAACAAGTCATGTTTTAGATACAAAGTCTTCATTTTCTTAGCATTGTGTTTTCACTGTGCTCCTGGAATGAGATATAGTCAGTATTCTTATGTCAAAGAACCATAAGATCACTTCGATTGTGTGAGATTTTCTTATCTAAGTTTGGACCATTCTAACCAGAATACCCAGATGACCCCAGACACATACCAAGACATCAGTGCTTTTCAGGTCATATAAATGTATTTAATATGACGAGATTGTCATGACTACTACAGCTTTGCCATCTGAAAGTTGGCTGAGGTTCCCTCTGTGTAAAGTTAATCACTATTTCAAAGGGATTCAAAAACATATTCTACTTTAGTCCAGACAGGATTTCTCTCTAAATATTACAGAAACACAATGATAATTTCACTTTTTAAAAAGAGTCTTCATCTAAAAGCACTGAATTTAAGAGATTATCTCCTTTGTGCTTTTCTACTTTTCATGACATGACATTGCTTCGAAGGAATCTAATGTATATCTTTGAACCAATGCCATATTGTTTCTGCTGAAAAAATAATTCTAAGAATATTATGTATCTTCATCCAAATTTTGGTGGCAAGTGTTTAATTTGTATTTTCCTTCCAGGTCATGTTTTGTTTGTTTTGTTTTCATTTTTGTTTTTGTTTTGAGACGGAGTCTCACTCTGTAGCCCAAGCTGGAGTGCAGTGGCGTAATCTCGGCTCACTGCAACCTTCGCCTCTGGGGCTTAAGCAATTCTCCTGCGTCAGCCTCCCAAGTAGCTGAGACTACAGGTGCATGCCACCATACCTGGTTAATTTTTTTGTTTGTTTTTAGTAGAGGCAGGGTTTCACCACGTTGCCCTCGGTGGTCTCGAACTCCTGAGCTCAGGAGATACCGCCTCGGCCTCCTAAAGTGCCAGCTCATGTTTTAACGACACAGAGAACATCTTTACAAACTGCCTATTCCAATGCAAAGAAAAATTCATTACAAAAAAAGTTAGTAAATAATTTTTATTCCCTGAATAATAAAGTTGGATAAAATGTTTACTTTCTTCAACATCTATTCTGGCTGCGAGGATTTCTCATAAGGTAAGTTTCTAAGTATTCTTGAATTCTGTGCTGACTTACCCTGAGCTAGCATTTTACCCCGTTCCTGAGCCACCTTCATGTTGCATTCAGGTTTGTTTTTAAATACCATGAACTCTAGCTCTGCACTCCATAGTGTCAGATGTTATGGTAGAATTAATTGACAGAGGGCTCTGGGTTGTAATTTGGAAAGTTTTGTTTTGAAATCCCAATGAAGTACACACAGATGATGGTATTTATTAGATGACCATTGCTCCTTTTTTTATTGAGACAGAGTCTCACCCTCGTTGTCCAGGCTGGAGTGCAATGGCACAATATTGGCTCATGGCAACCTCCGCCTCTCGGGTTCAAGTGATTCTTCTGCCTCAGCTTCCTGAGTAGCTAGGATTACAGGCATGCGCCACCACGCCCAGCCAATTTTGTATTTTTAGTAGAGACGAGGTTTCTCCATGTTGGTCAGGCTGGTCTTGAACACCCGACCTCAGGTGATCCACCCGCCATGGCCTCCCAAAGTGCTGGGATTACAGGCGTGAGCCACCGCGCCCGGCCAAGCATTGTTCTTTAATGTGTGTTCACATAGTGCAGCACCAGAACACATACACATTTTTAGATCAAAATATATTTTAACATTTGTTAAAGCAAAATATATGTTTTCTGGAGTTGAATTTTACATGGTAATATATAGGCTTTGGAGACATTAAGATTTAAATGCTAGTTGTTGTAGTCTAGACTTGATATTAGATTACAGTAACTTGGAATTAAATTTAGGACTTCTCCTTGCAGCCGCTTTATCTGCCATGAAGTGAATAAATCAGCTAAAAACTTGTGAGGTAGTTCCATTACTCTAAGCAAATAAAATGAGTGCTACAAAGAAATGCGCCTCCTCTGCCAGATCACAGGGGCTGTGATTGTTACTGCCTAAAATTTTCAGGAGGAAAGGAAATATGTATCTTTTCCCAAGAAGGGGATGATTAAGTAGCAGAGAATCATCAAAATACATGAACACAAGACGCTTCCTGCTTGATGGCACAGCAAGTGAGGGGAAAGCCTTAAGTAAGCATTATAATTCGTACAAGAAACTGAATCACAGGGAGTTTAAGAAAAAAAAAAAAACTGAAAAGAAGGAAAGAGCATGGCTTGGGGAAATGAAAATGTTAAAAGTGATAAAATGTTATTCAGGCAGCTAAACTGTTATTGCCAGATACTGTTCCAGACCCTAGTGATACAAGGTGAAAAAGACAAATTATTTCTGTCCTCAAGGACTTTAAACAGAGAAGGGAAAAATTGGGCTGTGTAGAAGAGTGGGAACAGTAACATTTATTGGGTACTTAGCTGCATGCATGCACTGGTGACGAATGTATTACATGTAGTATTTCATTTAATGCTCACAATAGATCTTGTGTCCTGGGTACATTCAGCTGGCACCTCATTCTGAGCACAGATTCTTTTTTTTTTTTTAACCTTTTCCTCTTAAAATAGGTAAGACAATACTTCTTTCATAATAAAGCAGGCACAAATTATGTATGTGAGGACCATCCAGACTTTCCTAAATTCTTGTGTCTAGGCTGGGTATCTCAAATTTATGAAAATCATATCAGAAATCAGAAAGCTATGATAAATATAAAAATAATTGGACTGAGAATTTGTTTTACACAAAATGGCAGACTTGTGTCTCCATGCTCCTCTCTGCTAAGTACAACTATAAATCCTGTAAATATACCACAGACAGCCAAAAGAGAATCTTGAAAGGGGATAAGAGGCAGTGAAATTGGCTTAGAACTCTAGGAGTGGGGGAACAACACAGTGGCAGAGCATCTTACATCTCCTCACCAGTAGAAGAAGGTGACCCAAGGCCTGACCTTTCCCAACTAGCAACACAGGGCAGCTCAGAAATGCCCCTTTCCCTGATCAATGAGAAGCCCTCTGACACCACTGGGTGAAGCAGGAACCATCGGCAAGATGGACTGATAAGAGCTCCACTAGTAATAAATGACCTTTCCTGCTAGGCCTGAGACTCCCCTCACCCCTGAAAGATAGTTGGTCAGGCAACAACAGCAAGAGGGACCCAGCCACAACAGGCAGCTCATCCTGGGAAGCTAATTCGCCACAGCTGCTGTAAGATTCCCTTCCCCTGTCCAAAGACACTGAAACAGCCAGACGGTATGGGAAGGATTCCACCACAAAAAATACCCAGCCAGGGCTGTCTCACGCATGAGGAACAAAGAGGCCTCCTTGACTGGAAACATCAAAATAACACACCACAAAAGCTCTGAAAATTAAGTTGTCATTGGGCGCCCCCATCCCAAACACAGGCCAGATCTGGATGCTGAAACTAAACAGGTGACTGCTAAAATAAAAAGATTTATGTAGGACCCAGAGTCTCTTATATAATAGACAAAATGTCCAGGATACAATTAAAAATCACCTGTCTCACCAAGAACCAGGAAAATCACAATTTCAATGAGAAAAGACAATGTCAACATTAAGATGATTTTTAAAACAGCCACTCTAAAATGTGTCAGAAACCAAATTATCTTAAATGAAAAAATATATATAATCTGAGCAAATAAATAGAAATTATACAAAAGAACCAAATGGAAATTGTTAAACTGAAAAATACAATAGCAGAAATCTCAGTGTATGGGCTCAATAGCAGAGTGGAGATGACAGAGGATAGAATCAGTAAACTTGAGGACAGATTGATAGAATTTGATCACAATCTGAACAACAGAACAGACTGGAAAAAATAATAATAGAGTATCAGGGACCCGTGGAACACTAACAAAAGAGCCAACATTTGTATCAGAGTTCCAGAAGGAGAGAGCGTAAGGCTGAAGCGGTATTCAGGGAAATAATGGCTGAAAACTGAACAAATGTGGTAAAAGACATAAACCTACACATTTAAGAAACTCAAACCCAAGCAGGATAAATGCAAAGGCATCATAATTGAATGTCTGGAAACTAAAGACAAAATCTTGAAAACAGAACCAACAACTTACCTATAGGAAAACACAATTCAAATGACAGGATTTATCATTTGAAACCATGGAGGCCAGAAGGAAGTGGCACAACATTTTACAAGTGCAGAAAGAAAAAGAACTGTCAACCCAGAATCCCATATCCAGTGAAACTAACCTCAATGAATGAAGAAAGAATAAGGACATACTCAGATGAAAGAACATGTCAGGAATGTGTCACTAGCAGATATACCTGTAAAGATTTGCTAAAGAAAGTTTTTTAAACAAAGTAAATGATGGAAAATTCGGAGCATCAGGAAAAAAGAGTATGTATGACAATCCTCATGAGTTTTATAAGTCATATTTGATACTTGAAACAAAAATTATAACACCATTTGATACTCAAAACAATGATATTGAAAAGTGGAAAAGATAAAAGGACCTAAATGGAAATGAAGTTCCCATACTTCATTCAAAGTGGTAAAATGTTGGTACCAGAAGAATGTGATATGCTACAGGTGTATATTGTAATATCCAGAGCAACTACTACAAAAACTATATATTTGGAGTGCGTATATCTCTAAAGCAATAAATAAATCAAGATGAAATTCCAAAAAAATTCTTTAAAACCCACAGGAAGGCAAAAAAAAGCAGAATAATAAAGCCAGAGGAAGCAAATAGAAAATAATAAAATGGCATACTTAAGCTCTAAGGTATCAAGAATTGCCTTAAATGTAAATGATCTACATATACTGATCAAAAGACAGAGATTGACAGAGTGTTTAAGTGTGTATGGGGTGGAGGAGGAACAGTTTTTTTTAATGACCTAATATTTCTTATGTACAAAAATTAACTTCAAATTCAACAACATAGGTAGGTTCAAAGTAAAATGGTGAAAAAGATGTATCATGCAAATATTCATCAAAAGAAAGCAGGAGTGGCTATATTAAAACTGGAAAGATAGACCTATAAAACAAAGAAAATTACCAGAGACAGAAAGGAACATTTCATGACAATCCACCATGAAGACATAGCAATCCTAAACGTGTATGCACAAACAGCAGAGCTTCAAAACATTAGAGCAAAAACTGACGTAACTGAAAGGAGAAATAGACAAATCCACAATTATAGTTGGAGACTTCCACACTCCTCTCTCAACAATTCAATAAAACAACTAGACAGAAAACCAGCAAGGATATAGAAGAATTTTCATCAACACCATCAATCATATCTAATCAGCCTTTAAAGAATAATCCATGCAACAGCAGAGTAGACATTCTTTTCAATTGCTCAAGGAACAGATACCAAGAGGCTGTACTCTGGGCTATAAAACAAACATCAACATTTTAAAATAATTGAAATCATACGGACTATGTTTTGAGACCACAGTGGAATTAAACTAGAAGTAAATAACAGAAAGATAACAGGAGAATCTCCAAACACTTGAAAACCAGCACACTTCTAAATATCCGTGAGTCAAAGAGGAAGTTTCAAAAGAAAACTTTCTTAATCACAAAACTAAGTGGAAATACAACATTTCAAAATACAGCAAGTCCTTGAATAACGTCATTTCATTCAATGTTGTTTCATTGTAACACTGAAGAAAAATAAATAAATAGATTTCCAGCTAGGGCCACTGTCTGTGTGGAGTTTGCACATTGTCCTTACGTGTTCCTGGGTTTTTTCTGGTACTCTGATTTCCTCCCACATCCCAAAGATGTGCCCGTTAGGTCCACTGGCATGTCTACATTGTCCCAGGATGAGTGTGGGTGTGTGAGTGTGCCCTGCGTTGGGATGGCATCCTGTCAGGGATGGTTCCTGCCTTGCACGCTGAGTTGCCAGGACAGGCACCTGCCACCCGAGACCTTGAATTGGAACAACTGAGTAAGTATCTTACTTGTGTTTGTTAATCTATTTTAAATATATAGAGTTAGCATTTATTCCAAGATTCAATATTAGAATAATTTGGGTCTTTATTTAGAAGTTTGACAGGGTTTGTGACCAGAAACACCAAAGAATCTTAACTCTTGTTTATATCAATTAACCTTAGGTAAAATTGGTTTCATTTTGTTGTCCTTTTGCTTAAAGTCACAGTTTCCAAGAACATATTGATGACATTAAATGAGGATTTACTACATATGGGATACTGGTAAAGCAGTGCCTAAAGGAAAATTTATAACACTAAATGCTTACATTAAAACAGAGGAAAGATCTCCAATCAATAAGCTAAGACCCCACCTTAAAAAACTAGATAAAGAAGAGCAAAATTAATCCAAAACAAGCAGAAGGGAGAAAATAATAAAGATCAAAGCAGAAATCAATAAAATTGAATATAGAAAAATAGAGAAAATTAAAAAGATGGCTTATTTTTAAAAATCAATAAAAGTGCTAAATCTCTAGGAAGACTAATGAAAGAGAAAACAAATCACCAATATCAGGAATAAAACATGAGATATCATTACGGATTCTGCAGCCATTAAAAGAATAAGAGAATACTACAAATAATTTTCACACTTATAAACTTGACAAACCACAACTTACCAATACACCACCAAGATGAAACATAATCTGAATAGTCACATAATCATTAAATAAATTCACAACGTAAAGCTCCCAAAGAAAAAAATCTCCCAGGCCCAGATGGTTTCACTGGAGAATTCTAACCTTTAAAGAAAAATTGTAACCAATTTTATACAGTCTCTTTCAGAAAATAGAAAAGTAGGAAACACTTCCAACTCATTTTATGAAGTCAAGTATTATCCTGATACAAATTCCAAAAAAGACCGTATGAAAATAAATAAAAAGAGGAAAGGAAGAAAAGAAAAGGAAGAAAAGAAGGAATTACCAATGTCTCTCATGAATTTAGATGCCGATTTTTAATTAGCAAACAATCTAGCAATGAATAAAAGGAATTATTTACAATGACCAAGTAGGATTTTTTTTTCAGATATGCAAGTGGTTCAATATTTGAAAATCAGTATACCAACCATATATCAACAGGCTAAAGATGGAAAATCATAGTATCATATAAATTGACACAGAAAGACATTTGAAAATCCAATACCCATTAATGATTTAAAAAAATAACAACTCAGCAAGTTAGAAGGAAAATACCTGTTTCCTGTTTGTGTTTTGGTTTTGTTTGTTTGTTTGTTTGTTTTTCTGAGATGGAGTTTCGTTCTTGTCACTCAGGCTGGAGTCCAATGGCATGATCTCGGCTTACTGCAACCTCCGACTCCTGGGTTCAAGCGATTCTCCTGCCTCAGCCTCCCAAGTACCTGGGGTTACAGGCACCTGCCACCCATGCCCAGCTAATTTTTTGTATTTTTAGTAGAGACGGGGTTTCACCATGTTGGCCAGGCTGGTCTTGAACCCCTGACCTCAGGTAATCCACCCATCTCAGCCTCCCAAAGTGCTGGGATTACAGGCATGAGCCACCACACCCAGCCTGTTTGATTTTTTTTAAAATCTACAAAAAGTCTACAGCTAATCTCATACTGAAATGGTGAAAGACTAAATGCTTTCTCCTAAGATTAGGAACAAACCAAGGATGTCTGCTATCACCACTCTTGCTGAACATACTACTGGAAGGTATAGCCACTGAACTAAGGCAGGAAAACAAAGGCATACAGATTGGAAAAGAAGAAATAAAGCTATCTGCAAGTGTCATGATTGACATGACTGTCATAGAAAATCCCAAGGAATTTTTTTAAAAGTACCTCCTAGGACTAATAATTTAATTCAGCAGGGTCACAGAATACAAGGTCAACACACAAAAATCATTTTATACTTACATATGCTAATAACATGCTGAAAGTAAAATTAAAGACAATACCACTTATAATTAAAGAAAATGAAATACTTAGGCATAAATCTAAGAAAACATATATAAGATATGAATGCTGAAAATTACAAAATATTGATGAAATGCTGGTGAAAATAATCAGAGGACCTAAATAAATGGGGAGATATGCAATAATCATGGATTGGAAGACTCAACGCAGTAAATATGTCAACTCTTCCCAAATTGATATATAGGTTTAATTCAATTCCAACCAAAACTCCCAGAAAGGATTTTTGTAGCTGTAGATAAGTTTCTTCTAAAATTTATTGGAAAGGCACAGGCCTTAGAATAGCTAACATCACCTTGGCAAAGAAGAATAAGGTGAAAAGACCACATTTCTCAAAATTAAGGCTTACTATATAATTAGAGCAATCAGGAGATTACAGTATTGATGGAGAGAGAGAAAAACATGTCAGTGGAACATATGTGAAACACATCCATAGACTTTGATACGGCAAAGATGTTGGAATTATTACACCAGGAATTTAAACAGCTATAATTAATATACTATTGGTACTAATCAAAAGATTAGACAACATGCAAGAACAGATGAATACCATAAGCAGAGGTATGGAAACTCTAAGAATAAAAAAATTCTAGAAATCAATGTAACGATGTAACAAAAATGAAGAATGCCTTTGATGAGCTCATCAATAGATTCGATACGATTGAGGAAAGAACCGTGAGCTTGAAGAAATGTCAGTACAAACTTCCAAAACTGAAAGGCAAAGAGAAAAAGCAGTGAAAAATATAAAATAGAATATCCAAAAACTGTGGGAAAATTACAAAAGGTATAACATATATATAAGGCAAATGCCAGAAGGAGAAGAAAAACAAAAAAAGCATTTGAAACAAAAATTATTGAAAACGTCTCATGATTAATGACACACACCAAACCACAGAGCAAGGAAGCTCAGGATAAACACCAAAAAATCTACACCTAGGCATATCATATTTAAACCACAGAAAATCAAAGTCAAAAAGAAAATATTGAAAGAAGAAAAAAAATACCTAGAGGAGCAAAGGTAAGAATTACAATAGACTTCTCATCAGAAATCATGCAAGCAAAAGAGAGTGAAATATTTCAAGTGTTGAAAGAAAGTAATCACCATCGGCCAGGTGCAGTGGCTGATGCCTGTAATCCCAGTACTTTGGGAGGCTGAGGCAGGTGGGTTGCCTGAGGCTAGGAGTTCGAGACTTCCTGGGCAACAAACATGGCGAAACCTCATCTCTACAAAAAATACAAAAATTAGCCAGGCATGGTGGCAAGCACCTATAGTCCCAGCTACTCAGGAGGCTGAACTAAGAGCTTGAATAGATCAGGGTTCCTAGAGGTGAGGCCTGACCCATCTGACTTGAAGTGGTTGTGTCTTTCCAAGCCTAAAAAGTGTGTGAGGATTCCCCTTCCTCCTGTGGCCCTTCTGCTTCCACCCACAGCCCTCCCCACTCTTAGTCCCAATCCTGAAGGCTAACCATCTCTTTTGGCTCAGTGCCTCTCTTCCACTTTTGGGCACAGACCTGGCAAGCTGAGTGCTCCCCTGGTACTTGCCCAGACTATTGGTCCAACCCTTTGTGTTCACTTAGAAACTGTTCTTCCCCATAATCGCTCACCTCAGCAGCCCACTGACGACCCCCAGCTCTCCTCACTGGTCACCAGATGGTGCTCCAGCCAGGCTGACATCTGAGGGCAAAGTATGTGTCTGGTGACACCATGACTGGACCCACCTCTCAGGGACATGGTTGCTCAGAAGAGAAAAGAGCACTTTCCCAGCAGAAAGCACAGCTCTCAGCCTATCCCAAACCTAGTCATTGGAAATAAGCGTAGATACATTCTGCCTCAATTTCCTCATCTGTAACATATCTACTCAAAGAACATAAAACAATGATTTAGTCATTTGATAAGTATGTATTAATAACTCGCTATGTGCCAGGTGCTGTCCTCACCGGGTACAGCAGTGAACAAGCAGTGCACAAGGAAACCTCCCCACCTTCATGGAGTTTGCACTCTAGTGGGGAAAGCAGACAATGAATGTGACAAATGAGAAAATATTTTGTATATCAAATTATAGTAAGTGCTAAGTAGAGAAATAAAACCAGGAAGGGAGATGGAAGTGGCAGGAGCAGATGGAGCTGGTAAAATGTGGGGGCAGGTATCCAGAGAAGCCTCGCTGAGACAGGCAGCTGGCTCTGTGGATATCTAGGGCAAGAGCATTCAAAGGCAACGTGATGAATGGGAAAACTGTCCAAAAGTCTAAAGCCCTCTATGGGTGTGCATGGGTGAGGGAAAATTAATCAGACATCTTAGGTATTTTGTGGAGCTCTTTCCCTTCCATTGCCTCCAGGTTTTGTCAAAAGATTAAGTCTATTATCTAGAATCTGAGCCATTTGACATGACCTCAGAAATCAGCAGACCAACCTCAGATGACCACAGGAGAGGCCACATCTAGCAAAGGTTCCACAGTTAGGAAGTGGCAGGATGTTTCTCGTGCCTTCTCCATGGTCCACATTTATTCCTGGCATTTGCCCACGCAAGAAGCTGGTGATTTGACATTTACTGAGAACCCACCCTGGGGATAAGCCACGTCCAGGTTATGACCCAGAGACCCACTTCCCTGCAACCCTTCTCCAATGCCAAGTGCTGTCTTAGGTGAGGATCTGTGTCTGTGCTGCTTTGGTTTCTAATCCTCTCAGTTGCAAGCACAGCGCGGTGTTCCTTCTGCTCTGTGTAACTCCTGGCACCCAGGGACACCCACAGAGGCCATACATATACTCAGAGCTGTGGCAGTGAACAAAAATGCTTGAGCCTTAAGATTGGGGCAACCCAAAACAGTGCCCAGTTTCAGTCAGGGCAGTGATGTTTGACTCAGCCTGAATCTGAGGAAGTCTCTGACACGTCTTTACCTTCCTTCCATGTGGTACCAAGCGCAGGCTCCACAATGTCCAAGGAGCTGGTTTGAGTCAAAATAGCTCTCCTTACCGTGTGGCACCAGTGTAAATAACTGGTTGGTTTGGTGTCATGCAGACAAAACAACTGCCGGATGGATTGCGGTTTCACTCTTTACCAAGCTCAAGTTGGCACGTGTCTGGGTGGGGCCTGCCAAGTGTGTGGCAGGTTGGGGCACTGCACACGCTACCATCTGCAGTGCTGGAGCTTTAGAGGCCTGGGGTACTTGGTTGGGAGGGTGGGGGCAACTTGAAGGGGGCTAAATGTGGGAAACTGATAACCAGGCTTGTGGCTGAGCATCAGTTCCCTAACCTGGAAATGTCTTCGGTTTTCCCCAGGTTTACCCTCTTATCCAGAGTGAGACCTGCCAGGGCTTTGACGTTCACCCCAGCCCAGCCCAGCCCATGCCTGTGTGTGACTGACCAGGCTACAAAGGCTCTCTCGGAATCTGAGGTTAAGAAAGATGAAGGGCCAGTGCCGCCTGTCTGTCTGCAGTGGGCATATTGCATAATCACAGCTTTCTCTGATCTTTCTTGAGAGAGCTCTTCGTTTCTTCGCTTCTTCCTCTCAGCTTTGTAATACGACACCCAGCCACTGGCCTCTTATCTTTGCTGCCTCCTCACCTCCCAACTCCTCTCTCAGATATACACAGAGAACAGAGACCACTCCTGCTTTGAGGCCTCAAGGATCAAGTTCATTCCCTTAACACCCTTTGCTTGCTGGACTCACTGCTGATACCACAGCCAGGCAAGGACCTTACACTTTCCACCCCGCCTCCCACGCCACTTCATCCTGCCCTCATCTCCTCCCTCTCCAGATTATATCGCATCTCACTCAGGCTCTGGGGACCCATCTCAGGGTGGAGACAGGGTCTGGATTTGAATATTTGTTATGGAGTTTTTTGGCTTCTCCATAAACTAAGGAGACATGAGAAAACAAGATTGCTGCCTTTCTCAGACCACTTTTATGTTTTGAACACTCCTCTGTAGGGCAATAACAAGGAGCCCTGGGCTATCAGGCTGAACCCCCATGTCTGGCTGGAGGAGGGGCAGCCTGTATGGTCCAGCTTAACACTTCTAGGCCTAAACTCAGCTGGGTACCATGGGAGCGGATGTTTTCCACCTATCAAAAACTTTAGATCATTCCCATCACAA
Organism: Homo sapiens; assembly: GCF_000001405.40. Lineage (NCBI taxonomy): Eukaryota > Metazoa > Chordata > Mammalia > Primates > Hominidae > Homo > Homo sapiens. Next base: position 110,564,851 of record NC_000011.10, on the reverse strand, counting down.
ATCGGCAATCTGCATCATAAAGAGACTCCCTGCCTGCCCCCTCTGCTCTTAAGAGGGACTGTACTTTAAAGCAAGGAAAAAGAAAAAGATTGCCCTCTTGTAGCTCTTCTCAAAGACGTGGACTGCAGTGAGCAGGGACCGTCCTTCCAAGGTCTCAGACTGCTCGGGTTTCTCAGAGGTAGGAGCAGGATACCCATAACATTTTCGACATTTTTAAAAAGCCAATTATAAAACTGCACAGGTTAATGGCAGTTACTTTTGGTTGTATGTAATTCATGAATCCATGTTAACATGTGGGAAAGTAAGGTCTGACTCCTGACAAAATAAACTACCTACAATCACATGAGTTTTTTGGTGAAAGGTATGTTAAAAATTGGGGATGTAGAGGGGGAACAAAAATCACAAAAGCAGCCATGAGAGGTCACAAGGCTAGACACCCGTGGCAGCCTGCTCGGGGGCTCATTCTGTGTCCCCATCCATTGTGAACCTCTCAGATTCTCATGTGAGGCTCCCACTGCACAGCTCAGCGCCCAGCACACGCACCATAGGACTAAAACACCTCAAGGTTGTTTTTTCTGGAAATACAAACAAGTGACAAAAAATGGATTCAAGTTTTGCAGTCTTTCCTTCCCACCTGTTCCCCAAGAAAAATGCTTTTGAACATGAAATGTTCTGGAGTAAGAAACAGGGAAGCAGGAATTAGATACCACAAACAAGACAATGGACCACTGTAGGGTGGATGATAATAAGAGTGGTGGTTATTATATTACAATATAATGGTGGTTATAATATAATGGTAGTTATAATGTAATGGTGGTTATAATATAATGGGGGTTATAGTATTATAATACTCATGATCACTTGTTGAGCACCTTTTGGCTTTCAGTTTTTTCAAAGCCCATTGTGATATGGGCTGGGTAAGCTCAACGACAACTCCCCATCTTACAGATGAATAAACTGGTCACTCAAGTAGTAAATGGCTGAGCCAGGCCTTGAGTTTAGGTCTCCTGATTACTCACTAACCTTGTGCCTTCTCCAAGTACCAAGCTGCAAGGCTGCTGTGACCTCAAAAGGTGAAGGTTCTACCAGCCCCTTCCACTCCCAACTATTCCAGGTAATTTTCTGGTATCTCAGAACTCCTGTCTCTCACAGCTAAGAAGAGTCTCTCATACGAAAATTAGATCAGCCAGCACTAACCATAAAAGACAAAAACTGATAAATTGATATAAACAAAATTAAACACGTCTCCTTATCAAATTATACCATTAAGAAGATGAAATAGGCCACAGGCCACACACTGCTACATACACACACAGCACATATCTAACAAATCCAGAATACATAAAAAAATCTTACAAATCAAGAAAAGACAAAAAAAAAATCCAAGTTATAAATTGGACAAAGATCTGAAAAGACACTTCACCAAAGGAGATTTACAAATGACCCATAAAATACTTGAGAAATGCTTAACATCATTAGTTATAAGAATATGCAAATGAAAACCACAATAAGATAGCACTCCATACCCACTAGAGTGGATAAAACTTAGAAGACATCATCCAAAGATGTAGGGCAACTGGAACATACATTATTGGGGACAGGTGTGGGCTGGGGCAGAAGAGTGTAAAATGGCATAGCCACTTTGAAAAACTGTTTGAAAATTTCTTCTAAGGTTCATGCATTTACTCTAGATACTTACCTAACGGGAGTGAAAACCATATGTCCACACAAAGACTTGCACACAGAGATTCATTATAGCTTCTATTCACAATGGCCAAAAACTTTAGACAATCCAAACATTTGTTAACAGGAAAACAGATAAATAAATTGTATGTTCATGAAATGAAATACTATTTGGTACTGAAAAGGAGTAAACTGCTGATACATACAACAACATGATAGAATCTAAAACATTGTGTTGATCAAAAGAAGACACAAAAGAGTGAATGCTGTACGATTCCATTTCCATGAAGCCCAAGGACAGAAATTACTAGTCTATCATAATAGAAGGCAGAAAGTAGTTAGGAAGGTGGTGGACTAGATTGGGAAGGGGCACCAGAGAGCTTTGGGGGTAATGGAAATGTTCTGTGTCTTACTTTAGGCAATGTTTAAGCAGGTGTCTACAACTGTCAAAACTCTTCGCACTGAGCCCTTAAGAGCTATGTATTTTATTGGATGCTAATTATCTCTCAATAAATTTAAAAATAGACCCTGCTGGGTTATCTATAAGGGTCATAGCCTTGCTCCTTGGAGGCCAGTTTCTTCCCCTCTGACTGAAACCTGAAATATGAGCTAATGAACTCCCCACATAGCCTGGTACTAAGGGGTAAAGACAATGAAGAGTTTCAGCAAAACAACTCCAACCAAAAGCTGTTTCTGCCCAGCAGTGCTGAAAAGGAGGCTTCTGTCTGCCCCCCACCCCAGGGATGTAGGGGCCCCTTATTTATTATGTTCATCTTTTAAAATACAGAGGGGGAATGGCAGAGGCACTTGCCTTTCACCTCCCAAAAAGGAATAAAGTACAACTCTCTGCAAAGTGCTACCAGCTTAACAGGCTCAGGGTCACAGGTCCTGCTGGGCAGAGATGTACCTCATTGCTGGCATAGAAGTCAGCTCCAATGACAGACTGGCTTCTAATTTTAGAATTCACTGGACCTCACAGTTTTATAGGTTGACTGTAAAACTCTGGAAAGGGATGATTAAAAAACAGGGCCTCCAGCCATTTCTATATGTGCTGGACCAGAGTGCCTGGGTCCCTGCAGAGGCATAGTCCGATGGTGTCTATGGGAGTTCCTATCCCAGAGAGACCAGAATGCCAGGGGGCTTGGAAACCAGTCATAGGAGGGGCAGTCACAAGAATCACACACCTTTACCTGGGAAAGTGTGGGAGACGCCACAATGATTCAAACACTTGAAAAGCTGGCTAAGGGTAGAAGAAACAGGCTTCATTTATTCCAAATGGCAAAATGTCAACTAACATATAGAAGTCACAAGAAGCTAGATTTTAATGCAACAAAACAAGGGCATTTGCAACAACTGAAGCTGCTTAACATTTGGGTCACATATCAATTCATTTAGCAAATAATTTCTGAACACCTACCACCTGTGCACACAGCAGGATGGATCAGCTGCAGACTTAGCCCCAAAGAGTGTTCAGTGCAGGACAGGGGACAAGACATGACTAGAAATAACTCAGCTACAAGGCAGCAGGGGACAAGTACAGACGTGAGGGCCAGAGCAGGAGAGGAAGGAATTATTTCCACTGCAGCTGGGCCCTCTGTGATGCTCACCAGTCATTTTGCTCCTCCGTGTTCATTTTTTCATCCACTCAATATTTATCAAGCCCTACTTCGTGTCAGGCATGATTCTAAGTGCTGAGATATATCCTACTGAGAAAAAAACAGCCAAATGCCACACCAGTATTATGTCAGGTGGTGACAGGTGCTACTATCACTCTCTTTGACCTATGGAACAACCCCTACTTTCTTGCTTTCAACTGCGATGACCTCCTACCTCACTGAGAATGTTGTAGCCTAAAGCCCCTCTCTCCTGCACATCACAACTGTCATCATCTCTCCCATCCTGATGGAATTACTTTCGGATTCTGAGCAAAGATTCTTCCCCCAACACAGATCTCTCCACTAGTCTCTTCCCACTCCTCAGGGACCTCACTCTATCAGCTGTGCCAGCCCCTGCTTATCTCTTCTCTCTTCACTTAGTATCAAGACCTCAGTTCACAGACCTGTTCATTTCTCAGACCCAAAGCAACATTCCTAGTCTATCCCCAAGAAGGCAAGTAGGTGTTAGTCAAGAGCTAAACTTAGACCGGTCCCAGGATCACATATGGACTTGCAGAAAAGCTACATCTGGTGGATTGGTGTATGCCCCCATGGCCACAGGGGGCACCAGGTATGTGGGGATCTTGATGAGATCCTGCAGGTAGCTCCCAGCTCCCAAATTCTTCAGAGCTCTCACTACTTGCCTCCACTGCTTCATCTCTCCTTCATCACCTCACCTGCCCCATCATGCTGCCTACTGAGACTGGTTGTGCAAAGATCACCCAATGATCACCTGATGGCCAGTACAACAGTTTTCCCTGTCATTGTGTTTGATGCCTTCATAGCCTTCCATGTTGATTTCCCAAGCTTATGTCCTCAGCTTTCTCTCTACTCAACTTTCTGTCACTCCTCAGACAATCTCATCCATTCCACAGATCCAAATATAACTTGTATTCTGGAAGCTCCTCCATTGCCTCTCCTGCCCGGGTAGTTCTCCTGAACCTCTGGGCACTACCACTTGGATCTCTTGCTAAGCATCTCAAACTCTGGGTGCTCAAAATTGGATTCATTTTTCTCCTCCTTCGATGCCCTGTCTTCCTGAATAGCATATCATAGTGTATAGAATCACCACTCTTGCAGTTAACCAAGCCAGAACAATTTAAGGGATTGTTGATTTATTTTATCTTATCTTCTACATCAAATTCCTGCCAACTCCTTTCTGTCAATTCTACCTCAGAAACCTCTCTTGAATCTCTGAGCTCTTCCCCATCCTCATTGCCACTTCCTTAGTTCCACTCCTCATCTCCCTCTTGTCCTATTGAAATGACCTCCTACTTGTCTCTGTTTCTCTTCTTTATACTAAGTACTATTCTAATCAAATTCTTTCTTCCCCTGTCTCTAGAATTCTCTCCTTAGAGGAAAAAAGTCAGCATGCTATTATTCCCTTAAGCAAAGATCTTCTGGGAACTACCCAAATGTCCTTTAAATGATGAATGCTTAAACAAACTGGTACATCCATACCATGGAATACCACTGCACAATGAAAAGGAGTGGACTCTTGATGTACACTGCAATTTGGGTGAACCTCAAGGAAATTAAGCTGACTGAAAAAAGCCAATCTTAAAAGGATACATGTTGCATAATTCTATTTATGTAACAATTATGAAATAACTTAATTAGATGAAGGATATATTACCAATTACCAAGCATTAGGGATGGGGGCATAGTGTGACTACAAATGGGTGACACAAGGTAACTTTGTGGCAATGGTACTCAACAAATACCATTCCCAAGATACTCAACAGTCAAGTTTAATATCTTGATTGTGATGGTGGTTACTTAAGACTACGCTGGTGATAAAATGGCATGAAGCGACACACGCACAGATTCATGCATAAAACTGGTGAAATCTAAATAAGTTCTATGGATTGTACCAACATCAAGTTCTTGGTTTTGATATTGTGCTATGGTTGTATTGGAAGGGGCTGGGTAAATGGTGTATGGGACTTCATTACACCTTTCTTCTCAGCCTCCTGCAGCCTGACCAACATGGAGAAACCCCATCTCTACTAAAAATACAAAATTAGCTGGACATGGTGGTGCGTGCCTGTAATCCCAGCTACTCGGGAGGCTGAGGCAGGAGAATCGCTTGAATCCAGGAGGCAGAGGTTGTGGTGAGCCAAAATCACACCATTGCACTCCAGCCTGTGCAACAAGAGCAAAAAACTGTCTCAAAAAAAACTTAAAGTTATACAATAAATACATAATTATTAAATTAAAACACACAGCCGGGCGTGGTGGCTTACGTCTGTAATCCCAGCACTTTGGGAGGCCGAGGCGGACAGATCACCTGAGGTCAGGAGTTCAAGGCCAGCCTGGCCAGCATTTAGTAGAAACCCCATCTCTACTAAAAGTAGAAAAATTAGCCAGGTGTGGTGGCACGTGCCTGTAGTCCCAGCTACTCAGGGGGCTGAGGCAGGAGAATCGCTTGAACTTGGGAAGCAGAGTGAGCTGAGACTGCGCCACTGTACTCCAGCCTGGGTGACCAAGCAAGACTCCAACTCAAAAACAAACCAAAACAAAACACACACGAAGAAAACCTTCACTGGCTCCCCATTTTTTACAGGACAAAAATAAAACCTCCTTTGTGCAACATTCAACCCTGAGCAATGAGGCTTCACAGTATCTTTCCAGCCTTGTGTCCCACTGCTCTTCCTTTCATTCCCTTCATTTATTCATTATAACGGTTGCGAACCCACAATGGGTCTTCAGCGTGATATTGAAAATACAGTGGTAAGCAAGATAGATGAGGCTCCTGCCCTCAGAAACGGACAGTCTTTAGTGAAAGCCAATTTAGCAAGCAATTTTAATGAAATGAGCCAAATGTTACATTTGGGAAGTACATGCAGCTATCTAATTATTAATACTCTCCTCATTCCTTTTCATTTATGCTGTTCCCTTTGCCCAAAATGCTGTTCCCTGCAATAATAAACCTCCTCTCTCAACTCTTCTATGAGATCTTTCTATTATTCAATCATTCATCAAACATTTACTGAGTTCCTATTCTGTGCCAAGCCTTGTTTCTTTAGAGCAGTGGGGCTGCAACTATGAACCACATAGCAAGACCTCTGCCTTCAAGGATCTTATGTTAGGGGGAGAGACAGATGATCAACAGCCAAATAGGACAAATGCCAGCGAAGAGCTGTAAGAGTGCGGTTGGACAGCTGGTTATGACTGGATGGGTCAGGGAAGTGCTCACCAAGCAAGAGATATTTAAACAGATAATGAAATGGCAAGAGCAAGGAGGGAAGAGCATTATAGATAAAGGGGAAAACTGGTTCAAAGTCTTAAAAGGGAAACATTTGGGCTGTTTAAGGATCAGAAAGGTTAGTGTGCTGAAGCAATGTGGGAGGTAGAGGCAGATAATGGAGTCCAGAAAGTCAGAAAGGTGGACAAGGCCCGTTTCAAGGGGCATTTGTAAGTCAGGATGGTGGGTTTAGATTTTATTCCATGTACAATAAAAAGACTCTGGAGGGGTTGAAGCAGGGGAGGAAACTATCAGTCAGAGTCAACCTTCTGAGAGGTGTAGAGAGAAGAAATTGTAAGAAGGGGGACAAGAGAAAGCAGGAAAGATCTAAAATCGACACCCTAACATCACAATTAAAAGAACTAGAGAAGCAAGAGCAAACAAATTCAAAAGCTAGCAGAAAGCAAGAAATAGATCAGAGCAGAACTGAAGGAGATAGAGACACAAAAAAACCCTTCAAAAAATCAATGAATCCAGGAGCTGGTTTTTTGAAAATATCAACAAAATTGATAGACTGCTAGCAAGACTAATAAAGAAGAAAAGAGAGAAGAATCAAATAGATGCAATAAAAAATGCTATAGGAGATATCCCCACTGATCCCACAGAAATACAAACTACCATCAGAGAATACTATAAACACCTCTATGCAAATAAACTAGAAAATCTAGAAGAAATTGATAAATTCCTGGACACATACACCCTTCCAAGAGTAAATAAGGAAGAAATTGAATCTCTGAATAGACCAATAACAGGCTCTGAAATTGAGGCAACAATTAATAGCCTACCAACCAAAAAAAGTCCAGGACCAGACGGATTCACAGCCGAATTCTACCAAAGGTACAAGGAGGAGCTGGTACCATTCCCTCTGAAACTATTCCAATCAATAGAAAAAGAGGGAATCCTCCTTAACTCATTTTATGAGGCCAGCATCATTCTGATACCAAAGCCTGGCAGAGACACAACAAAAAAAGAGCATTTTAGACCAATATTCCTGATGAACATCGATGCAAAAATCCTCAATAAAATACTGGCAAACCGAATCCAGCAGCACATCAAAAAGCTTATCCACCATGATCAAGTGGGCTTCATCCCTGGGATGTAATGCTGGTTCAACATATGCAAATCAATAAACACAATCCATCACATAAAGAGAACCATCGACAAAAACCACATGATTATCTCGATAGATCCAAAAAAGGCCTTTGACAAAATTCAATGACACTTCATGATAAAAACTCTCAATAAATTAGGTATTGATGGGACATATCTCAAAATAATAAGAGCTATTTGTGACAAACCCACAGCCAATATCATACTGAATGGGCAAAAACTGGAAGCATTCCCTTTGAAAACTGGCACAAGACAGGGATGCCCTCTCACCACTCCTATTCAACACAGTGTTGGAAGTTCTGGCTACGGCAATCAGTCAAGAGAAAGAAATAAAGGAAATTCAATTAGGAAAAGAGGAAGTCAAATTGTCCCTGTTTGCAGATGACATGATTGTATATTTAGAAAACCCCATCATCTCAGCCCCAAATCTCCTTAGGCTGATAAGCAACTTCAGCAAAGTCTCAGGATACCAAATCAATGTGCGAAAATCACAAGCATTCCTATACACCAATAACAGACAAATAGAGAGCCAAATCATGAGTGAACTCCCATTCACAATTGCTACAAACAGAATAAAATACCTAGGAATCCAACTTACAAGGGATGTGAAGGACCTCTTGAAGGAGAACTACAAACCACTGCTCAACGAAATAAAAGAGGACACAAACAAATAGAAGAACATTCCATGCTCATGGATAGGAAGAATCAATATTGCAAAAATGGCCATACTGTCCAAGGTAATTTACAGATTCAATGCCATCCCCATCAAGCTACCAATGACTTTCTTCACAGAATTGGAAAAAAACTACTTTAAAGTTCATATGGAACCAAAAAAGAGCCCACATTGCCAAGTTAATCCTAAGCCAAAAGAACAAACCTGGAGGCATCATGCTACCTGACTTCAAACTATACTACAAGGCTACAGTAAACAAAACAGCATGGTACTGGTACCAAAACAGAGATATAGACCAATGGAACAGAACAGAGGCCTCAGAAATAACACCACACATCTACAACCATCTGGTCTTTGACAAACCTGACAAAAACAAGCAATGGGGAAAGGATTCCCTATTTAATAAATGATGCTGGGAAAGTTGGCAAGTCATACGTAGAAAGCTGAAACTGGATCCCTTCCTTACACCTTATACAAAAATTAATTCAAGATGGATTAAAGACTTAAATATTAGACCTAAAAATCATAAAAACCCTAGAAGAAAACCTAGGCAATACCATTCAGTACATAGGCATGGGCAAGGACTTCATGACTAAAACATCAAAAGCAATGGCTATTCCTTTCCATGTTTAGTGCTTCCTTCAGGAGCTCTTTTAGGGCAGGCCTGGCGGCGACAAAATCTCTCAGCATTTGCTTATCTGTAAAGGATTTTATTTCTCCTTCACTTATGAAGCTTAGTTTGACTGGATATGAAATTCTGGGTTGAAAATTCTTTTCTTTAAGAATGTTGAATGTTGGCCCCCACTCTCTTCTGGCTTGTAGAGTTTCTGCCAAGAGATCCACTGTTAGTCTGATGGGCTTCCCTTTGTGGGTAACCCGACCTTTCTCTCTGGCTGCCCTTAACATGTTTTCCTTCATTTCAACTTTGGTGAATCTGACAATTATGTGTCTTGGAGTTGCTCTTCTCGAGGAGTATCTTTGTGGCATTCTCTATATTTCCTGAATCTGAATGTTGGCCTGCCTTGCTAGATTGGGGAAGTTCTCCTGGATAATATCCTGCAGAGTGTTTTCCAACTTGGTTCCATTCTCCCCGTCACTTTCAGGTACACCAATCAGACGTAGATTTCGTCTTTTCACATAGTCCCGTATTTCTTGGAGGCTTTGTTCGTTTCTTTTTATTCTTTTTTCTCTAAACTTCCCTTCTAACTTCATTTCATTCATTTCATCTTCCATCACTGATACCCTTTCTTCCAGTTGATCGCATCGGCTCCTGAGGCTTCTGCATTCTTCACGTAGTTCTTGAGCCTTGGCTTTCAGCTCCATCAGCTCCTTTAAGGACTTCTCTGCGTAGGTTATTCTAGGTATCCATTTGTCTAATTTTTTTTCAAAGTTTTTAACTTCTTTGCCATTGGTTTGAATTTCCTCATGTAGCTCGCAGTCGTTTGATCGTCTGAAGCCTTCTTCTCTCAATTCGTCAAAGTCATTCTCCATCCAGCTTTGTTCCATTGCCGGTGAGAAGCTGCGTTCCTTTGGAGGAGGAGAGGTGCTCTTCTTTTTAGAGTTTCCAGTTTTTCTGCTCTGTTTTTTCCCCATCTTTGTGGTTTTATCTACTTTTGGTCTTTGATGATGTTGACATACAGATGGGTTTTTGGTGTGGATGTCCTTTCTGTTTGTTAGTTTTCCTTCTAACAGACAGGACCCTCAGCTGCAGGTCTGTTGGAGTTTGGTAGAGGTCCACTCCAGACCCTGTTTGCCTAGGTATCAGCAGCAGTGGCTGCAGAACAGCGGTGGCTGTAGAACAGTGCATATTGGTGATCCGCAAATGCTGCTGCCTGATCGTTCCTCTGGAAGTTTTGTCTCAGAGGAGTACCCGGCCCTGTGAGGTGTCAGTCTGCCCCTACTGGGGGGTGCCGCCCAGTTAGGCTGCTCGGGGGTCAGGGACCCACTTGAGGAGGCAGTCTGCCCATTCTCAGTTCTCCAGCTGCATGCTGGAAGAACCGCTACTCTCTTCAAAGCTGTCAGACAGGGACATTTAAGTCTGCAGAGGTTACTGCTGTCTTTTTGTTTGTCTGTGCCCTGCCCCCAGAGGTGGAGCCTACAGAGGCAGGCAGGCCTCCTTGAGCTGTGGTGGGCTCCACCCAGTTCGAGCTTCCCGGCTGCTTTGTTTACCTAATCAAGCCTGGGCAATGGCAGGCACCTCTCCCCCAGCCTCGCTGCTGCCTTGCAGTTTGATCTCAGACTGCTGTGCTATAAGTCAGTGAGACTCTGTGGGCGTAGGACCCTCTGAGCCAGGTGCAGGATATAATCTCCTGGTGTGCCATTTTTTAAGCCCATTGGAAAAGCGCAGTATTAGGGTGGGAGTGACCCGATTTTCCGGGTGCCTTCTGTCACCCCTTTCTTTGACTAGGAAAGGGAACTCCCTGACCCCTTGCGCTTCCCAAGTGAGGCAATGCCTCACCTTGCTTCAGCTCATGCCCGGTGCGCTGCACCCACTGTCCTGCACCCACTGACCGGTACCAGCCACTGCAAAAACATGCCAAACTGTAAAGACCATGGATGCCAGGAAGAAACTACATCAACTAATGAGCAAAATAACCAGCTAACAACATAATGACAGGGCCAAATTCACACATAACAATATTAACTTTAAATGTAAATGGGCTAAATGCTCCAATTAAAAGACACAGACTGGTAAATTGGATAAAGGGTCAAGACTCATCAGTGTGCTGTATTCAGGAAACCCATCTCACATGCAGAGACACACATAGGCTCAAAATAAAGGGATGGAGGAAGATCTACCAAGCAAATGGAAAACAAAAAAAGGCAGGGGTTGCAATACTAGTCTCTGATAAAACAGACTTTAAACCAACAAAGATCAAAAGAGACAAAGAAGGCCATTACATAATAGTAAAGGGATCAATTCAACAAGAAGAGCTAACTATCCTAAATATATATGCACCCAATAAAGGAGCACCCAGATTCATAAAGCAAGTCCTGAGTGACCTACAAAGAGACTTAGACTCCCACACAATAATAATGGGAGACTTTAACACCCCACTGTCAACATTAGACAGATCAATGAGACAGAAAGTTAACAAGGATACCCAGGAATTGAACTCAGCTCTGCACCAAGTGGACCTAATAGACATCTATAGAACTCTCCAACCCAAATCAACAGAATATACATTTTTTTCAGCACCACACCACACCTGTTCCAAAATTGACCACACAGTTAGAAGTAAAGCACTCCTCAGCAAATGTAAAAGAACAGAAATTATAACAAACTGTCTCTCAGACCACAGTGCAATCAAACTAGAACTCAGGATTAAGAAACTCACTCAAAACCACTCAACTACATGGAAACTGAACAACCTGCTCCTGAATGACTACTGGGTACATAACGAAATGAAGGCAGAAATAAAGATGTTCTTTGAAACCAATGAGAAAAAAGATACAACATACCAGAAACTCTGGGATACATTCAAAGCAGTGTATAGAGGGAAATTTATAGCACACAAGAGAAAGCAGGAAAGATCCAAAATGGACACACTAACATCACAATTAAAAGAACTAGAAAAGGAAGAGCAAACACATTCAAAAGCTAGCAGAAGGCAAGAAATAACTAAAATCAGAGCAGAACTGAAGGAAATAGAGACACAAAAAACCCTTCAAAAAAATTAGTGAATCCAGGAGCTGGTTTTTTGAAAAGATCAACAAAATTGATAGACTGTTAGCAAGACTAATAAAGAAGAAAAGAGAGAAGACTCAAACAGATGCAATAAAAAATGATAAAGGGGATATCACCACCGATCCCACAGAAATACAAACTACCATCAGAGAATACTACAAACACCTCTACGCAAATAAACTAGAAAATCTAGAAGAAATGGATAAATTCCTCGACACATACACCTTCCCAAGACTAAACCAGGAAGAAGTTGGATCTCTGAATAGACCAATAACAGGATCTGAAACTGTGGCAATAATCAGTAGCTTACCAACCAAAAAAAGTCCAGGACCAGATGGATTCACAGCTGAATTCTACCAGAGGTACAAGGAGGAACTGGTACCATTCCTTCTGAAACTATTCCAATCAATAGAAAAAGAGGGAATCCTCCCTAACTCATTTTATGAGGCCAGCATCATCCTGATACCAAAGCCTGGCAGAGACACAACAAAAAAAGAGCATTTTAGACCAATATCCTTGTTGAACCTTGATGCAAAAATCCTCAATAAAATACTGGCAAAACGATCCAGCAGCACATCAAAAAGCTTATCCACCATGATCAAGTGGGCTTCATCCCTGGGATGCAAGGCTGGTTCAACATATGCAAATCAATAAATGTAATCCAGCATATAAACAGAACCAAAGACAAAAACCACATGATTATCTCAATAGATGCAGAAAAGGCCTTTGACAAAATTCAACAACGCTTCATGCTAAAAACTCTCAATAAATTAGGTATTGATGGGACATATCTCAAAATAATAAGAGCTATTTGTGACAAACCCACAGCCAATATCATACTGAATGGGCAAAAACTGGAAGCATTCCCTTTGAAAACTGGCACAAGACAGGGATGCCCTCTCTTACCACTCCTATTCAACATAGTGTTGGAAGTTCTGGCTACGGCAATCAGTCAAGAGAAAGAAATAAAGGAAATTCAATTAGGAAAAGAGGAAGTCAAATTGTCCGTTTGCAGATGACATGATTGTATATTTAGAAAACCCCATCATCTCAGCCCAAAATCTACTTAAGCTGATAAGCAACTTCAGCAAAGTCTCAGGATACAAAATCAATGTACAAAAATCACAAGCATTCTTATACACCAATAACAGACAAACGGAGAGCCAAATCATGAGTGAACTACCATTCACAATTGCTTCAAAGAGAATAAAATACCTAGGAATCCAACTTACAAGGGATGTGAAGGACCTCTTCAAGGAGAACTACAAACCACTGCTCAATGAAGTAAAAGAGGATACAAACAAATGGAAGAACATTCCATGCTCATGGGAAGGAAGAATCAATATTGTGAAAATGGCCATACTGCCCAAGGTAATTTATAGATTCAATGCCATCCCCATCAAGCTACCAATGACTTTCTTCACAGAATTGGAAAAGACTACTTTAAAGTTCATATGGAACCGAAAAGAGAGCCCACATCACCAAGTCAATCCTAAGCCAAAAGAACAAAGCTGGAGGCATCACGCTACCTGACTTTAAACTATACTACAAGGCTACCATAACCAAAATAGCATGGTACTGGTACCAAAACAGAGATATAGATCAATGGAACAGAACAGAGCCCTCAGAAATAATGCCGCTATCTACAACCATCTGACCTTTGACAAACCTGACAAAAACAAGCAATGGGGAAAGGATTCCCTATTTAATAAATGGTGCTGGGAAAACTGTCTAGCCATATGTAGAAAGCTGAAACTGGATGCCTTCCTCACACCTTATACAAAAATTAATTCAAGATGGATTAAAGACTTACATGTTAGACCTAAAACCATAAAAACCCTAGAAGAAAACCTAGGCATTACCATTCAGGACATAGGCATGGGCAAGGACTTCATGTCTAAAACACCAAAAGCAATGGCAACAAAAGACAAAATTGACAAATGGGATCTAAGTAAACTAAAGAGCTTCTGCACAGCAAAAGAAACTACCATCAGAGTGAACAGGCAACCTACAAAATGGGAGACAATTTTCACAACCTACTCATCTGACAAAGGGCTAATATCCAGAATCTACAATGAACTCAAACAAATTTACAAGAAAAAAACAAACAACCCCATCAAAAAGTGGGCGAAGGATATGAACAGACACTTCTCAAAAGAAGACATTTATGCAGCCAAAAAACACATGAAAAAATGCTCATCATCACTGGCCATCAGAGAAATGCAAATCAAAACCACAATCAGATACCATCTCACACCAGTTAGAATGGCGATCATTAAAAAGTCAGGAAACAACAGGTGCTGGATAGGATGTGGAGAAATAGGAACACTTTTACACTGTTGGTGGGACTGTAAACTAGTTCAACCATTGTGGAAGTCAGTGTGGTGATTCCTCAGGGATCTAGAACTAGAAATACCATTTGACCCAGCCATCCCATTACTGGATATATACTGAAAGGATTATAAATCATGCTGCTATAAAGACACATGCACATGTATGTTTATTGTGGCACTATTCACAATAGCAAAGACTTGGAACCAACCCAAATGTCCAACAACGATAGACTGGATTAAGAAAATGTGGCACATATAGACCATGGAATACTATGCAGCCATAAAAAAGGATGAGTTCATGTCCTTTGTAGGGACATGGATGAAACTGGAAACCATCATTCTCAGCAAACTATTGCAAGGACAAAAAACCAAACACTGCATGTTCTCACTCATAGGTGGGAATTGAACAATCAGAACACATGGACACAGGAAGGGGAACATCACACTCCGGGGACTGTTGTGGGGTGGGGGGAGGGGAGAGGGATAGCATTAGGAGATATGCCTAATGTAAATGACGAGTTAATGGGTGCAGCACACCAACATGGCACATGTATACATATGTAACAAACCTGCACATTGTGCACATGTACCCTAAAACTTAAAGTATAATAATAATAAAATTTTTAAAAAAAGCAATGGCAACAGAAGTCAAAATAGACAAATGGGATCTAATTAAACTAAAGAGCTTCTGCACAGCAAAAGAAACTACCATCAGAGTGAACAGGCAACCTACAGAATGGGAGAAAATTTTTGCAAATGTACCCATCTGACAAAGGGCTAATATCCAGAGTCTACAAAGAACTTAAACAAATTTACAAGAAAAAAACAAACAACCCCATCAAAAAGTGGGCAAAGCATATGAACAGAGACTTCTCAAAAGAAGACATTTATGCAGCCAACAGACACATGAAATAATGCTCATCATCACTGGTCATAAAAGAAATGCAAATCAAAACCACAATAAGATACCATCTCACACCAGTTAGAATGGCGATCATTAAAAAGTCAGGAAACAACAGGTGCTGGAGAGGATGTGGAGAAACAGGAATGCTATTACACTGTTGGTGGGAGTGTAAACTAGTTGAACCATTGTGGAAGACAGTGTGGTGATTCCTCAAGGATCTAGAGCTAGAAATACCATTTGACCCAGTGATCCCATTACTGGGTATATACCCAAAGGATTATAAATCATGCTACTATAAAGACACATGCACATGTATGTTTATTGCGGCACTATTCACAATAGCAAAGTCTTGGAACTAACCCAAATGTCCATCAGTGATAGGCTGGATTAAGAAAATGTGGCACATATACACCACGGAATACTATGCAGCCATAAAAAAGGATGAGTTCATGTCCTTTGCAGGGACATGGATGAAGCTGGAAACCATCATTCTGAGCAACCTATCACAAGGACAGAAAACCAAACACCGCATGTTCTTGCTCATAGGTGGGAACTGAACAATGAGAACACTTGGACACAGGGTGAGGAACATCACACACAGGGGCCTGTTGTGGGGTGGGGGGTTGGGGGAGGGATAGCATTGGGAGAAATACCTAATGTAAATGATGGGTTGATGTGTGCAGCAGGCCAGCATGGCACATGTATACTATGTAACAAGCCTGCACATTGTGCAGATGTACCCTAGAACTTAAAGTATTATAATAATAATAATAACAAAAGAAATTGTATGGTGGGGGAAACGGGCAAGAGAAGAATCAGAGAAAAGTTAGGGGGCAAGAGATGCTGGTGACTCCATGGTGGCTCCCTAGGGCCTTGTTCTCATTGATGATATCTTATTGTCACCTTGGCTTAGGGTTCGTTGTTTATATGCCTGCCTTCCTGACTAGGTGTTCCTGATAGAGGAGACGGACGATGTGTTATTCTTTTTTGCCTCTCATGCCCAGCAAACATAGTAGTGTCTTTTTTTTTTTTTTCCAACCTTCATTTTAGGTTCAGGGAATACATGTGCAAGTTTGTGACATGAGTAAATTGCATGTCACGCAGCTTTGGTGTACAGATTATTTCATCACCCAGGTAATAAGCACAGTACCCAATAGACAGTTCTTATTATCCTCACCCTCCTCCTACCCTTCACCCTCAAGTAGGCCCTGGCGTCTCTTATTCCTTCTACTTGTCCATGTGTCCTCAATTTTTAGTTCCTACTTCTAAGTGAGAACATGTGGTTTTTGGATTTCTGTTCCTATGTAAATTCACAGATGATAATGGCCTCCAGCAGCATCTTTGTTGCTACAAAGGACACGATTTTGTTCTTTTTTATAACTGCATAGTATTCCATGGTGTATATGTATCACATTTTCTTTATCCAGTCTATTGTTGTTGGGCATCTGGGTTAATTCCATGTCTTTGCTATTGTGAATAGTGCTGTGATGAACATATGCAAGTATGTGTCTATGTGGTAGAATGATTTCTATTCCTTTGGGTATATACCCAGGAATGGGATTGCTAGGTGGGATGCTAGCTCTATTTTAAGTTATTTGAGGAACCTCCAAACTGCTCTCCACAATGGATGAGCTAATTTGCATTCCTACCAGCAGTATATAAATATTACCTTTTCTACACAACCTCACCAGCATCTGTTATTTTCTGATTTTTTAATAATAGCCATTCTGACTGGTGTGAGATGGTATCTCATTGTGGTTTTGATTTGAATTTCTCGGATAATTAGTGATATGGACATTTTTTTCCTATGCTTGTTAGCCATGTGTATGTCCTCTTTTGAGAAGTGTCTATTCAGGTCCTTTGCCCATTTTTTAATGAGGTTGTTTGTTTTTTGCTTGTAAATTTAAGTTCCTTATAGATTCTGGATGCTAACATCCAGACCTTTGTCGGACACATAATTTGCAAATATTTTCAACTCTGTAGGTTTTCTGTTTACTGTGTTGATAGGTTTTTCTTGTTTGTTTGTTTGCTTTTTGCTGTGTGGAAACTCTTTAATTAGGTCCCACTTGTCAGTTTTTGTTATTGCTGCAACTGCTTTGGAGTCTTCATCATAAAATCTTTGCCAAGGCCTATGTCCAAAATGCTATTTCCTAGGTTTTCCTCTTGGGTTTTTATAGGTTGAGGTTTTATTTTAAAATTTTTAATTCATCCTGAGTTGATTTTTGTATATGGTGAAAGGAAGGGGTCCTTTCATTTGTATATGGTGAAAGGAAGGGGTCAGTTTCATTCTTCTGCATATAGCTAGCCAGTTATCCCAGCACCATATATTGAATCGGAGGTCCTTTCCCCGTTGCTTGTTTTTGTCAACTTTGACAAAGATCAGATGTTTGTAAGCATGTGGCTTTATATCTGGGTGCTCTATTCTTTTCCATTGACCTGTGTAACTTTTTGTACCAGTACCATCATGTTTTGGTTAGTTTTGTAAAATAAAATCAGGTAGTGTGATGCCTCCAGCTTTGTTCTTTTTTATTAGGATTGCTTTTGCAATTTGGGCTTTTTTGATTCCGTATAAATTTTAGAATAGTTTTTTCTAATTCTGTGAAAAACATCATTGGTAGCTTGATAGGAATAGCATTGAAACTGTACATTGCTTTGGGCAGTATGGTCATTTTAACAATATTGATTCTTCCTATCCATGAGCATGGGATGTTTTTTCATTTGTTTGTATTATCTCCAGTTTTTTTCAGCAGTGTTTTGTAATTCTTGTCGTAAACAAATGGGACGCTTTTTCATTTGTTTGTGTTATCTCTGATTTATTTCAGCAGTGTTTTAGAATTATCACTGTAGAGATCTTTCACCTCCCTGGATAGCTGTATTCCTAGGTATTTTATTCTTTTTGTGGCTATTGTAAATGAGATTACATTCTTGATTTGTTTCTCAGCTTGGACAATATTGGTATATAGAAATGCTACCAATTTTGTACATTGATTTTCTATCCCGAAACTTTGCTGAAGTTGTTTATCAGATCTAGGAGCCTTTAGGCAGAGACTATGGGAATTTCTAGGTATGGAATCATATCATTGGCAATCAGAGATAGTTTTACTTCCGCTCTTCCTATTTGGATGGCTTTTATTCCTTTCTCTTGCCCGATTACTATGGCAAGGACTTCCAGTACTATGTTATATAGGAGTGGTGAGAGTGGGCATCCTTGTCTTGTTCCAGTTCTGAAGGGGAATGATTCCAGCTTTTGCCCATGCAGTATGATGCTGGTTGTGGGTCTGTCACAGATAGCTATTATTATTTTTACGTATGTTCCTTTAATGCATAGCTTGTTGAGGTTTTTAATGAGAGGATGTTGAATTTTACTGAAAGCCTTTCCTGCTTCTATTGAGATCATGTGGTTTTGTTTTTAATCCTGTTTATGTGATGAATCACATTTATTGATTTGTATATCTTGAACAAAACTTGCATCCCAATGATTAAAGCCTACTTGATTATGGTGGATTAGCTTTTTGATGTGCTTCTGGATTCAGTTGGTTAGTATTTTGTTGAGTATTTTTGCATGTATATTAATCAAGGTTATTAGCCTGAAGTTTTCTTTTTTCATTGTGTCTCTGCCTGAATGATGCTGGCCTCACAGAATGAGTTAGGGAGGAGTCCCTCCTCCTCAACTTGTTGCAATAGTTTCAGTAAAATTGGTCCAGTTCTTCCTTATATATCTGGTAGAATTCAGCCATGAATCCATCTGGTTCAGGCTTTTTCTGGTTGGTAGGCTTTTTATTACTGCTTCAACTTTGGAATTCATTATTGTGGTCTGTTAAGGGTCTCAATTTCTTCCTGGTCCAATCTTGGAAGGTTATATGTTTCCAGGACTTTATCCACTTCTTCTAGGTTTTCTAGTTTTTATGCATAGAGGTGTTCATAGTAGTCACTGAGGGTTTTTTATATTTCTTTTGGATCAATGATAATGTCCCCATTGTCATTTCTGATTGTGTATATTTGGATCTTTTCTCTGTTTTTCTTTATTACCCTAGCTTGTAGTGTATCAATTTTATTGTTTCAGAAAACAAACTTTTGGTTTTGTTAATCTGTTGTATAGTATTTTTTGTGCTTCAATTTCATTCAGTTCAGCTCTGATTTTGGTTATTTCTTTTCTTCTGTGAGCTTTGGGGTTGGTTTTCTCTTGTTTTTCTGGTTCCTCTAGGTGTGATGTTAGGTTTTTAAGTTGAGATCTAACTTTTTGATGTGGGCAGTTAGCACTGTAAACTTTCTTATTAACACTGTTCTAGCTGCATCCCAGAGATTCTACTATGTTATATCTCTGTTTTCATTAGTTTCAAAGAATTTCTTGATTTCTGCCTTAATTTCTTTGTTTACCCAAAAGGCCTTCAGGAGCAGGTTAATTTCCGTATAATTGTATAGTTTTGAGAGATCTCCTTGGTACTGATTTTTTTATTGTACTGTAGTCCAGGAGTATTGTTGGTATTATTTCAGGTTTGTTTTTTTTTTTTTATTTGTTGAGAATTGCTTTATAGCTGAGCATGCAGTTGATTTTAGAGTGTATGCCATGTGCTTTTGGGTGGAGTGTTATGTAGATGTCTGTTAGGTCCATTTGGTCAAGTTTGAGTTTAGGTCCTGAATATCTTTGTTAGTTTTCTGCCTCATTGATCTGCCTAATACTGTCAGTGGGGTGTTGAAGTCTCCCACTATGATTTTGTGGTTATCTAAGTCTCTTTGCAGGTCTATAAGAACTTGTCTTACAAATCTGGGTGTTCCAGTGTTGGGAATATATATTTAGGATAGTTAAGTCCTTTTGTCAAATTGAATGCTTTATCATTATGTAATGCCCTTCTTTGTCCTTTTTGATCATTGTTGGTTTAAAGACAGTTTTGTTGAAAATAAGAATAGCAACCCCTGCTATATTTTAATATAAAATCTTTTTTTTTGGTTTGTTTTCCATTTGCTTGATAGATTTTTCTCCATCCCTTTACTTTGGCCTTATGGGTGTCATTGCATGTGAGATGGGTCTCTTGAAGACAGCATAGAGTTAGGCCTTGCTTCTTTATCTGACTTGCTACTCAGCACTTTTTAAGTGGGGCATTTAGCCCATTTACATTCAAGGTTAATATTGATGTATGCTGATTTGATCCTGTCATCATATTGTTAGATGGTTGTTATCTAGGCTTGATTGTGTAGTTGCTTTATAGTGTCAATGGTCTATTACTTAAGTGTGTGTGTTTTTGTGGTGGCCCGTAACAGTCACTCATTTCCATGTTTAGGACTCCCTTAAAGACCTCTTATAAGGCTGGTTATAATGCTAATTCCCTTAGCATTTGCTTGTCTAAAAAGGATCTTACTTCTCTTTCACTTATGAAGCTTAGTTTGGCTGGATATAAAATTCATGGTCAAAATTTCTTTAAGAATGCTAAATATAGGCCCCCCAATCTTTTCTAGCTTATGGGGTTTCTGCTGAAAGCTCCCCTGTTAGCCTGATGGGGCTCCCATTGTAGGTGACCTGCCCTTTCTTTCTAACTGCCTGTAATATTTTTTTCTTTCACATTGACTTTGGAGAATCTGAATTACCGTGTGTCTTGAGGATGGTCATCTTGTATATTTTGCAGGGGTTCTCTAAATTTCCTAAATTTGAACATCAATCTCTCTAGAAAGGCTGGGGAAATTTTTGTGGACAATATCCTCAAATATGTTTTCCAAGTTGCTCGCTCACTCTCCTCCTTTTTCAGGGATGCCGATGAGTCATAGGTTTGGTCTCTCTTTCCATAATCCCATATTTCTCAGTGGTTTCCTTCACTCTTTTCTCTTTATTTTTGTCTGCTGAGTTGGCTTAAAGAACCATTCTTCGAGCTCTGAGATTCTTTCCTCAGCTTTGTCTATTCTGCTGTTAATACTTATGATTGTATTATGAAATTCTTGTAGTGAGTTTTTCAGCTATACCGGATCAGTTTGGTTTTTAATTCAAATGGCTATTTTGTCTTTCAGCTCTTGTAAAATTTTGCTGGATTCTTTGGATTGGGTTTCAACTTTCTTCTGAATCTCGATGATCTTTGTTGCCATCCAAATTCTGAATTCGATGTCTGTCATTTCAACCATTGCAGCCTAGTTAAGAGCTATTGCTGGGGAACTAGTGTGGTCTTTTGGAGGTAAGAAGACACTCTAGCTTTTGAGTTGCCAGAGTTTTTGCACAGGTTCTTTCTCATCTCTGTGAACTGATGTTCCTTTGATGTTTGAAATTGCTGTCTTTTGGATGGGGCCTTTTGCTTTTATATCCTTGATGCCCTTGAGGGTTTGATTGTGGTATAAGTTGGGTTCAATCTACTGGCTTCATTTCTGGATGATTTCAGGGAGCCAAGGCTCAGCTTAGCATTCCTGGCCTGTGTTCTCTAACCCTGAAGGGCTGGGACCAGGCCCACAGCTTCTTTGTTCTCTGGCCCCTCAAGGTTAAGCACCTGCTGCACTGGAGGGGCTGAGGTGTTCCCAGTCCACTGGCCACAACACTCTCCTTGGGGGTGCTGGCAAAAAATGCCTCATCAGAGTGGTGGCAACAGGGTCCATGCTCATGCACATGTGCTAGCAACAGCAGGGTGGTGGCATGGCAGTGTTTGCATGCACGGGTGGCAGCAGAGCAGCAGTGTCCATGTATGCACATGCACCAGTAATTGCAGTGTAATGGAATCTACCTGCATGTATATGGGGGTGGCAGTGCAGTGGCACAGCAGAGTTAGCATGCACACTTGGGTACTGGTGGCAGTGGGGTGGTGGAGACCACATGTGTCCACTTGTCCAGTGATGGCATGGCAGTGAGGTCTGTGCATATGCACCAGTGGCAGCAGGGTGGCAAGGTCCACCCATGCACACCTGCAAACCAACAGGAGGAGGCCGCAAGTGAGTGCATGCCAATGCTGGCCCATCTGCAGAAGCTCACCAGTGGTTACACAGGGTGTGCTCATGAAGGAGAAATGGTGGTGGCTCCTGGTAAATGCCCTAGTTGGGCATCTAAGCCTGTACTGCAAGTGGGCGCAGCCAAGCAGGAACCCAAGGAGAGGCAAGCAGACATGGGGGTGCTCAGACATGGGGGTTGCCCATCCCACAGGCAACATAGCCCTGCTCTGTTTAGGTCTGACAGTCAACAAAGGTCACAGGCACCTAGAGGAGCATGGTGAGCCTTGGAGGATGGGGGTTCCTGAATATACTCCACTGCAGCCATTCCTGCACCAAACCCTCTGGGCTCTGCATGGCTAGAGACCT
The DNA here is from genome assembly GCF_000001405.40 of Homo sapiens. Classification (NCBI taxonomy): domain Eukaryota; kingdom Metazoa; phylum Chordata; class Mammalia; order Primates; family Hominidae; genus Homo; species Homo sapiens. The sequence goes on along the minus strand of NC_000011.10, from coordinate 110,542,295 downwards.
GTCCCCACCAACTCCCCAAGCAGCTCTCGCTACCAGCTCAAATGCCCATGGGGTCATGGGGTCTCATGCAGCTAGGATTCCAGAGGTCCATGGTGAGAGTGGGCCGCTCCACACCTATTTAACTCACTCCTTCTCCAGGAACTTCCTGTGGCCAGGAATGAGTCCTGGTGCTCAGCAACCCCATGCAGAGTCCCCACTGACCTCCCCACTTCAGCCCAGGGCCTGCATCCTCCCTCTGTCTGTCCCCCATCTGCTGCTCTCAGTGCCTTCCTCCTGAAGATCTTGGAGTGTGCTGCTCTGCTTGATGGTCTTGTCTCTCAGTGGAAGAAGCTTTTCCTGGTTGCATCTAGTTGGCAATCTGGACTCCAATCTCAATAGTTTCTTAAGTAAAATTGAACTGAATACTTACGTCCAGCTAGGGGAGGAAGGAAAGTGGATCCAAAAATGCTTTACAAAGCAAATGGCATTTGAAGTAGTCTATGAAGGATGAGAAAAATTTGGATACATGGAAATGGGAGGATGGAGGGAACACATGATGAAAAGAGCAAAGATGGAAAAGCAGTAAATGTTGGGGGGGTGCTGGAATGTAGTGATGTAAGAATCAGTCTAGAGGAAAAATAAGTTGGAAAAGTTAGAAAAATGGGTTAGGGTAAAATTATGGCAGGTTCCTGAAGGTTAAACCGAAGAACCAGTCCTTAATTTTGAGGACGATGGGGAAGCTATTGAATGTTCTTGAGCACAAGAATGATAAACTTGAACTCTATCTCAGAAAAATAAAACTGGACTGGGAAAGAGAGGAGGTGGAAAAGTGGAGAATGGGGTGCAGGATTCAAGGTAAAAGGTAATGAGAGTCACTTGGCCAGCCTTTGCCCTTCTGTAGCTGAAGCAATGAGTTATCTCTGAAAGTCCTCACTCACACCAGCTTTTCAGGGTTTTAAGAGCACAAAATTTTATAAGGTCACCACACTTCATTCATTTCCTGTGTCTTAAGCCATTTGTGCTACTATGACAAAATACCTGAGACTGAGCCACTTACAGAGAACAGAAATGTATTTCCTCACAAATTCTGGAAGCTGAGAAGTCCAAGATCAAGGTGCTGGCATCTGGTGAGCATTTCTTGCTTCATTCTCACACGTGGAAGGGCAAGACACAAAGAAAAGGCCAGCAAATCCTCTCCCTCAAGTCCTTTTATAAGCTCCCTAATCCCACTCATGAGGGAGGAGCCTCAGGACCTAATTGCCTCTTAAAGGACCCGCCTCTTAATACTATCACACTAGCCATTAAGCCTCTACACCTGAATTTTGGAGGCAACACCATCATTCAAACCATAGCATTCCTGAAAGCACAGGGTAAGGTGGTCGAAGATTGTTTCAAGAGAAGTGTAGCCCAGCCTATTCCATCTGGATTCCTGACAGAATCTGAGTAAAGTTGAAAAGGGTTAAGAAAGAAGTAACCTGCAAAAGGCAGACTCGGGGACTGCGAAGCCCCCAGGGAGAGGCAGGGATGCAGGGCCAGCCTGCTTGCTCCAGTCTGGGGATTTGTCTTTCCATTTGCATTTCCTTCCACGAGTGTAAATATATTTTCTTCTCCTGGTCTCTGGTCTGCCATGATTCCCAGCTCATTCCACTGGATTGGGTTACTTGCTGCATTGGGTTGTTTTTCCCTAATGCTTCCAGCTGTTTCACTCGTTGCCTTCTCCTTAAGTGCGGTCTCTCACTCATGGAGTTCCTCTCTCCCATGGTGTTGTTCCCCACATCGGCTGTGAATACAACTCTTATTCATCCTCCTCCCTGCCCTCCCCATCCTACCACTTCCCACTCCTACCCTCTTCCATTTATGCTTCACTAGCCTCAGCAAGAGGAAAGAAACCAATATTTCACATTTATTTAGCGCTATTACAAACCAAGCACCATGCTCAACAGTTCAGATGTCTAATATAATTCCACTCTCATGGCAAGTCTGTAAAATAGGCTTAATTATTGTTCCCATTTAACAGAGGAGAAAACTGATGCTGATGGAGCTTACACAATTTACCTGTGGTTGTACAGCTGAAGCCGGAATTGGACCCAGATCAGTATGACCCCAGATTGTCATCTGCAGCACCGAGTGCTTTAATAACCATAAAAATCTATAGAAAGGTTAGTTTAAAAAGATTTCCACATAAATCATTATAGAGTCATTATAGAATCAGTCCTTCTCACACCATCTCTTTCTTGTCCCTTCTTCTCCATGAGATAACCATTAGTCTGAAGTTGATATGTATCCCTTCCATATGTTATTAAACTTTTACCATGCATAGAGGTATCCAAAATCACATATGTATTTTTTTCTTTTTTTTAATTCACAAATGGTTTTATACCAGGTATATTCTTTTGCTATTTCCTTTTTTTCATTTGACATTATATATTTGAGATTTATCCCCGGTAATAAATTTGATCTAATCTATTTTTAAAACAATATTTCATTTTATGAATATAGTACATCATTTCCAATACTTTGTTATTACAATCTGCATTCTAATACTTAGCTCTATGTGCCATGTGGAAGACCTTATTTAGCATGTATACCTATGATATGGGAGGGGGGCAGGGAAGTGCTGGGAGGAGAAGAGCATAGTTCCTGGCAAGGGCTCCACCCTCGGGCCTGTGCCCATGGACCTAGGTAAGGACAGGCCCTCCTGTTTTCACACCCAAATGTTGCATTTCCCAAGACCACCCTGGCCTGCCACACCCCCATCCTGTGCCTATAAAAACCCTAAGACCCTAGCGAGAAGAGACACAAGTGGCTGGACATCAAGAGGAACACACCAGCGGAAGAACAACAAGCACGCACAAGCGGCTGGATGTCAAGAGGATGTCCAGAGGAGCATGCTGGCAGAAGAACACACTGGCAGGCCATCGACTCCTGGAACAATGCAGAGTTTGGCTGGGGCAGACGGAGGAGATCCTGGCTGCTGGGCATCCTGACTCCAGGGGAAAACCATCTCCCTTCTGGCCCCCCCATCTTCTGAGAGCTACTTCCACTCAATAAAACCTTGCATTCATTCTCCAAGCACATGAGTGATCTGATTCTTCCGGTACACCAAGGCAAAAACCCCAGGACACGGAAAGCCCTCCGTCCTTGCGATAAGGCAGGGGTCTAATTCAGCTGAGTAACACAAGCTACCTACGGACTGCTAAACTGAAAGAGCACCCTGTAACATACGCCCACTGGGGCTTCAGGTAAACATTCACCCCTAGACACTGCTATGGGGTCAGAGCACCACAGCCTGACCGTCTGCATGCTCCCCATGGAGGTTTGAGCAGTGGGGCACCAAAGAAGCGAGCCACACCCCCATTGCACACCCTGCAAGGGGGACAAGGGAACATTTTCCATTTTACCTAGAAATAAGATTTCTCTGTTATAGGGTATAGGTTTTTGTTGTTGTGGGTTTTTTTTCTTTTTTTTTTTTTTTTGAGACAGAGTCTTGCTTTGTCGCCCATGCTGGAGTGTAGTGGTGTGATCTCAGCGCACTGCAACTTCCGCCTCCTGAGTTCAAACAATTATCCTGCCTCAGCCTCCTGAGTAGCTGGGACTATAGGTGCATGCCAACACACCTGGCTAATTTTTGTATTTTTAGTAGAGATGGGTTTCACCATGTTGACCAGGATGGTCTTGATCTCTTGACCTCGTGATCCACCCGCCTCAGCCTCCCAAGTGCTATGATTACACGCATGAGCCACCACGCCCGACAAGGTATCTCCATTTTTAATTTTATTTTAATTTCCTGCAGTCTGTCTTCAAAGTGGTAGTATGAGTTTATACCCCCACCAGCATCCCACATTCTCACCATCACTTGGCATTATCAAATTCAGAAGAAAATATGTCAGAATCTAGACAGTGGTCCATGGATGCATTATGTTATTTTGTGGCATCTGCTGATAAGACAAAACCTAGTTGAGTGTGATAGATGAAAGCCAGGCATCCAGATTAAAAGTAACCCCAACAGAAATTGACCAAATTAACAACATTTAATGTAATGGAGACAGATTAAAGGGTAAAAATAAAAGATCACTTCCACATGCACAGGATAGACAGATCTGGCTTAGTGACAGCCTCAGTATAAAGTAATCAGGGGTGGAGTGGGGTAAGGATGGATTTGGTTAACCAGAATCTTAACATGAGTGATTAATGTAATATCTATTTATGATAAAGAAGTGAATGCCATCTGTACCAGACAGGGTTCTTTGGTTGCAAACAACAGAAGTTGATTTTGACTAACTTAAGCAGAAAATACAAAACTATCGCTGCAGAGAAAGGTAGGAAAAGGCTACAAAGTCAGACTGGGAAATGAGAAAAATCCTCGAGGACCTAGGAAACAGAAGCCACAATGAGAGATGGGGTAGCAAGAATGACAGGGCCTGGGCCCCCACTGTACACAGACAGGCAGGTCCAAGGCAAGAGAACTATTGTTCCTGTGAGGTTCAGAGCTGGCCAGCCCCGACCTGAGCTGAAGTTCTCAGTGCCCACCTCGCTCTGTAAAGGAACATACACAGTTCAAAACAGAGCATTTAGAAGAGGCATCTCCAGGAAACCTGGCTTTCACAGGACAGTTTGAAAGCCACTGCCAAGGGCATTCAGTCATGTTCTAAGAGACCTGCCTCTTGTTAACCCACAAAATAGAAAGAGGGACAATGAGTACAAGTTTCGAAGAGACTGAGTTGAGATCACTATGACCAGGGACTTTCTAACAAATGGAGCATTCAGCAATGGATATAGCAGACGTCCATGGTTTTGAGCTTGCTGGTCACTGCAATTGTTCAAGAAAAGACCGAATTCCCTCTGATGGGATATAAGGGAGGAGATGGCTACATTCACAGGAAAGAAATTGGATGACCTATGGGGTCTGTCTCAACTCCTTGATTTGTGAATCCTTTCCTACAAATGAATATTGTTTTATTGTCATTTGCCACCCCACTACTGGCTTGATCAGAGATCCTGGTGCCTCCTTGGTGGCCCCATGGGGCCTTGTTCTTATTGTTGATGTCTCACTTGTCACCTTAGTTTAAGGTCCGTTGTTTATGTGCCTGCCTTCTTGACTAGGCACCCTGATGGAAGAGAGGTTGAATTGTTATGTAGATATGCAACTATGAATGCAAAAGCATCTATAACCATCCTTGAAAACAATTAGTATTATCTCTTAGTACTATTTTTAATTCATTTTTCTATTATAAACATCATAATCACACTAGAAAGTCTGGGGGTAAAAAAGAGAAGAAAGGAGAAAAAAATGTATCTATAATTCCAACCAAAAGGTATGGCCATTTGAGGGTTTTCTTCCAGTTTTTTACATACGTATATTTTTTCCTAAATTCTAAATTCCTAATTTCTTCTGGATTATAAAGATAGCACATCCTTGGAATGCTCAATCAACACAGGGAAGTATAAAAAAGAATAAGAGATTAAAAAGTCACCATGTCTGGCTGTGCGCGGTGGCTCACGCCTATAATCCCAACACTTTGGGAGGCCGAGGTGGGCAGATCCCTTGAGGTCAGGAGTTCAAGACCAGGCTGGTCAACGTGGTGAAACCCCATCTCTACTAAAAATACAAAAAATTAGCCAGGTGTGGTGGCACATGCCTGTAATCCCAGCTACTTGGGAGGCTGAGGCAGGAGAATCTCTTGAACCTAGGATGTGGAGGTTGCAGTGATCTGAGATTGCGCCACTGCACTCTAGCCTGGGCAACAGAGTGAGACTCCATCTCAAAAAAATAAAAATAAAATGTCATCATGTCAAACATCTTGGAACACGTCCTTTGTGATATTGTTCTGTGCATAAATGTGCATAGATTATATTTTTTAACATTTTATATAAATGGGATACTACTATAAATGAATGATTTGTGACCCTTTTATCACTCTGCGATATGTCATGGAGCTCATTCTATACCAGTGAATTGATAAATCTTGGCTTCGGTTTTACAGACCCCACAGCATTCTTTAGATGACTGTTTCGTAATTTAACTGATATGCTATTGATGAACATTTAGAACATTTAGGTCGTATCCAATTTTTTATTGGCTACAATAAAAGTTAATCCAATCTTAAAGGTTTATCTAATCTTTGAACAATGCTGCATTGAACATCCCTGTACATTTGTCTTTGTCTACTTGTCTGCTTATCTTCTCAGGCTGTATTTTCTCAGAATAACTCTAAGAGAACATCAGACCAAAGGCAGACTAGAGTGGTATGCTGAATAAAAGAAAATTGGCCAAATCCAGCAGTCAATATAACAAGGAGTATATTTGTGTATGGGCAGAAAAACATTTCCCTCCCTGGCAGAGTGCCTACTCCAAAAGTGGGTGCTTGTACACTCCTTGATATAGTTTGGATATTTGTCTCTACCCAAATCTCATGTTGAAATGTAATCTTCAATGTTGGAGGGGGAACCTAGTGGGAGGTGCTTGGATCATGGGGGCAGATCTCTCATGAATGGCTTGGGCCATCCCCTTGGTGATAAATGAGCTCTTGCTCTGAGTTCACACAAGATCTGGGACATCTGGTCATTGACAATCGTGTGCATCTTCCCCACCCTTCTTGCTCCTGCTCTGGCCTGTGACATGCCTGCTCCACCTTCATCCTCCACCATGATTATTAGCTTCCTGAGGCCTCCCAAGAAGCTGAGCAGATGCCAGCACCATGCTTTCTGTAAAGCCAGTGGAACCATGGGCCAACTAAACCTCTCTTCTTTATAAATTACCCAGTCTCAGGTATTTCATTATAGCCAGGCAAGAATGGCCTAATACACTCCCGAACATTTTCTGACACACCCTCTACAGAAGGCTCCCAGGACTCAGCATTGGTGATACAAAGTGCTAAAGGCCCCACCCTCCATCCCCACCCCCGCCTCCCCACCACCAATAAAGCTCTGCCTCTTCCTTCCTGCATCCTGTACTACCATGTTTCTAGCCCTTCTTGTCCCTGAGAAACTGTCACTGCTATACTTGCTTTCTTCCTCTATAAAGTAAGGATGAAGAACCTACTTTCTGCCCTTCTACTCTCCATCCAAATTGCAGAGCAAACTCACACCATGTCAGTTGGTGCCCTAGTGCCCTCTGGGTTAGCCCATGTCAGCATTCCTGCCTTCTAGGAATGAGCAAGTCACAAAGAGCCCCAGAAGACCTGGAGGGCTCTGAGTTACATTGGAGATCTACCTTACATGGAGATTGGATTTTAAAGTCAGTTCATAAGCAAAAAACTCATAGCAGAGACTATTTCCTCCCCAACACTCATTCTCCCCTACTCACACGCTAATAGAACCCCAGGACTCTTCTGGGTAACAGTATGCCCAGTCTCCCTTGAAGCTAGGTGTGGCCAATGCTATATAGGCTGAAGTCATCGTTGGAGCTGCTGGGAAAGCATCTCAAAGGGGTTTACTTGACTGGGAGGGTCACCTTTGTGCTCTTTCCTCCCTTTCTCCTTCTTCCTGCCTAGAATGTGACTCTAAGATGTTACTGTAATTATCTTGGGTCATGGGTGGCCTTGAGTTGGAAAACATGTGCCAATAATAGTGTTGGGAACAGGCCCCCCAGAATCTGGCCATAAACTGGCCCCAAAACTGGCCATAAACAAAATCTCTGCAGCACTGTGACATGTTCATGATGGCCATGACGCCCACGCTGGAAGGTTGTGGGTTTACCTGAATGAAGGCAAGGAACACCTGGCTCACCCAGGGTGGAAAACCGCTTAAAGACATTCTTAAACCACAAACAACAGCATGAGTGATCTGTGCCTTAACGATATGTTCCTGCTGCAGATAACTAGCCAAACCCATCCCTTTATTTCGGCCCATCCCTTTATTTCCCATAAGGAATCGTTTTAGTTAATCTATAATCTATAGAAACAATGCTTATCACTGGCTTGCTGTCAGGAAATGCATGGGTAAATCTCTGTTCGAGGCTCTCAGCTCTGAAGGCTGTGAGACCCCTGATTTCCTACTCCACACTCTATATTTCTCTGTGTGTGTGTTTAATTCCTCTAGCGCTGCTGGATTAGGGTCTCCCTGACCAAGCTGGTCTTGGCAAATAGAAGAAGCAGAAGACAGGCAGAACCTGGATCTTTCACAGCCACAGAGTCACCAACCCGGACCATTTTTTTCTCTGGACATTTTTGTTGGAAAGATATCAAAATCCATCTTAAGTCACTAATTTGAGTTTTATATTATACGCATCTAAAACTAAACTTATATGCTCACAAATGATTAAAAGTACTCTTGAAATTTCCTTAGGAGAGCACCATGTTGAAGACAGTATCTCTCAGTAAGTCCAACAAAGCCAAGGTTTCCTCCACGATTACAACAGATTCATCTCTCCAGTGAGTATGAAATGAAGTAGATTGGTCATTTTAAAACAAAAACCAAAAAAAAAATGTTCAACACCAAAGCAACGAAATACTCATTCTGTGTACGGTTCATAAAAACTGAGACCTATTGAAGAAAGCCTATATTCTAATTTCCCATTCATGTTCACCAGGTCTGTAAGCACTGAGATTGGCAGGGTCAATGGTCCAGACCATTTAAGAGCGAGTGAGTGTGTGTGTGTGCTCCCACGTGCGTTTCTTTCTCTTTTATCCAGAAAATTGTTGAATGTCCAAAATTAAACATGTGCTTGATGAAATGTCGTTGTTTCCATAAGGAAATTGGTTAGTTATTAAATCAATGGATTATTTTTTTTGAAATCCCTAGAGAAATCTCTTCTTAATATCTATTCTATGCAGGTAATTAGTAGTTTTTTCTTTTCAAAATGGCATGCCCCAGTGTTCTCATTCCCAGGTGTTCAGACGGGGGGTCTTGGAGCTGAGCCCCTGGCCAAAGGGTTAGCTGAGAAGGGGCCAAATCTCCCTTTCAGCAACCTTTCCCTTTGGTTGCCTTCCCCAAGTATACATCTTGCTTAAACTCCTTCTGCAATATGCTTAACTATACCAAGAAGATGTGACCTCTTTGAAAAACAATTATTGAATATATAGCAGTCCCTCAGTAGAGTTGGGGAATTCATTTCAGGATCCCCTTGGATACCAAAATCCACACATACTCAAGTCTTGAAGTTGGCCCTGTGGAACCTGCATATATACAAAAAGTTGGTCCTCCCTATCCACGGGTTTCATATCCCAAGAGCACCATACTTTATTAATTTCTTTTGAGACAGGGTCTCGTTTTGTCGCCCAGGCTGGGGTGCGGTAGTGCAATCACAGCTCACCGCAGCCTCAGACTCCTGGGCTCAAGCAATCCTTCTGCCTCAGCCTTTCAAGCAGCTGGGAGCAGCTGGGACTACGGACACATGCCACCACACCTGGCTCATTTTTTTTATTTTTTGTAGAGACGAAGTCTTGCTATCTTGCCCAGCCTGGTCTCAAACTCCTGACCTCAATCCATTTTCCTGTCTTGGCCTCCCAAGGTGCTGGGATTACAGGTGGGAGACACTATGTCCCGCATATTAGTCTGTTCTTGCACTGCTATGAAGAAATACTTGAGACTGGGCAAATTATAAAGAGGTTTAATTGGTTCATGATTCTGTAGGCTGTACAGGAAGCATAACGGAAGTTTCCAATCATGGCAGAAGGCAAAGGGGGAGTGAGGCAGTTTACATGGCCAGAGCAACAAGGAAAAGAGAACGAGAGTGGGAGGTGCCACACACGTTTAAACAACCGGATCTCATGATCACTCACTCACTATCATGAGGACAGCACCAACGGGATGGTGCTAAACTCTTTATGAAGGGTCACCCCAATGATACAATCACCTCCTACCAGGCCCCGCCTCCAATACGGGGATTACGATTCGACATGAGATTCTGTGGGGACACAGATCCAAACCATAACACCCAGCTTTGACTTTCTATTTCTGTATTGCGGGCACTTGGTAAATATTTGCTGGCTGGATGCAGTGGCTTATGTCTGTAATCCTAGTGCTTTGAGAGGCCAAGGTGGGTGGATGGCTTGAACCCAGGAGCTCAAGCCTGGGCAACATGGTGAAACCCTGTCTCTACAAAAAATACAAAAATTAGCCAGGTGTGGTGGTGTGCCTGTAGTCCCAGCTACTTGGGAGTCTGAGATGGGAGGATCGCTTGAGCCTGGAAGGTCCAGGCTGCAGTGAGCCAAAATCATACCACTGCACTCCAGCCTGGGCAACAGAGTGAGGCTTTGTATCAAATATATATATTTGCTGCTGAGGTGAAGAAGCCTTCATCAAGTAGCATCCATTCTACCTGATGATACCAGGTATTCTACTACACAGCTGCTCTCCAGACACGAATTTGAGAGGATTTTACCTGCAGAGCCTGAAAGGGGCCCATGTTGCTTCACTTGGCCTTCCCATTCCTGCCTACCCCATATCTGATCCAGGCTATGTCCCTAAATCATACTCTTCTCTAGTCCCTGTGTTGTGGGACATGCTCCCCACAGTCTTCTCCGCATTTCCCACTTCCCCTCTGGAGAGAGAGGTGCTGTGTCCTTCTCTGGACAGGAGGCATCCGCAGAGCCTGGATGAGTGAGCTCCCTTTCTCAGAGCACTGCGCATCTTGAAGATATTTGTAATTTTACTCACAACTGGAGGATACAATTCATTGCTTTTAAATCAAAGTCTACCAGCTGACAGCGGACTCCAGAGACCATTTGTGCAATACTTAAAAGTAAAAACAAAGTGGAATTATTCCATTCTCACCCTATCTTCCCTCGCACACAAATATACACAGTCACAACTGAGTTGTTGGCTCTTGCTCTCAGACAGAATAAGCCACACCACCTCCTGCTTGTCCCCTGCACCACACCCCTTGATCTCTAAGGAGAGATGGTTCAACTCCTAAATAGGACATAGAAACTTTGTGGATGCAAATCAGGCCCAGGAAGACTGCAAGGTTAAGAGTGAAATGCTGCTGGCTACGCAGAGCTTGAGGGAGAGAGGCAACTGCAGCCAAGGAGAGGGATACACACTTACTCTCCCATGCAATTAATCATCTTTAAGCACAAAGGGATGGCTGCTGGGAAGATTAGGTGAGTCGCAGCAGCTTGCCTAGTCTCTGCTTCCCAGCTGGGGCCACAAGGTCAGGGCAGTCTGGCTAAGTACTCCCCCATGACTGGACCTTGAGGGACAGGGAAAAAGCAGATTGCTAATCGACAGGACAGATTGGAGAATGAGAGTGTCTACCCTGCCCATCCAAGGCTAGCAGGCACTATCCTGGGCAGAGCTGCTCTGTCCTTGACTTTCTGCATGATTTCTGCATGCAGAAGCTGAGTGAATGCTAATGCTCAACCACACTCAAGAGATTGCTTTCGAAACATGATTAGGTTCAATAATAACAAGTGCTGTCATATATTAAAGATTAATTACATGTCCCACACCTTACTAAGTTCTGGGTATATACAATCACAGTTAATCCTCACTGTAGCCCTTTGAGATGATACTTGTCTTATCACATTTTTTTATAGATTAGGAAAGTATGACACAGAAAGACTCAGTGAGCCCAAGGTTACTCAGTTGTTGAATGACGGATGCAGTATATGAACTCAGGCTGGTCTGATTTAGAAGCCACCATATAAAACTACCAACAACTGCCTCTCCCCAGAAACTGAAGGAAGCCTCATGAGATAAAGTTATTTTTGAGCTAAAAACAAGAAAAAATATTTTTTCTTGTAAACAAATAGTAGATTGTGTCTACTTCAGGGAAGATAACTGTAAAAATAAATAGCAGACAAATTTGTGGCTCAACTATAGCAGCAACCAATTATGTCATTTCTACATAGTCTGAGTTTTAGCCCCGTTCCCATTTGCAACTTCTTAGCTTCATAGACCTTTCTAATCCTGTGTATGTGTGCATACGTGCATGCGTGTGTGTCTGCTTGTTTTGTTTCCTTGTGTTTTCTGTAATCCACTGCAAATCTTTTGTGGAATAAGATGAGCAATAGAAACATGGAAAGGACAGGTGGACACACAGATAGACAGCAGATAGATGGATGATTGAACTAACAGATGGATAGATGAGTGGAAGGACAGACATACACAGGTCAACAGATGAAAAGATGGACAGGCAAATGAGCAGATGTGGACAGACAGACATATAGACAAATATAGATAATTGAGTGGACAAACAGGTAGATGAACAGAGCTTCCCAGACCCATGTATGGCCTGACCCTGACTAATACCCATACCAGCTGCCTGGACCCTCTGAGAGAATTACAATTGAACACAAGGTAACACCCCCACCAAAGGGCAGAGAGGCCTGGGAGGTCCTCTGAACTGATACCAAGTCGGTACCTGTCATTGGGAGTTAGCCTTCTCATTCCTGCTCAGCAAGGAGGGAGTAGGAATGACTTAATGTTACTTTTCAAGTCCATTTCCTATGCCAGGACTTGCCTGGCCACCCTGGCTCTTGCCTCCCCTAATTCTCTGTACTCCAAAGGGACCCAATCCTCTCCATATGGATGATGTTACCATATTTGGTGTTTATCTTCTATGCATGGGTTTTTGCACCTTCCCCCACTGGCCAACCCCAGCCAGATCATAAGTTCCCTGAGGGCAAGAAACACAACTCTTACCTCCATTTGTCCAGCACTTATTCAATGCACTACTGATTACATGATGGAAAACTGTCTCATGGAGCACATTATATAGGTGCAAATCACAGGCTTCTGTACTTAGGAAGTTTCTTTAGCCTCTGGGAGACACTGTCACAGAATATGTTCAGTTCTCAATGACATCGTCTGCAAGTAGCAACCACTGTTCATGAAAATATCTCAATGCCATGACAATGGCTTTTTATTTAGTGTTTACTAAGTGCATTATACAATAACAGTTATTAATTATAGAGTGTCTACTACTGATCTAAGTACCTTACATACAATAATTCAATCTTCATAAAAAACTATAAAACCACACTTTATAGGTAAGAAGACTTACAATGAGCAAGGTTAAACAACCTGCTCAAGGCCACACATCAGTAAGAGGCAGAGCTGAGATTCCAATCTCAATCTAATTCTAACTCTATGGTCTTGACCACCAAGCTGTGGGCCACTTTTGATGCTTCCAGTAGAGGGAGCCCTCCTGACCTTCTGGGAAGTCACCAGACATTAAGAGGGAAGATTCTAGCACTAAATGCCCACATCAAAAAGTTAGAAAGATTTCAAATTAACAACCTAACATCACACCTAGAAGAACTAGAAAAACAAGAGCAAACCAACCCCAAAGCTAGCAGAAGAAAAGAAATAACCAAAATCAGAGATGAACTGAATGAAATTGAGATGCAAAAATATACAAAAGATCAACAAAATCAAAAGTTCATTATTTGAAAGAATAAATATGATTGATAGGCCACTAGCTAGACTAACAAAGAAAAAAAGAGAAAGAGATGATCCGAATAAACACAATCAGAAATTACAAAAGGGACATTACCACTGACCCAACAGAAATACAAAAAACCCTTGGGGACTACTACAAACACATCCATGAGCAGACCAATAATGAGTTCCAAAACTGAAGCAGTAATAAAAAGCCTACCAACCAGAAATAGCCCAGGACCAGACAGATTCACAGCCCAATTCCACCAGATTTATAAAGAAGAGCTGCTACCATTCCTACAGAAACCATTCCAACAAACTGAGGAGGAGGTACTCCTTCCTAACTCATTCTATGAGGCCAGCATCATTCTGGTTCCAAAACCTGGCAGAGACACAGTGAAAAAAGAAAACTTCAGGCTAATATCCCTGATGAACATACATGCAAAAATACTCAACATAATACTAGCAAACTGAATCCAGCAGCACATAGAAAGGCTAATCTACCATGATCAAGTAGGCTTTAATTCCTGGGACACAAGTTGGTTCAACATATACGAATAAACAAATGTGATTTATCACATAAACAGAAATAAAAACAGAAACCACATGATCATCTCAACAGAAGCAGAAAAGGCTTTCAATAAATTTAATATCCCTTCATGTTAAAAACCCTCAACAAACTAGGCATTTAGGAAACATAACTCAAAATAATAAGAGCCATCTATGACAAACCCATAGCCAACATCACACTGAATGGGCAAAAGCTGGAAGCACTCCCCTTGAGAACCAGAACAAAACAAGAATGCCCATTGTCACCACTCCTATTCAACATAGTACTGGAAGTCGTGGCCATAGCAATCAGGCAAGATAAAGAAATAAAAGCCATCCAAATAGAAAGAGACAAAGTCAAACTATCTCTGTTTGTAGACAATATGATTCTATACCTAGACTTCAAACTATACTACAAGGCTGCAGTAATCAAAACAATAAGGTACTGGTACTAAAACCAACACATAGACCAATGGAACAAAGTAGAAAGCCCAAAAATAAAGCCACACCTCTACAACCATCTGAACTTCGACAAAATCAACAAAAACAAATAATGGAGAAAGGACTCCCTATACAATAAATGGTGCTGGAATAACTGGCTAGCTATATGCAGAAGATTGAAACTGGATTCCTTCCTTACACCATATACAAAAATCAACTCAAGATGAACCAAAGACTTAAATGTAAAACATAAATATAAAAACTGTGGAAAATACCCTAGGAAATAGCATTCTGGGTATAGGCTACAGAAAAGATTTTGTGACCAAGACTCCAAAAGCAATCGCAACAAAAACAAAAATGGATAAATGGGACCTAATTAAACTAAAGATCTTCTGCACAGTAAAAGAAACTACCAACAGAGTAAACAGACAACCTACAGAATGGGAGAAAATATTTGCAAAGTATGCATCTGAAAAAGGTCTCATATCAAGAATCTATAAGCTTAAATTTACAAGCAAAAAACAACCCCATTAAAGAGTGGGCAAAGAACATAAACAGAGTTTTCAAAAGAAGACAAATATGCAGCCAAAAAGCATATGAAAAAATGCCCACATTACTAATCATCAGAGAAATGCAAATCAAAACCACAATGAGATACCATTTCACACCAGTCAGAGTGGCCATTACTAAAAAGTCAGAAAATAACAGATGCTAGCGAGGTTGCAGAGAAAAGGGAATGCTCATACACTGCTGGTGGAAATGTAAATTAGTTCAGCCATTATGGAAAGCAGTTTGGAGATTTCTCAAAGAACTCAAAACAGAATTACCATTCAACTCAGCAATCCTATTATTGGGTATATACCCAAAGGAATATAAATCATTCTACCATAAAGACACATGCACATGTATGTTCACCGCAGCACTATTCACAGTGAGCAAAGACATGGAGTCAACCTATATGCCCATCAATGGTAGACTGGATAAAGAAAATGTGGTACATATACACCACGGAATACTACACAGCCATTTTTAAAAAATGAGCTCATATCCTTTGTAGCAACATGGATGGAGCTGGAGGCCATTATCCTCAGCAAACTAACAAAGAAACAGAAAACCAAATACTCCACGTTCTCACTTGTAAGTGGGAGCTAAACACTGAGTACACGTAAACACAAAGAAGGGAACAATAGATACCGGGGCCTACTTGAAGGTACAAGGTGGGAGGAGGGTGAGGATTCAACAACTGTCTATCCGGTACTCTGCTTATTACCTGGGTGATGAAATAATCTGTATACCAAACCCCTGTGACATGCAATTTACCTATATAATAAACCTGTACTTATACCCCTAAACCTAAAACAAAAGTGAAAACAAGTCACTAGAGAATTTTAGTGGGTGCCTTCTTCCCAGTTCTAACCACATAACCCCTGTCTCTGATCAGACAAGCACTGCTGGAGGCCAACACAGAAACATAGCTGGCAATGGCTCACAGGGCATTTCCCATCCAGTAATGACCTGTCTGCCTCTACTTAACTCCCAACACCACAGTGGAAAGGGCACCTGAGGGGAAAGTCAAGCCCTTTCCTGAGTTGAAAGCTCACAGCAACCATTCAATGGTTTTGTGACGTTGCACAAGTCACTTAACTTCAGCGAGCCTCAGATTCCTCATCTGCAAGTGGGAATAGTAGCATCCACCTGGGATACAACACAGTGATGTTGTGAGAGTGAAATCAAAAACAGAGAGTGGAAGATGCCTTGTAAAGAAGGGGGCTCTGTGTGCCTCTGCCAAAGCTGTTGGCAGCATCTCTGCATTGAGGCCCATTAGAAAGCATGATCTAATTGGGTGATTCAGACAGGCTTCCCAAATGCATTACAGATCATTGTTAGGAAATGCTAAGTGGTGTCTGAGAGTTCAACCAGCCCTAAAGGTTACTCTGAAAGCCTGTGAGTAAACCGCAGTTATATCACTTTGGGCTCCTGGCCACCTGGCTGTGTTGCTAGAAGTGCTTCAGGCTTGCTCTGTTCAGACTTGGTTTGACCACAAGCATATTAAATATTAAATCATGCAGAGGCAATGGCAAGGAAAATAGCTATGTCAGGTGTTAGTTACTCTGCCTTTCGTTGCTATTCATAACAGTTTCCTACGCATTTAGAATGCTCCAACTTCAAGCCTCAGGCTTAAAAGAAATGATATCAAGCCTAAAGGAACTTTGTCCTAATTTCACTGGAAATTGAAAGTAGGCCCCCAGACATTGACGCTGTGTTTCTTCATGCTCTTGACAAGGGAAGGGCTCCAGGACAGATGCAGGCCCTCTGCTCCTGGGAGAGAGGCCGCTGCCGGGATTCAGCCCCTAAGACTTCCTTCCCCATTCACAACAATGATCCCTGGTTCTTCCTCCACTCTTCAGGCCCTCACCTCTACAGCGCTGACCCTACTTCACCTAGAGCAGCACTTCATTTTTATTTATTTGTTCCTGAGACAGAGTCTCACTCTGTCACCCAGGTTGGAGTGCAGGGGCACAATCATGACTCACTGCAGCCTCAAATTCCTGGATTCAAGCAGCCCTCCTGCCTCAGCCTCCTGATTAGCTGGCACTACAAGTATGTGCCATCATGCCTGGCTAATGTTTTAAATTTTGTATGGAGATGGGGTCTCCCTATGTTGCCCAGGCTGGTCTCGAATTCCTGGGCTCAAGGGATCCTCCTGCCTTGGCCTCCCAAAGTGCTGGGATTACAAGCGTGAGTGAGCCATCACACCCAATCTACAGCAGTAATTTAATGAAGGAATGAAACAGCCTCACCAATAGAGGGACAAAGTGATAGGAGCCTTCTCCTGGCCTGCAAAAGCAGTACCCAATACCCGCTTTGGGGTAATCCTGCCCAAAGGGTTTCATCAACATTTAATCATGAGGAAGCAACCAGATAAATCTAGGATGTGGGACATTCTAAGAGACCATTGGCTTGGACTCTTCAAACATATCAATGTTAATTTCTTAAAAGGCAGGAGATGTATAGATTAAAGGAGACTAAAGAGACAATTACATGCAATGTGTGGGTGAGCCTTGATTGAATTTAGGCCCCCCCCAAAAAACAGCTCTTCGAATTCTTGGGGAACATTGGAGAAGTTTGAATATAAACTGCATAACAGATGATATTATTGAATGAAGGTTAGTTATCCTGGGCAGGGTAACGGTCATGTAGTTATGTTGGAGAATATCCTTATTCTTAAAAGATGCATTCAGGGGGAAGAGACATAGTGTCTGCAACGTTCACACATACAAACAGCTGATACTCATCACTGACATTCTATATTTGCAGATTTGCCTGCTTGCTAAAATGTATTTCAGAATTATAGCCCCCTGAATCAATATTCATAGGGCTTTGACGGTTACTTGCAGACATACAGAGTGATGAAAACTTTGAGTCATCCGATACAAACATTCTCAGATGAGGTCAAGGAAGGTTGATCAACACTCTGTCTTCTTGTTTCACACTGTAAACAAGTGTCCTTTCTGTGGTCTATTTAGTGGCACATTTTTTGCATTTTTATTTTTGTTGGTGATTTCACTACTTAAGATTGCCCCACGCACAAGGCTGAAGTGCTGTCTAGTGTTCCCATGAGCAAGAGGGCTGTGATGAACCTCATGGAGAAAACACGTGTTAGAGAAGCTTCGTTCAGACATGAGTCATAGCACTAACGGCCATATGCTCAGTGTTACTGAATCAACAATATATAATACATAAAGTGTCTTCAAACAGAAACACACACAAAACAAGCTTAATGAAAATGCCAGCAGAGGTTCTTAGCAATCTAGCCCTGTATCTCCCTTAGGAACAATGGTTCCATATTCTCTAATTCAGTGTTCACTATGACTCTCTAGAGTATAACTATACGTGAATAATGGGAATCAGTTGTGTGTGTGTACACATGTACACACATATGTACATGTCCATATATGTGTGTATTATATTCATGTACATAGTACAAATGTGGCAAGTGATGAATCTAGATAAAGGGCATATGGATGTTCACTGTTCTTTAATCTTTCTGTGAATTTAATTTTTTCAAAAAAATGTTGGTAAACACACACACATGCACAAACTTGATCTGTTAAGGGGTTGTAAGATCAATTTAGATGGTCTGACCTGCATTTTTTCAATAAAAGAGACTAGAATTGAATAGAACGTATCAGTGCTTCACATGTAATAAAATTAAGTACTTTTTATGAAACTTGTTTTCAGACAGCATGTAGATGTGTATTTATTTGCTGGATTGTGAAGTACAATGTTTTCCTTATTATGATTTATGGTTCAAAGAAATTTGAAAGTCACGAGCCTACAGGACCAAAGACATCCATCTGCCAGGTACCCTCTGTCATCTGCTCTTCTCTACAAGGTGTCTCTGCTCCAGGTCCTCCCAGCATGCATGTCCAGAGCCAGTTCTCTTCCCAGGCTGGCCCCATCGTGGGCTGTGGCTCCTCCCTCTCTGCTCTCACCCCGTCCATTATCCTCTGCTTCTCCATCACCCACCCCTTTCCACAGCTCCTTTCAGGCACCTATAGTCATGCTGTAGTCTCATGCTATCACTCCTGGGGCCAAGAGACCCTTTGCTATAGGGCTCCACTAACCTATTACTCAGCCATCATCAAGCCCTTGTGCTTATCTCTGATCAGTGCAACATGGAGACAGATATGGAGTCTATGAGAACAGAAAGGAGAGGAAATCAAGGAAAGCTTCCAGAGGGAGGTGCTATTTCTGGTGTCCGGAGTCTCCTTTACTAAATAACTAACAGAGTCCTGTATGAAAAATAAAAATGTGGAGTCATGTTAACGCCAAGAAAAGTGTCAGCCAGGCCAGGTGGCTCACGCCTGTAATCCCAGAACTTTGGGAGGCCAAGGTGGGTGGATCACCTGAGGTCAGCAGTTCAAGACCAGCCTGGCCAACATGGTAAAACCCCATCTCTACTAAAAATACAAAAATCAGCCTGGTGTGGTGGCATGCGGCTGTAACCCCAGGTACTCAGGAGGCTGAGGCAGGAGAATCAGCTTGAACCTGGGAGGCAGAAGTTGCAGTGAGCCAAGATTGTGCCACTGCACTCCAGCCTGAGCGACCAAGCGAGACTCCTTCTTAAAAAAAAACAGAAAAGAAAAGACAGGAGTCAGCATGGTAAAGGAGTGCAAAGACAAGAGATTCAAGGCAAAGGGAACAGCTAGCATAGAAGAGGGAAGTAGCAGCAAGAAGGGAATTGGGGGCAGGGGTGTCAGAAGTGGGATAACCCAATAAGTTAGGTTCCCTTCCTGGTGTCTCAGAGACCAAAAAGAATACTGTAGCTTCTTCAAGTTACAGGAAGCCACCAGTGAGTAGGACGGAAACCACACACTGATCTATTAACAGGCACTCAAGACTCAGGAAATAGAAGGTGTCTTGCTAATTGGGAAAATATTTCCTCATTTCAGCTTAATATGGTACTAGACAGCTCCGTGTAAAGTGTCTGTTCTTGAGATAGGTGTTTGCATTTCTCTTAGGCTCAAAAAAAAAAGTCAGCTAAAATAATGAATGTGAAGGACACATCTTGGAACACCAGACCCCCTTCTCCACCCTCAGCTCACGTCTGTCCCCAAAGCCTTCCGACCCCCAGCAGATGCCAGGATGTTCTTCTGGCCTGAATGTCTCAGGCTGGGGGAGGGAGACAGGAGGAGAGGAGGGAAGGGAGGTACTCCCTGTAGGAAAGAGGGTGATTCCAGGAGGAGGTAGAAGGAAGCACAGGGGCAGGGGGCAGGTGAGGACCTGGGATGGCCCCAGAGAAGTCCTAATTCCTCCTGTGCTTTCCCTGGGACCGAGGGAAGTCTAGGGTATAAAATGGAGAAAGATTGTAAATGAGGAGGGAAGGAATTGCGGACTCAGAGGGAGATATGACCTCTTGAGTAGCTCTGTAGCTTAGGGGAGGATGCCCTTGAAGGGATTCCATCCCGCTTAGCCCTGAAGCTTAGAGAAAATCTCTGAGCATAAGCTCAAAAGCATAAATTCTGAGGCAGGACTTGGGGCAAAGTGAGGCAAATGAGGCAGACAAGGCCAAGGCACAGAAGGGGATGTGTACCTACAAGGAGCCAGGACCTTATTCTGCAGGACGATGCTCTTGATCTTGGCTGGTCTGCTGAATTGCGAAGTAAGGTCTTTTAAAATATGCCATCCAGGCCCTGTCCACACTTGCCAAATTAGAATCTACAGGTACTCAATGACCTGACATATTTTATCTCTACTGTTAGGTTATGGCTCACTGAGGGAAGATCAGTGGGTTGTAAGAAATAGCTCGTTCAAGTAGAAAGGCTATCGGCCAGGCCCCATAGCACAAGATTGGCAGGGGAGCCCCATGAGGACAGCGGTGCTTTCCTTTGCCCACTCCAGGCCACATGATCCTGCCTTGGCTTCTTTCTGTGGGTTTGCTCCCCTGTCCATCTTCAATGCAGATTTCCCTAAATCTTACTGCTTATCTTCAGCTTGCACACAGCTATTGCTCCATATAACATTTTAATTCAAGAGCTCACTGCCATCCAGCCATGGTTCCTGAGTCTCTTGGTAGGAAGTATTTAGAGAGAACCATTGGTTTCTGTCCAGCTGATGGACTAGCTATCCTGGGTCAAATCACTTAGGAATTGGAAATGGAGTAAGAACCAGATTCTTATAGAATGTAAGTGCCCACATAAGCCCACCCACTTCAGCGGAGGTAATCAGAGCTGAGAAGACAACATAAACCACTCTCATTACAGCCCTGCACAGACAGTATTCTATAAAAGCAGCAGAAAGTTGTAGCTTAGAAAAATTCGGCCTTCTTAGAAAAATATACTGTCTTCACAAATTACTGAAATCATGAAGAAGAGTATAAATTGTGCTCTGAAGGTGGTTAGATGAAGTCAAACAGAAAGCTACTGAAAGCACAGAAAAAATGAGTTGGTTGCACAATGAAAGGCAAGCTGAGCTCCACGTTCAATTGCTCACTAACTGGCCGTGTGACCTTGGGCAGGTCCTTCTCCCTCTCTGGGCCTTCCTTTCCCTTGTCTGTAAAACAAGAAGACTGAATGATAAGACCTCTTCTTGCTCCAATATGTAATGTGTTTGAAAATGGTCTGTGCTCTTTGCTAACTGCAACTGATGGGCAATCTTGTATAAATGAATTTCACAATCCAAGGGGTAACTAGAAACAAGTTACCCATGAGATGAGAAGGCTGGCCCATGTAAGAGTTTGTTACATTTGTCCTCTGAGTCCACACAGACTTATTCGCATGGACTCTATTTGCTAAGGGCCTGTCTCCTTATGCTATCTGCCTTTGTCCTGTCCATTCTAGTGTTTTCTCACAATGCAACCTGGGAAAACTCAGTGCCTAGTTGCTCCCAGGCAAGGATGAAACAAATGGGACCCTGCAGACTGAGGTTCCCTGCAAGGAGAAAATACTTGGTATTTGTGGATCCAAAATAGCTATCAGTGGTTTTCTTGAGTGAATTCCAAAACATCTAAGTATATGGTACATGAGATGCCAATGTATTCCAGATCAATTAAGGTCCTTTGGCCTCTCAATGAGAACCTTCTTGCATTTAACATTCATTTTTTGAAAACCTGCACTAATTCTGAGCACCCCACTAATCCCTGTGCCTGCCATCTCTCTGCAAAGAAATCTCTGCCCTCCTTGCTGGTTCTCTTTTGTCCCATTGGTCATCGACCACCTACCATTTATAATTTCTTAAGTTGAAGTCTCAAGCTGGTGTCCTATGGGAACAAATCCAGCAATCGTGTTTGGTCTGCACAGCATTGGCCAGCATTGTGGTACTGCCATTGTTGTTGTAAAATCTTGAATTAGGCATGGCTTTTAAAACTTAGGAGATTCCACATGTTCTGGTTTTCTATTGCTGCATAACAAACCACCCAAACTTAGTGGCATAAAACACAACCGCTTCTCATGCTCATGCAGGTCAGGAATTTGGACAGGGTACAGCATGAGTTGCTTGTCTCTGCTCCCTGACATCTGGGAGCTCAGCAGGGAGGACCCAAACAGCTGGAGTAGTTTAAAGAGCTGAAGGTGCTGCTCAGAGCAGTGCTATCACTGGTATTCCCAGGATTCGTCTAAATGAGCCCCAGTTTCTTTAAAATGTAACTGTTAAAACATGAACCAGATGGCATTTATTCACTTTAAGAAAAGAGCCAAAATTGTATTTCCTTTTCTGTTGTTGTTGTTTTGTTTAGAGTTGGGGTCTCACTCTGTCACTCAGGCTGGAGTGCAGTGGTATGATCCTGGCTCACTGCAACCTTGACCTCCAGGCTCAAGCAATCCTAACACCTCAGCATCCCAAGTAGCTGGGACTACAGACATGTGCCACTGTGCCTGGCTAATTTTTTTAATTTTTTTTTAAAGTAGCAATAGGGTCTTGCTATGTTGCCTAGGCTGGTCTCAAACCCCTGAACTCAAGTCATCCTCGCACCACAGCCTCCCAAAATTTTGGGACTACAGGTGTGATTCACCACACCCAGCCCTAAATTATATTTCTTAAATGAGAGAGTACAATAACAGCAAACATAAAGACTTCTCTTCACCATCCTCAAAAGGAGGCACTGCTGAAAACCTCTCCTTTCAGGGCCCCTTATTGGCATATTGGGTGTTACATTTTTGCCTAGGAAGTATCCCCACAATGAATCTAAGCTCCTTGCCCACACACACTGAAGAGGAAGACTTCCAGACATTGTAAAGCCTTTTCACACCTCTCCTGGGCCTGGTTTCCCTGCTCACTTCAACCTGGTGGTTAATTATTTTTACGCATATTTTCTGGGTCTCTTGACCTTTTGTGACAGATGTTAATGAATATTGCCAAAGAGCAATTTTGGCGTATACTCAAAATTCGTATTCTCATCCTCAAATATCAGGCCCCAAGCTGTCTATTTCACCATTGTCTGTTGCTTTAATAAATATTTCACATTCTTTTAATGTGTCATAACCTAACGAGTTTGTTGTTATGCTTCACATTTTATCCAATGAGACCTAGGAACCATAAATTTGGGGTTGCATAATTATTAGTGGACTCCTGAGACTTTTATTTGCTTAAATGCAAAATACTTCTCATACTTTCAGTGAGTTGAGACGGCTCTCTTAATACAGTACCAGATTCAACAAATCCCTTCTAAATGTTATGCTTCCTCTTGATGTTAAATTTCTGTTTTTTAATGGACAGAAGTGGTCAGTGTTACGAAAATGATTAAAAGTCTTCGGTCCTCCGGGGATCACAAAATTCCACTTGCACATTATCGGGGAATCTGCCCCGATATTCACGTAGGTTCTTTTTTATTTTCCTTAAGCGTTGGTCAGCTTGAGAAATAAAGGGACAGAGTACAAAACAGAGAAATTTTAAAGCTGGGTGTCCGGGGGAGACATCACATGTCGGTAGGTTCCGTGATGCCCCACAAGCTGCAAAAACCAGCAAGTTTTTATTAGGGATTTTCAAAAGGGGAGGGAGTGCACGAATAGGTGTGGGTCACAGACATCAAGTACTTTACAAGGTAATAGAATATCACAAGGCAAGCGGAGGCAGGGCAAGATCACAGGACCACAGGACCGAGGCAAAATTAAAATTGCTAATGAAGTTTCGGGCACCATTGTCATTGATAACATCTTATCAGGAGACAGGGTTTTGAGAGCAACCAGTCTGACCAAAATTATTAGGTGGGAATTTCCTCTTCCTAATAAGCCTGGGAGCGCTATGGGAGACTGGAGTCTATTTCACCTCTGCAGTCTCGACCATAAGACACAGGCGCACCTGGGGGAGCTGTATATAAGCCTATACCTCCAGGCGCATATTCTCTTTCTCAGGGATGTTCCTTGCTGAGAAAAAGAATTCAGCAATATTTCTCCCATTTGCTTTTGAAAGAAGAGAAATATGGCTCTGTTCTGCCTGGCTCACCGGCGTTCAGAGTTTAAGGTTATCTCTCTTATTCCCTGAACAATTGCTGTTATCCTATTCTTTTTTTCAAGGTGCCCAGATTTCATATTGCTCAAACACACATGGTGTACAATTTGTGCAGTTAACGCAATTATCACATGGTCCTGAGGCGACATACATCCTCCTCAGCTGACAGGATTAAGAGATTAAAGTAAAGACAGGCATAGGAAATCACAAGGGTATTGACTGGGGAAGTGATAAGTGTCCATTTAATCTTTACAATTTATATTTAGAGACTGCAGTAAAGACAGGCATAAGAAATTATAAATGTATTAATTTGGGGAACTAATAAATGTCCATGAAATCTTCACAATCCACGTTCTTCTGCCATGGCTTCAGCTGGTCCCTCCGTTTGGGGTCCCTGACTTCCCACAACAGCGCATGCCCTATTCTGAGGGAAGTCCAACCAGCCCTCCCTGTGTCCGGTGGAGACAAGGAAGGCGCTGCTCTCACACAGGCTTTGGTGTGAGACAGACCCAGCTTCAAATCCATGCTGGGAATCTTTGGGAAAGACTGGGTCATACTTCTCACAACAGGAAAATCAGGATAGTGATGTCTGCACCTCACAAGGCTGTGGGGAGAACTGAGTATCTCTTAGCTGTCTCATATGGTTTAGTGGTTTAGTGCTTAAGCTGTGAAGTCAGAAAAACCTCGACTCAAATCCTGGCACCAGGACTTACTAGTTGGGTAACCTTGTGCAAGTCACTGAAGCTATCAGCCTTAACTTCTTCATCTCTAAAATGGGACTGGTAATAGTGCTGCCTATTGTTGAAGAGTATAAATGAGGTAAGAATATATGTAAAATGCTAAGTCCAATGTCAGGCGCACAGTAGTCCGTGCTATCTATACTAGCTTCTTTCCCTTCCTCTTAGTCCATGTTCTTCTAGACCCCACTGCCCCTGCACCTCAACTTTATCTTAATCCTGGTTTTCTAGGGCCTGGATTTTTCAAGTATTCTGTTTGTGTGTCAGAATGACAGTCCAATATCCAACTTAAGAACCAGGATTATAAAGCCCCAAGGGTCTGATCCCAGTGTTAAGAGCCCATTTCCAGCACATGGTGGGCTCCTGGGGTCACAGAGGACCCTGCTTTATCTGGAAAGTTGCTACCACCTGGGTAGGAGATCAAGAAACAACCAGCCTCAGTTTGGCAGCAGCCTCGCGCTAAGCGAAGGAAAAGGCAGACTGGAGAGGCCTCTCTCCTGCAGTCCACATGGCTGTGGTGGCCAAGGAAGCTGGAGGAGGAGAGGCAGAGTCAAGAGGCAGCAGGCCCCTCCCCTTCTTTTACACAGCTCCTTCTTGACAAGCGTGAACCCCTGTGAGGGTCCCTGCTTCCCAAACCCTGCACCCCAGCATGGTGCTCCATGTCTCAGTTTGTAACAAGTGCCTGCTTTATGGCCACACTTCATAGAAGCCTATAGAGAACCATCTACATGAGGGGGCCTCTCCAGGGTCACTCAGCTGGTTAGAGGCAGTGCCCGCATTAGAAGCCAGGTCTTGGCCGGGCACGGTGGCTCGTGCCTGTAATCCCAGCACTTTGGGAGGCCGAGGAGGGCAGATCACGAGGTCAAGAGATCGAGACCATCCTGGCCAACATGGTGAAACCCCGTCTCTACTAAAAATACAGAAAAAAAAAAAAATTAGCTGGGTGTGGTGGTGCACGGCTATATTCCCAGCTACTCAGGAGGCTGAGGCAGGAGAATCGCTTGAACCCAGGAGGAGGAAGTTGCAGTGAACTGAGATCATGCCACTGCACTCCAGCCTGGCAACAAAGCAAGACTCCATCTCAAAGAAGCCAGGTCCCAACTGAGTCACCTGGTTCTTGAATGGTTACTTTATCTGTGACCCCAGATAAAGATTTGTGTTGGAGGAGGGGTAGAGATTATTTATATTTGTGTATACAGCATATGCATACACTGATATACACCCATTGACATATCCTATTTTTACAGCTACCATTTATTGAACATTTCCCAAGTGCTAGATACTAATTAAATCTTCATAATATCGCTATGAACTTGTTGTTGCTGTTCTTACTTTATAGGGTTGTGTTTTGTTTTGTTTTGTTTTTTGACAGAGTCTCACTCTGTCCCAGGCTGGAGTACAGTGGCACAATCTCAGCTCACTGCAACCTTCACCTCCTGGGTTCAAGCAATTCTCTCACCTTAGCCTCCCAAGCAGCTGGGATTACAGGCACGCACCACCATGCCCGACTAATTTTTGTATTTTTTCAGTAGAGATGGGGTTTCACCATGTTGGCCAGGCTGGTCTTGAACTCCTGACATCAAATGATCCACCTACCCTCAGCCTCCCAAAGTGCTGGGATTACAGGCATGAGCCACCGTGCCCCGCCCTTACTTTATAGTTTATTTAAATGAAGTTCAGAGAAGTCAAGCGACTCACCCAAAGTCACACTGCTGAAGTGAGTAACTGAGCCAGAGTTAGAATTCAGACATGCATACTCCAAAGCCTGACTCTTCACCACCAAGAAACTGTCTTTAAAATTCAGAAACGAAGTTGTGTTAAAAGGGCAGGCTGCTACTGGGTAACTTTTTATTTCCATAGAAATTGAATCATGGTAATCATTCCAGGAAGCTTCTTGCGAATCAGAGAAGAAGGTGAATAAAGACACCCAAGTCTTTGGGAGCTGAGAACAGTCTGCTTAGGGTCACGGGAGAGGCACAGAAGGCAGAGATCAGGATCTGGGAGAGGCCAAGCCAGAGGTTGGAGGGTGAGATCAGGAACAGAGAAGAGCATGGCCAAGTAGGGTATCACAGGTCCTCACGAGGAGCATCCTCAACCACACAGGCACCAGAACAAATGGCCCAGGGACCTAAAGGCTTGGTGAGGTGGCACCTCCTCTCCCTTCCTGAGCTGGCTGGCAAGATCTTATAAATGGTAGGCGTCAAGGCATCCGAAGTTACCTGCAAGGTCATCCTTCATACAGAGCACCAGGTACTATACCAGGCATGCTTTATAAGTAATTTTTAAATCCTAGTGACAGCTCTGCAGGTAGGCATCCATGTCCCCAGTTTATCTATGAGGAATCAGGCTTTGAGAGGCTAAGAAACGTGTCACTCAGTGACAGAGAGAACTCACCTTCTGTCCCCCTCTACACCACACAGTGTGGACAAAACATTGATCATCTATACACCTGAGCATCATATTAAGCCCGCTGTTGGTCACTGACACATCACCGGTCTCACATTTCTTTTTCCTTTTTTTTTTTTTTTTTTGAGACGGAGTCTCACTTTGTTATCCAGGCTGGAGTGCGGTGGCGTGATCTTGGCTCACTGCAACCTCTGCCTCACACATTCAAGCAATTCTCCTGCCTCAGCCTCCCGAGTAGCTAGGACTATAGGCATGTGCCACCAAGCCCAGCTAAGTTTTTACATGTTTAGTAGAGACGGGGTTTCACCATATTGGCCAGGCTGGTCTCAAACTCCTGACCTCAGGTGATCCACCCGCGTCAGCCTCCCAAAGTGCTAGGGTTACAGGTGTGAGCTACCATGCCCAGCCTCTCATTTTTTTCTCACTGGAAAAAAAGTTTGCTATCACTTTAGGGAAAATGATTCCGTTTTCTCAGTACTGCCTGCTCCTTTTAGTTATAGAGCTCTCTCCATGCGCCTTTCTGTCCAGCTTGCCATCACCATTCAGGCAGCTACCTACCTACTTGCCTACCTGCCTGCCTGCCTGCCTACTTACCTACCGTCAGCCCCGGGCTTCGTTGCCTGCCTAAATTCCTGGGCTGCAGCAGACCAGCCTCCATCAGTCCCACTGCAGTTGATAAACTGGCCTTTTTGCTGGAGTTGTACCAAAAATTTCTCCATCTGTCTTTGCCAGAATGCATGTTTCCAATTATGTGAAACTCTTCAGGAGAAGTTAACTCCTTTTTGAATTGGTTAAATCAAAAACGCGGTGTTTGGGAAAGCACTGCCAGTGCTGCAGGGGCCCGTGCTGGGGCCCACCGAGCCAGCCACCGCAGGATGACATGCTGCACCGCAGGGCTCCTTTCTTAGGCTCCATTTTCTCTCATTTGTGGACAAAATAGGGGTATCCGTTGTGGGAAAATGGGTCTCTGTGGTCACCGAATCTTGGGTAAGTGGCTGGAGGCAGGAAGGGTGGGTGCGCCTCACCCCTCACTCACTCCCACACCTTTGCTTTCCCAAGGCAATGTGGAAGCAGGATTCTGGATGGGTAGTGCAAAGGAGGTGCAAACCTTAATGTCAGGCTGCCTGGTAAAGAGTTTTTAAATGAGGTGACGCACGCTTCCCCCTTCTCAGCTGAGAGCCTGGCCCTTCCCTCCCCGACTCTGAAGGCCTCGGCCTCCTCCCAGCCTCTGGCTGTCCACACTTATGAATTTGTCTCTCTCCCTTCCTCTCTCCTGTCTTGAGCCCCGTCTCCCTCCCCACCACACATTCGCACTGAGATTTCCACAAACACCAAAGCAAGAAGCATGGAAGGTTCAAGGGGCCAGAGACCACGTCTGCCACCCTTTGCTGTCCCCCAGAGATATTTCCTCCAGCCAGCAGCCTCATCTCCTTCATCCCCACTCTGGTTTCACATAGGCCGAGGGCCAAAGCGTTGGTGCCAAATTCAAAGTAGAGTTAATCCTGGATCACCCTCCCTTCCACTGATGATTTCCGCTGAGCAAATTTTTCATATCATTGCCTGCTCGGCTGGAACTCCTTCCCCTCACACCCCCTCCCTCAGTCAGTCAGTTGCTGCTGAAATGGGGAACACCCACCCTGTAAGCGCTCAGCCAAGTGGGAGAGGATGGGGTGGTGGTCAGGAAAGACTTCAGCAAGCCTGTGTTTGAGCCAAGTCTTAGAAGGTCTTTTAAGACTTTAAGATGCCTTTGATGGGCTGTTTGGGAACTTTCCAAGTGAGGGGGGTATGAAAAAGGCAGTGGGGGGTGAGGGGTCATGAAACTTCACAGCCTGATGCAGGAACAGTATAACAGCATGAGCTTACCATGGCCAGGCTGTAGGATGTGAGTGGGGTGCCAGCCAAGGGGAGGCTGCAGAGGAGGGCAGGAGCCCCTCATCAAGGTCCCTCTGTGCAATGGCGAGGATGTGGGACGCGACCTTACAGAGGATGTGGGACGCCACCTTACCGAGTAAAGGAGTCACTGAGGAATTTTAATCAGGAGAGTTTTGCATTTTCCAAATATCATTACGGGAGTGTATGGAGAAAGATATAACTGGAAGCAGAGAAACTCTTGAGAAACTGATGCAGCCATGGTGCAGGACAGAGATGTCAATCAGAACCAAGGCAGAAGCAGTGTGGATAGAAAGGAAAAGACCCACCAGAAGAAATATTCAACATACAGAACATGCAGGACATTGTAAGTGACTTTGTCTGAGATTTAGAGGTGGGCACAGGAGGGCATCCAGGTTTCTGGCCCAGGGACTGGGTGGTTAATTGCTCCATTAATTTACCAAGATAATACCAAAGGAAGAGAAGGCTTGGGAGACCCTACAATGAGTTTGGTTGTGGACATGAGAAATTTGACTGTCTGCAGGACATGTGAGTAGAGACGTCCAATTGGCAATTGGCTTTCCAGGTCTGGAGTTCAGAAGAAGGGTCAGGGCTGGGTAGTAGTCTATGTATTGACCCCTGGGCTCCAGAATTCTAACCTGGTCTTCTTTCACTCAACATCTAAATGCTCTTGCCCACTGACCCAAGTAAACTGAAATGGTTTGGGGAATCACATGGACAATATGGTCTTTAATGCCAAGAAGCCAAATTCCTGTGTAACTCTCCATCCCCCACCCACTCACCCTGCCAATTATCTGTAATCTAACAGGAAGAAATGCTTATTAAACTCTTGAGTGTCTCACTAGTGGATAGTGGAATTTTATGCAGCTACAGCTAATCTGGGATGAGAGAAACATGGCTCTTTGATGGTAATGCTGTTTGGGGGACTCTCTGGAACTTTATACGTTATGTGACCTAAAGCAGAAAGAAAATTATGTGCAAAGCTTAAGAGACTAGAAACAGATTAGCACATTTGGGAACTGCAAATAGATATTGTGGGGAGGTGGGACTGGAAGGGTGAACACACATGAGAACTTGCGAGGTCCTGTAAATCATTTAAAAGAGTTTGGAGCAGGGACATGCCATAATCAAATTTAAACTTTAGGAATATTATTCTAGCTGAAATATCGGACATAATTTCAGGGAGTGGGGAGACAATCCTGGAAGCAGGTGGCAAGCTATTGTGATAGCTCAAGAGAGAGATAATGATGGCCTGGCCTAGGGTGGTAGCGGTGGGGACAAAGAGGTGGAGAGATTTGGAAGCCTTTCAGGGAGAGGGAACCACAGTACTTGAGTAGTAAGGCTCCTACTAAAGTTCATTGTCACCTGAGATCTCTACTCCTTACCTGGCAGATGGGACCTCCAAGGTTAGGAATAAGAACAAGGTTGTCCTGTGGCTCTAAAGCATAGTTATATAGCAGAGGGCAGGCCTCACACTTGGCTGTAAGATGAATGTAGCAGGTAGAGATGGTCAGCAAGATCCCCAAAGGAGACACAACAAAGCGAGCCTTTAAAGAGCCCACCTATTATCGCTCATACTGTGAATCCAAAAGACTGTTTTCTGTGTTGTCAGGTGAGACAAAATAAATGAAAGACAATAAGCTTTCCATCTAGTTGTAACTACAAATATAGGCATAAATAGTTGAAATTGTACAATGAGGTTTTAAGACAATTGAAACAAAAAAGACCGATCAGAATGGAGAAGAGCTCGTAAAAATAGCTACCAATTATTGATCACACACTATAGGTCAGGCATTTTCTCCTTTTAAGATTGGCATGATAACCTTATGAAGAAGGTACTGTAATGCCCACTTTACAGATGAGGAAACTGAGACCCAAAAGTAAAATCTCCAGGTGTGTTAGTTACCTATTGCTAAATAACAAATTACCCCAAAACACAGTGGCTTAAAACAATAAACACTGATTAACTCTCACAGTTTCTGTGAGTTAGGAATTTGAGAGAGCTTAGCTGGCACTTCTGGCTCTCATGAGGTTCTCATCAAGATGCTGGTCAGCTGAAGGACTGTGATCAGAGGGTCCACTTCCAAGATGGCTCAGCCACAGTGGTGCTGGCTGTAGATGGGAGGCTACCATTCTCTACCATGTGGACCACTTCACAGGGCTACTCCAGTGTCCTAACAACATGGTGGCTGGCTTCCCCCAAGAAGAAGCAACCCAAGAAAACAAGGCAGAAGCCACACCCCCTTCATTAGCTAGCCTTGGAGGTCACACAGCTCAGCCCTGATTCAAGATGCGACAGGCCACCCAAGAGCATAAAGGCCATAAGGTGAGCATCTGAGCATCACTGAAGGCCATCTTGGGGATGTGCAAACAGACCTGCCTTCATTCAAGATGCAAGCTCAGGTCTGTGGACCATGTCTGCTTCACACCTGTGTTCACAAAAAGTGTTCTGTGGTCAAATGAGTTTGGGAAACACTGAATTAAACAAAGTTAAACACTTTAGGCCGGGCACAGTGGCTTACGCCTATAATCCCAACACTTTGGGAGGCCGAGTGGGCAGATCACTTAAGGACAGGAGTTCAAGACCAGCCTGGCCAACATGGTGAAACCCCGTCTCTACTAAAAATACAAAAAAAATTAGACAGGCATGGTGGCGCATGCTTGTAATCCCAGCTACTTGAGAAGCCAAGGCAGGAGGATCGCCCAAACCCAGGAGGTGGAGGCTGCAGTGAGCCGAAATTGCACCACTGCTCTCCAGCCTGGACAACAGAGCAAGACTGCATCTCAAAAAAAAAAAAAAAACAAAAAAAAAAAAACAAAAGTTACACACTTCATATCCTCAGAGCCGTACACTGTGATTTCTCCAAGCATAACATGACCTTTGGACCAATTTGAGAACTAGTGTCCCCTCTAAGTCACTAGGAGCTCTGGAAATGTTTGAGATGCAAAGAGAAGATGGTAATGATCATTTTATAGAGAAGAGCAGTGAGGGAAAGGTAGAAGAGAGTGGTAAGACAACAAGCCATAAAGGTAGGGACCATCCAAATTATCCTGGCCAAACTGTAAAGGGGCCGGGTTTTGCACTGCTTGTTTTCATTTTAACCTTGGCTCCAATCAAATTCACATAAATATGATGGCTTTATTCAGATACCACAAGGGAAATCCATTTATATTGTTCCATTTACTCTCTAAGAACAAAATGATATCTGTAATGTGAAACCTGCACTATATAAGTTGTAATCACATGCTTTTGTATCTCAATGAGATTCAAAGTAAATATTTTGGACTCTAATGACCTTAGAGTTCATCATCTGGCTACACAGTCAGATCACCTAGAGACAATGTTAAAATATAGTCATACCTGGGCTCCACTCCAGATCAAATAAATCAGAATCCAGAAACTCCAGGATGTGAGGCTCAGGGATCAATAGTTTTAAAGATCTTCCCTAGATGATTCTAATCTGTGGCCAGAATTGAAGACCATTCTTTCTACTGCTCTAGTTCTAGCATATTCTCACTCTCCCTCTTTCTCTGCATGCCACCCCTAGCCAAAACGTCCAACTACCTAACAACCATCTTATGTTTTCCTTCTCAGGACCCAGCACAGAGCTTGGTGCATGGTTGTTGATGTGAGTTGAAGGCATTTCCCAAGGAGCACCATTGTCCCCTGACACTTCTCTGGTTTGGTCTAAAATAACATGCTCTTACTGACAGTTTGAGACCCTAAAGGGACAGAGGGCATGACTGGCCAGAGATCCTTCTCAGGGCTTTAACATCTCATTGCCAGTTTGGATGAGTTTTGGCATGGTATTTATCACTGACTACATGGACCTCAAGATACCAATTGACACTCAACAAATCTTTCTGGGATTTTGAGACACAAAACTTATCAGGTCATCTGAGGTTAGTGGAGACTCTGGCTTATAAAAACACCAGGGAAAAGAATTTCAAAGATGACAACACAGTCTCAGTTATGTATCACATATCATTTTTTTAAAGCAAAAATCTTCTCAAAAGATAATGTGAGAAAATAGTTTCTTTTTTTAATCTGTGGGATAAAATTAAGTTAAAACTAAGCCCAGGGGAGGACAAGTATGGTTAGAAAGACAGATTTTAGTCATTGAAAAACATTTGAATTGTGGTTGTGGGGCAGGGCAGACGAGGAACAAAGTTGGAAAGGAAACTTTCTGTATACATTTTTATAATTATTGGTTTGTGAACCACATGCATGTATCACCTATTCAAAAATTAAATGAAAATAAATAGGTTGTAATCAATTATGTTCTGTATCAAATGAAAAGAAATGGCATCATAAGATTAATGAATTGCTTCACTCTATTAGTATTTATTTTGCTTTTCAAATTTAAAGTAATTGAAAACTAATCTCTTCCATATTGCTGAATGAGTTCACTGAATCACATATTCTTTGCCTTTTTTCTAAGGTTTTGTTTTGTTTTGTTTTGTTTTTAAGCCCTATCTTTTACCCTGGGCCTCTTTGCTGGCCTTCTGGGACTCTGAATGCAGGACTTCAGGAGGTCTGATTCCCAAGAGATGGGCCAGAGAGCCATGTAATGAGCCAGGAAAAATAGGAAAAAATTCAGTCTGATGGAAGAATCTCAGGTTGGGCAAAGAAACACATCAAATTGGAAAATGATCTGGCTGGCATTTTCCCAAACAAATTGGATTGCCTGTGCAGCGGATCTGGCCAACTGGGCAGAATAATCTTTAAGGGAATCAGAGAAGCCAACATAATTGGAGGACAATTGCTTGGAGGCATCAGCCCTTGTAAGGTTGAGCGTAGGCCAGCCTCACACAGGTGTGACTGCAGCCCCCAACCACAGCCACTCTCTCTCACCAGCTTCCTGAAACTTCCTATTTCTGTACCTGGGAACTAAGCCCTTCCTTCCAGGATAGTAGAGTTGGCAGCTGCTGACCGTGGACGGCACCACATCACAGCTTCCACGGCTGGTACCAGGCCCTTCTAGGAGCAGGAGGGAGGCAGCCAAGAAGACAAAGAAGGCTGTGGGGAAGAAGGCAAGGCAAAGTCGAGACCTGGGGAAAAGGTGGGCCGTAGCTCCAGGACCATCCTAGGAGCTAAAATGTTGGCCTGAGCAGGCTCACAGCCATCAGGAGATGGGACCAAGGCCACCACCTCTGAACATCACTCAGAAGATGTAAATATAGCTGGAATGGGAGGCACGTCACTTGGAAACTTGGAACCTGAGCTCCTCATGCACACTGAAGGCCAGAGAAGCAGGGGTTCCTGTCGGTCAACTCTCAGTGGACTTCCTCGGCCTTTCCAGAGTCCCTTCTTTCCATCCTGAGGGTTCCATAGAGGGGGCTCTGTGGTGGCTACTGCCCATTGGCTTGGCCTGGAGCAATGGGGAAGGCACGATCTGGAGCCAGGCTGCCTGGACCCAAGTCTGGTACCTCTGCTCGCCAGCCTGTGATTGTGTCAGCCAGGGCTCAGTGGTCACAAGGGACAGAAACCAATTCGGGCTAACTCCAGCTCGAAGGATGTTTATAAGGTGAGTGCTGGGCAGCAGCTAGGGAAGCAGGCAGGATGGAGCCAGGATAGTCCCTGACATTTATGTAGCAGGAGCTCCATGGCCATCTTGTCCCGGAGCTGAGCTGGAGTGAATCCACTCCCTCCATTTCCCCCATCAATGAGCCTTTCCTCAGAGTCCCAGGAAGGAGAGTTTGCTTATCCTGACTTTGAGCACTTGCCTGACCCCAAGACTAGGGAAAGACAGGCATCCCGATTAACATTCCCACCACAGCTCACACAGTAGGAAGGAAAAAAAAAAAAGTGTGCCCTGAGGAAGAGGAGAGCGAGGCTGAGGGTTCTTAAAACGTATTTACTTGAGCAACACTGAATAAGCTACTTACCTGATCTAAGCCTCAGTTTCCTCACATGTAAAATGGGCATGCTGTTAGTATTTACCATAAAAGGTTGTTATGAGAACTTATCAGATAAAGGAGGGCAGATGCTTATTGAGTGCCCAGCTCAATGCATCTTAGTTATTGTTGTTAGGAGCTCCGATTCTTGATTGGCCCAAACCTTTGTTCAGAGGTGCCCCACCCCCTGTCTGGCTGGGCTGCTGTTTCCCTGCAGGCTCTGGAGGGGCCGTGTTGTCACGGGGTGATCTGGATCAGCGTGCCCACTTATGGTGCATGGACAGGCTCTGTGGTCACCACTCCTGCCAAGTTCCAACACAGTAGGGGCAGAGACACCTGCTGTCATGAAGCCACACTCATCATCCCTGCCTTTTCTCTTGGGGCACCCCTGAAGGAGCCCCCATAAGTTCCTAGCAAAGACTTCCATTTGGGCAAACACACTTCACCCCAACAAGTATACTGATCCCCTCTTGTCAGCAGGAACAGAAAACATGATTTTACATCTGTTACCCATAATCTATCTCTTTACACACAAAAGACTTGCCCCTGCCACATCACCTGTGATTTCTGTCTCTAGGCAAAGTGAGCAACTCTCTATAGCTGTTTCTCAGAAGTGCCTTTTTAACTTCACAATTCATTTAGTGGCTTGGAAAATCATGTGTCAAAGGCATACACATTGACTTGTGTTCTGCACTCTGTATTTTTCTGAAAGAAAAAAAAAAGTCCCTGCTCTCAAAGAACTTAGGATTTAGTAGGAGGAGAAGGATATAATTAATAACAATAAAAATAAATAACACTGATAATAACGACATTATAACTAGCTTCTGTCGAGCATCCCTTACACTCTGTGTCATGTTCTAGGCTTTTACAGACGTTGCCTCATTTTAATCTTCCCTGAACATCTCTGAGATGGATGGGTGGCATTTGGAGGGAAGGCCCTCAGGAGGAGGCTACAGGGTGAGCCACAACCGGACAGCAGCAGGGCTGGGCTGCCTCTCTGACTTCAGTCGCATCCCCTGGGGCAGCCTTGGGCCAGCCCATGTAGCCTTCCTTCAGCTGGACCTGGGGCCTAAGCCAATCAATCTTGCAGTCCAGGCAGTATGCACTGGGGCCTCAGCAGAGCCTGTAATTAATCTGGCTGGAAACAGAACTTATTTTTACACCTCTTCACATTAGTCCCCATAGAGCAGGCCTGAGCTCAAAGTGAGAAAACGTGAATTGATCACAGCTGTGAAATCATGGTAATTAGTGCCGTGTGCTGAAAGCCTCATTTCTGTGGCTGGAACCCCTGGCTTTCTGGACATACGTGATTATTAACACAAATACCTATGCCCTAGTCTTCCACCTTAGTGGCCAGGCCCCAT